>NC_000016.10:29432107-29747315 GCF_000001405.40 Homo sapiens | reverse complement strand
CCCAGCCCAGGGATTTCTATCTATTCTTCCACCACCCTGGCCACTACATGCTCACCCACACATACATTGGTCATGCGACTTTGGTCATGAAATCTCTTTTCTTTAAGCCTTACTTTTGTCATCTGTGGATGAGTCAAACTAGAGAATCTCAGAAAGTCACCTGGACTCCAGAGCCTGATGACATCTTGTCACACTCTGCTCCAGGCTCCTCCCACCCTCAGCAGCAGGAAAGAGGGACAGACATGAGGATGGTCAGGGTTTTGGAAACAGGCCCACGCCTGTTTTTATACCCTGGACTCCTCTCAGAGGCTTGACATTTTTGTTACCCAAGCCTCACCTCACTGATATTTTCCAACCAAAATGGGGGCTAAATGGTCTGAAGAGAGAGAGACTTATGTTAATTAAAAGTATGAGGCAGGGGCCAGTGTGGTAGCTCACACCTGTAATCCCAGCACTTTGGGAGGCTGAGGCAGGAGGATCTCTTGAGGCCAGGAGCTTGAGACCAGCCTGGGCAACATAGCAAGAGCCCATCTCTACCAGAAAAAAAAAAAAAAGGTGTGAAGCAAGCTGGCCAAGCAGGGGGTGCCTGTGGGGGCTGCATGGCAGGAGCAGATCTGGGGAGGCACCGTGGATAAGACAAGGCAGGATGGGGTGGGGCATCCTCCCAGGAGGAACGGGGGAGGCACCATGGTTCTCTGGGAATGTACGGGCTAAAGTCCCAGTGTCCTATTTCTTTTTCTTTTCTTTTCTTTTCTTTTTTTTTAAGACGGAGTCTCACTCTGTTGCCCAGGCTGGAGTGTGGTGGCACGATCTCAGCTCACTGCAACCTCCGAGTCCCGGGTTCAAGCGATTCTCCCTGCCTCAGCCGCCTGAGCAGCTGAGATTACAAGTGCCCGTCACCATGCCCAGCTAATTTTTGTATTTTTCAGTAGAGATGGGGTTTCGCCATGTTGGCAGGCTGGTCTCGAACTCCTGACCTCAGGTGACTTGCCCACCTTGACCTCCCAAAATGCTGGGATTACAGGGGTGAGCCACTGTGCCTGGCCCCGGCGTCCTCTTTCTCAGCTTTTCGGTGAATGTTCTGGGGCTCAGGGCCTGGCTATGGGGTGACACTAAGTTCAACAGAACCATTGCCCATTCCAGCCCCACCTTACCCCAGGAAAAGCCTCCTCACCGCAGTGACCACATCCCCTTGGGTTGCTTTGGAAACAAACACTCCCCAGGGGCAGACGAGTTGGGGCACAGTTGCCCAGCAACAGGCGGTGCCCTCCCTTCCGCCTTCATCCGAGGCCGGGCCTCTACGTCTGAGAGGCGGACCGCCCTGCACCCTCCAAGCCTGCACCTCTTAGTCCAGCACCAGGAAGAGTGGCTCTAGGAGGGAGAGGAGCCCAGGGACTGACCCAAGGTGAGTTGAGGGGTGCAGGAGGCCCCCTGCAGATGGAGGATGTGGGGGACAGAGAGGTGTGCAGAGACAAACGAGAGATAGAGACAGGCCAGAGCCTGGGCAAAGCTGGGGAGCCCAGGAGGGGTGCAGAGGCGCCTCCGGAGGCCTGGCCCGGCCCGGCCCGGCAGCAGATTCCGTGGAGCCTATGAGAGCAAGATCAAGTCCGAGGAGAATGGTGAGGGGCGAAGGAGCCTCAAGGGGCCAGCGGAGGTGCTGGCGGCAGGCGGTGGGGGAGACACACGCAGGGGAGCCAGTGGGAGGGGAGGTTCTCATTTCTTCACCCACCACTTCCTCTCTAGGTCTGAGCAAGACTTGAGGGGGCCGAGTGGGGAGGAAAGAAGCCCTTGAGACCTTTCTTGTCTGAGGCACCCTGGGGTCTGGGAGGGAAATGGGGATTCTGGAAAGGCCTGGAGAGCCAGGCAGGAGGGCCTGGCTGTGCCCCGAGGTAGGCTGCCTGTCCTCCCACCCCACCTGGCTCACGCTTACCCTTTCTGGTCCCTCTTGCTTCTCTGTCTCTCCAGAATGTTCTTTTTCATTTTTGAGAAAGGGTCTTGCTCTATTGCCCAGGCTGGAGGACAGTGGTGCAATCTGGGGTCACTGCAGCTTCAAACTCCTGGGCTCAAGTAATCCTCCCACCTCAGCTTCCTGTGTAGCTGGGACTACAGGTGTGAGCCACCACACCCAGCTAGTTTTTAAATTATTTTTAGAGATGAGGTTTCACTGTGTGTCCAGGCTGGTCTTGAACTCCTGGGCTCAAGTGATCCTCCCGCCTCGACCTCTCAAAGTGCTGGGATTCCAGGCATGAGCCCCCATGCCCAGCCCTTCTCCCAGGCTTTCCTGGACACCTGCTGCCTCTCTCTCATCTTGGTTGTGCCCCCTCTGCCTCATTTACTTCCTCTTCTCACCCCTGTGTCTCTCAGATGCCGTTGACTCCAGAGCCGCCCTCTGGGCGCGTGGAGGGGCCCCCCGCATGGGAAGCAGCCCCATGGCCCTCACTGCCCTGTGGGCCCTGCATCCCCATCATGCTGGTCCTGGCCACCCTGGCTGCGCTCTTCATCCTCACCACCGCTGTGTTGGCTGAACGCCTGTTCCGCCGTGCTCTCCGCCCAGACCCCAGCCACCGTGCACCCACCCTGGTGTGGCGCCCAGGAGGAGAGCTGTGGATTGAGCCCATGGGCACCGCCCGAGAGCGCTCTGAGGACTGGTATGGCTCTGCGGTCCCCCTGCTGACAGATCGGGCCCCTGAGCCTCCCACCCAGGTGGGCACTTTGGAGGCCCGAGCAACAGCCCCACCTGCCCCCTCAGCCCCAAATTCTGCTCCCAGCAACTTGGGCCCCCAGACCGTACTGGAGGTCCCAGCCCGGAGCACCTTCTGGGGGCCCCAGCCCTGGGAGGGGAGGCCCCCCGCCACAGGCCTGGTGAGCTGGGCTGAACCCGAGCAGAGGCCAGAGGCCAGCGTCCAGTTTGGGAGCCCCCAGGCCAGGAGGCAGCGGCCAGGGAGCCCGGATCCTGAGTGGGGCCTCCAGCCACGGGTCACCTTGGAGCAGATCTCAGCTTTCTGGAAGCGTGAAGGCCGGACCAGTGTGGGGTTCTGAATCCCCAGGGTTCCCCAGAGATCCCCGAGGCAGGCCTTGCCTCAGTGGGACCGGGGACCCCAGGATCCAGCATTAGGATTGAGACTGCCCCAGCGAAGATGCCCTTCCCAGGCTCCTTCCACCTGGAGTCCCCCTCCCCGGGTCTGGGTGGTGGCCAGGCTATGTGGACTAGGGGAAGCCCAGCAGTGCCTCTGCTCAGCTACCTGGGCTGTGGCTCAGAGACCTGGGGGTGGAGCCAATGCCAGGCCAGAAGCCTTCAAGATCGCATCCAGATGAAGAACCCAAGGTACTAGATAGTCAGGAAATGGCATCGACCAGCCACCTCCACCTTCTTTCAGTGTTTACCGAAGCCACCAATACCAAAGAGAACGGGTCCTGCGGTGCTGAACAGCCTCGGTGTGGCGATGACAGCTGGCAGGAGATGACAGGAATCCAGTTTCCCAGAGCCACAAATCCTGTTCTCCTTGGCCACTCACCCACTGTGAGGTCCTCTAGGAAAATACACAAAGAGAGGACCAGACCAGGCAGAGGAACATTTTGTTTCATATGAACTGTGGCTTTGACCCCCAAACTGCAAGGAGGAACTTGCTGGGCCAAGCTGCAGCGGCGCTGTCTTGCTGGAGTGGGGACCTAGAGTCAGAGAAAACCCACAGGCTCCTCTGCCCATTCTCCTCCATCTGCACACGTCTCAGCCTCGGACCCTCACCACTCCATGGTGAGGAAGGCCATGGCCAGGGGAAACTGAGTTTCATCCAATGTGGAGAGGAGCGTTGTCCTAGAGCAGGGCAACTCCCAAACTGTGACCTCTGATCATCGTCCCTTCCAGCTTGCTGGAGTGTCCAGAGAGACAGATTTGCCACAAGCTAGGCTTACTTATAATGCTCCACCCTACAGAAATGGGACCCCAAGTACCCAATCTTCCCTTTAGGAGAGGCAGGCAGGTGGGTGAGCAGCAGATGTAGTTTCCATTTCCCTGGGGGTTTAATTTTCCAAACTTTGTCTTTTTTTTTTTTTTTTTTTTTTTTTTGAGACAGAATCTCAACTCTGTCACCCAGACTGGAGTGCAGTGGCACAATCTCAACTCACTACAGCCTCGAACTCCTAGGCTCAAGCGATCCTCCCACCTCAACCTCTAGAATAGCTGGGACTGCAGGTGCATACCACCACGCCCAGCTAATTTTTGTATTTTTTTTGTAGAGACACGGTCTCACCATACTGCCTGGGCAGGTTTCCAACTCCTGGGCTCAAGTGATCCAGCAGCCTTAGCCTCCCAAAATGCTGGGATTACAGGTATGAGCACTGCACCCGGCCACTTTTTTTTGTTTTTGAAACAGGGTCTCACTCTGTTGCCCAGGCTGGACTACAGTGGCACAATCTCAGCTCACTGCGGCCTTGAACTCCTGGGCTTAAGTGATCCTCCCACCTCAGTCTCCCTAGTAGGTGGAACTACAGGCATGTACCACCACACCTGGCTATTTTTTTTTTTTAGAGACAGGGTCTTGCTATGTTGCCCAGGCTGGTCTTTAATTCCTGGGCTCGAGAGAGCCACTCATCCCCATCTCTCAGAGTGTTGGGATTACAGCCATGAGCCACCATGCCCGGCCAAACTTCAGCCTTGAATATTAGTGATTTTGCCATATTAGTTTACCATCTGTACAATTATTTGCTTTATATTTTTCTTTAAATTGGCTCATTATTCACTTAATGAAATTATTGCAACAGGAATCTTTTGTATCACTTCTGTAAATGGAAAACCAGTCTCATTTGCCATCAATAGAAGGTAAAACATGAAAATAAATACAATGTAAACAAAATTGTTAAGATCTAAATTCTGTTCCCTGCTGGAAGCATTGACCTAAAACTCTGCTCTTTGTTTTTGTTGTTGTTTTTGAGACGGAGTCTCGCTCTGTTGCCCAGGCTGCAGTGTGATGGCGCGATCTCCGCTCACTGCAACCTCCGCCTCTGGGTTTAAGCGATTCTCCTGCCTCAGCTTCCCAAGTAGCTGGGATTACAGGCGCCTGCCACCATGCCTGGCTAATTTTTGTATTTTTAGTAGAGACAGGGTTTTACCATGCTGGCCAGGCTGGTCTCGAACTCCTGACCTCATGATCTGCCCGCTTCAGCCTCCCAAAGTGCTGGGATTACAGGTGTGAGCCACCGCGCCCGGCACTGCTCTTTGTTAACAAGAAAAGGGAATGTTGATCTGCAAGTCAGAAAGTGTTAGATACTCTAGCACCACAATGAGACCTTCTGGAAGTGCCAAGGCAGACAGACAGCCCCGCACAGGGGGCGGGATGCTGTGTTGTTTAATGCTGTCCACGAAGTTCACCCACAGCCAGGAAACACTCACTTCTCCCTGCACAGTGGGCTAAGGAGCACTTGGAGCCTCTCATCCAATCCCTTGACCTCCCCTCTGATTTTTGGGATGTTGGAAGTTGACAGAGCAGCCAGAAACCCCAGGCAGAGGGACCGAGAGCCTAGTCCAGTCTCTTCTCCCAGGTGTAGTCACTGGCCAGCATCCTAAGCACTGTTTCTGAGCTGGGCACTGGGAGGGGAGGAATAAGACCTGGGCCCTGCCCTCAAGGAGCTCACAGTCTCTCTAGCGGCAGAGTAGGGAACAAAGGTAGGGGTGAGCTAAGATATGGACACAAAACTGACACCAGGGAGAGACCAGGGCCCTGTCCCATCTCTATCACTCATGAGCTGGGTAATGACATTCCTTATCATCACCATCAGTTGACAGCACTGGGTTGTGGGGACTCTGCCCACGAGGAGTGAACAGACCTGAGAGAAACAGAAGATACAGGCAGGTGTTCAGAGGTCAGATGCTTCCATGCCATGGGTTCAGGAAAGGCACTGCAGTGTGGAAGAAATGCAGGGACAAGGCCCCAGTTCATGATCTGCCTCCATCACCTTATTCACTTAGAGACTTCAGAAAACAGAGTTTTGTATTATGGGGCCTCATGTGCTTTTTTCATGTACAAAAAGACAGCTGAAAGTTGAACAAGATGTTCTATTGGGACTTTTCTAGCTGTGACATTTGAGAATGAGTGAAGGGGGCCAGCCCCTCCACACCTGTGGGTATTTCTTGTCAGGTGGGGCAAGAGACTGAGAAAAGAAATAAGATGCAGAGACAAAGTATAGAGAGAGAACAGTGGGCCTAGGGGACCAGCGCTCAGCATACGGAGGACCTGTGCGGGCACTGGTCTCTGAGTTCCCTTAGTATTTATTGATCACTATCTCTACTATCTCAGTGAGGCGGATATGGCAGGACTATAGGGTAATGGTAGGGAGAGGGTCAGCAGGAAAACGTGAGCAAAGGTCTCTGTGTCATAAATAAGTTTAAGGAAACGTGCTGTGCCTCGATGTGCACGTAGGTCAGATTTATGTTTGACTTTACACAAACATCTCAGAGCAGTAAAGAGCAGTATTGCCGCCAGCATGTCTCACCTCCAGCCATAAGGTAGTTTTCTCCTATCTCAGTAAATAGAATGTATGATCGGGCCTTACACCGAGACATTCCGTTCCCAGGGACGAGCAGGACACAGATGCCTTCCTCTTATCTCAACGGCAAAGAGGCCTTCCTCTTTCACTAATCCTCCTCAGCACAGACCCTTTACGGTGTTGGGCTGGGGGACAGTCAGGTCTTCCCCTTCCCACAAGGCCATATCTCAGGCTGTCTCAGTGGGGAGAAACCTTGGACAATACCCAGGCTTTCTTGGGCAGAGGTCCCTGCAGCCTTCCGCAGTGCATTCTGTCCCTAGATACTCGATAATGGAGAATGGCAATGACTTTTACCAGGCATATTGCCTGCAAACACATTTTTAACAAGGTGCATCCTGCACAGCCCTAAATCCATTAAACCTTGAGTCAACACAGCACATGTTTCTGCGAGCACAGGGTTGGGACTAGGGTTACAGATTAACAGCATCTCAAGGCAGAATTTTTCTTAGTACAGAACAAAATGGAGTTTCTTATGTCTTCTTCTTTCTACAGAGACACAGTAACAGTCAGATCTCTCTTTCTTTCCCCCACAGTGAGTAAAATGAAAGACGGTTGGATGGATGGATGGATGGATGGATGGATAAATAAATGAATGGATGGAAGACTAGATGGATGGATGAATGGATGGATGGATGGATGAATAAATGGATGGATGGATAGATGGACAGACGGACAGATGGATGGATGAATAGATGGATGGATGGATGGATGGATGGGAGAATGGATAGGTGAAGAGAATGGATGTGTGGATGAGTGGATGTATAGATAAATGGATGCATTGATACATGGATTTCTGCATGCGATCTTCCTGAGGCAGAGTCTAACTTGCTATCTGCAGAGTCATCTTTATATTTCCAGACCCAGAACATGGTCTAAAACACTATAGGAGCCTAATGAATGGGGAATGAATAAGTTCATAGATTAACAGACACATTCATTTTACTGTTTCTTCTTTTTACTTTAAACCTCTCCTGCTCACTTTTTTTTTTAGACGCATTCATTGACCGGAATCCCACTCATTTTTAACACCATCTTATTTCTTTCTCATATTGATGTCTTCTTTTATATCTTTAGAAATTTAAACCACACTTGCTGTATGGTTCTTTGCCAAATAATGCTATTCTCTGGAGTTCTGGAGTTGGAGCTAATCCTGCTATATGCTGTGTCTGCTTACTGTCATTCATGAAGATTGTTTCCTCTTATGTTTTGTAATTTTGAGCTGTGAATTCAGCTTCAGCAGGGTGTTATCAGTGGGAATGCACATGCCCACCAAGGTTCAAAGAGGTTTCACATCTGCTTCTGCCAAGAGCTCTTCATGGGTGTTACCAACCCTGGACTACATTGTTATTATTATTATTATTATTATTTATTATTATTATTATTTTGAGACAGAGTCTTGCTCTGTTGCACAGGCTGGAGTGCAGTGGTGCGATCTCAGCTCACTGCAACCTCCACCTCCCAGGGTCAAGCAACCTCCACCTCCCGAGGTCTCCTGCCTCAGCCTCCCGAGTATCTAGGATTACAGGCTCCTGCCAACATGCCCGGCTAATTTTTGTATTTTTAGTAGATACGTAGTTTCACCATGTTGGCCAGGCTGGTCTTGAAATCCTAACCTCAGGTGATCCTCCCACCTCAGCCTCCCAAAGTGCTGGGATTATAGGCACGAGCTACCACACCTGGCCTGGACTATATTATTTGTTGACATTTGGGCTTCCCAGACCATGCAGATGATGTAAACTTGAACCCCAAGTCCAAGTGAGGCCAAGCCTTTGGTTATGAATTCTCAAAAGAGACCATTTATTGTCACCAAATCTCAGAGTGAAACAGACAAGGTCCTTTTATGCTCCCTGAACTGGAGGCAGATTTTTTTCCTAGTTTACTCTTTCACCAAGGATGTCACCCCTTAAGGGTACAAGCTTTCTATTAGTGTTTATGTTTTCAGTTCCCCAGACAAGGCCTTATCTCCAATCTCTAGGTAGGTGTAAAGCCCTAGGCCCTTCAATGCCAAGATCACAGCCACCCAGCAAGTTGCACAGCTCTAGTGTTCAGTTTCCTCTTCGTGCCTCCTGGGGATTTCCCTTTCTTTTTTGCAACTAAGCTGCATGTTTTAAAGGATGTTTGTTTGGTTTTATGCAGCGCTTCTAGATGCATAGTGGTGAGGACATGCTTGTCAGGTTATTCCATTCACACTATCACCCAAAAGGCTATTTCCCCATATAAATAAGTTGACATCTCTCCCACCTTAAAACAACCAGCCAACCAACAACTCTTTTTTTTTTTTTTTCTTTTTTCTGAGATAGGGTCTCACTCTGTCACCCAGGCTGGAGTGCAGTGGTGCAGTCACGGCTCACTGCAGCCTCAATCTCCTGGGCTCAAGCCATCTTTCTGCCTTGGCCTCCCAAGTACCTGGGGTTACAGGCACATGCCACCAGATCTAACTAGTATTTTGACTTTTGTAGGCATAGGGTCTCACCATGTTGCCCAGGCTGGTCTCAAACTCCTAGCCTTAAGTGATCCTCCCTCCTCAGCCTCCCAAAGTGCAGGGATTACAGGGGTGAGTCATGTCCAGCTCCAACAACTCATTCTCTACCCCTCACACACAGCACGACTTCTCACCTCCTTCACAGCCAAACGTCTGGGAAGAGCCGTCTGTCCTAGCAGTCTACACTTTCTCATCTTCCCCTCCCTCTGCAACTGGTTGCAGGCTTCCATGGGCTTCCAGCACTCTACAGAAACGACTGCCATCAAAATCATGACCTGCTGTTTTAATCAAAGGACACTTTCAAGCCTCCTGCAGACAGCACTGGACACTTCTGGAAATGTTCTCTCCCCATGGCTCTGTGGCTTTACACACACCTGCTTTCCCTCCCCGCTACCCAGCCGTGCTCTCTGACTCTCTTTGCTGGCGGCATGCCTTCTCAAAGGTCAGTCCTGGGCTGCTTTTCCCCTCCCTCTGCACTCCTTCTGGGAAATTTCACCTAGGCCCAAGGCTCCAATTGCTATCTCTTTTTTTTTGAGACGGAGTTTCACTCTTGTTGCCCAAGCTGGAGTACAATGGCATGATCTCAGTTCACTGCAACCTCCGCCTCCTGGGCTCAAGCAATTCTCCTGCCTCAGCCTCCCAAGTCTCTGGGATTACAAGCGCACACTACCATGTCCAGCTATTTTATTTTTTTTTTTTGAGACGGAGTCTCGCTTTTGTCGCCCAAGCTGGAGTGCAATGGCATGATCTCAGCTCACTGCAATCTCCGCCTCCCAGGTTTGAGCGATTCTCCTGCCTCTGCCTCCCAAGTAGCTGAGATTACAGGCATCCACCACCATGCCCGGCTAATTTTTATATTTTTAGTACAGACGGGGTTTCACCATGTTGGCCAGACTGGTCTTCAACTCCGGACCTCAGGTGATCCGTCCACCTCATCCTCCCTAAGTGCTGGGATTCCAGGCATGAGCCACCGCGCCCAGCCTAATTTTGTATTTTTTTTTACTAGAGATGGGGTTGCACCATGTTGGTCAGGCTGGTCTTGAACTCCTGAGTTCAAGTGATCCACCCGCCTCAGCCTCCCAAAGTGCTGGGATACAGGCGTGAGCCAACTGCGCCTGGCCCCAATTACTATCTCATACCCTGATGTTCCCCATGTCTCCATCTCCAGCGGTGGCAGATGTGGTCCTCCTAGATCTATTCTCGCATTATTTTAAAGGAATAGCACTACCTCTGATATGGTTTGGCTGTATCCCCACGTGTCGTAGGAGGCAATTGAATCATGAGGGTGGTTACCTCCATGCTGTTCTGGTGATAAAGTTGTCACAAGATCTGATGGCTTTATAAGGGACTTTTGCTCCTTTGGCTCAGCACTTTTCCTTGCTGCCGCCACATGAAGAAGGATGTTTTTGCTTCCCCTTCTGCCATGACTGTATAAGTTTCCTGATGCCTCCCCAGCCATACTTAATTGTGAGTCAATTAAACCTCTTTCCTTTATAAATTACCCAGTCTCGGGTATGTCTTTATTAATAGCATGAGAATGGACTAATACAACCTCTTCTTTTTTTCTTTCTTTTTTGAAACAGAGTCTTGCTCTGTTGCCAAGACGAGTGCAGTGGTGCAATCACAGCTCACTGCAGCCTTGACCTCCTCACTTTCAGGTAATCCTCCTGTGTCAGCCTTCCAAGTAGCTGGGACTACAGACATGTGCCATGACACCTGGCTATTTTTTGTATTTCTTGTAGAGATGGGGTCCCACTATGTTGGCCAGGCTGGTGTTGAGCTCCTGGGCTCAAGTGATCCACCTGCCTCAGCCTCCCAAAGTGCTGGGATTCCAGCCGTGTGCCATGCACGTTGCCAGCACCATTATTTTTAACTGGGCTTGTGGCCACCCAGAGGAAAAGCTGCATTTCCCAGACCCCCTTGTGGCTAAGGGCATCCATGCAACTGGTTCTGGCTCCTCTTCCCCACTCCTCTTTCTCTCTCCTGCTATTTAGAATCCAGACATGATGGTGAGATATCATGGACAACGGCAGCATGCCAGGGTTGGCTGAGCCAGGAGATGGAAGGAGCTTGAATCCCTGCAGCCAGCACAGGACACCTGAACTGCCTGCCTCAGTGTAATTACACGACAGAGAACTAACACTTTCTTTTGTATAAATCACTGTCGTCCTGGGTCTCTGTAACATGAACCCAAACCTATGTCTTAACCTATGTCTCTCTCCTGACTTCAAACCCTATCTCTCTAACAGCCACTTCAATATCCCCCTGTGAAGACCTCAAAATTATTTTAGGATGCATGACCACCCCCACCAAGCCTAATACTCTTCTTTCTCCTAGGCTCCTTTCTGCCCCCCATCAGCACCTCCAAACACCCCTGACTTCTGCCTGCTTCTCCTCATGCTTACTTCTTCCATCCTGGTTCTGCTCCACTCATTGCTCCTAAACTGCGCTTAAATGTTCCCCTGTCTCTATTTTCCACATTGCACCTGGAGTAAGCCTGCCAAAAAAAAAAAAAAAAAAATGCTTAAAAGGGTCGGATGTGGTGGCTCACTCCTGTAATCCCAGCTACTTGGGAGGCTGAAGTGAGAGGATTGCTTGAGACTGGGAGTTCGAGACCAGCCTAGGCAATGTAGCAAGACCCGGTCTCTACAAAGAATTTATTTTTATTTATTTAATTTATTTTTATTTTTATTTTTTGAGACAGAGTATTGGTCTGTCACCCAGGCTGGAGTGCAGTGGTGCAATCTTGGCTCACTGCAGCCTCCACATCCTGAGTTCAAGCAATTCTCCTGCCTCAGCCTCCCAAATAGCTGGAATTATAGGTGTGCACCAGCACACCCAGCAAATTTTTGTATTTTCAGTACAGACAGGGTTTCTCCATGTTGGCCAGGCTGGTCTCCAACTCCTGACCTCAGATGATCCACCCACCTAGGCCTCCCAAAATGCTGGGATTACAGGTATGAGCCCTCACACGTGGCCAGGTCTATACAAAAAATTTAAAAATAAATTAGCCAAGCATGATGGCTCATGCCTGTAATTCCAGGAGGCTGAAGAGGAGGATCCCTTGAGGTCAGGAGTTCAAGGCTACACTGAGCTATGACCATACCACTACACTCCAATGTGGGTGACAGAGAACCCATCTCTAAAGAAAAGAAAAATGCTTAAAAGATTTTTCCAACTTCTGATCATTTCAACAAACACTCCCTTCCTTTTGCAACATCCATCTTCCTCCCTCCCACTACTTCATCTTGGCTAATTCTTACTCTTTAGGTCTCAATCTAGCTGTCACTTTCTAGGGCTGTCTTCCTCATAGGCAAAACTAGTAGAAAATGAGGCTATCTGTAAAGTCTAATGTGGACCATGTGTCATTAGGAATGCCCTAGGCTGCAAGTAGCAGAACAGTGACTAAAGCAATGAAGTCATAAAGTATGGAGAGCTGATACACGGAGCATGGTGGAATGGTGGGTTGGAAAAAGTTTAGGGGCCAGGCACAGAGGCTCATAGCCTGTAATCTCAGCACTTTGAGAGGCCAAGGGAGGAGGATCACTTGAGCCCAGGAGTTCAAGACCAACCTGGACAACATGGCAAAACCCCATCTCTAAAAAAAGAAAAAACAAAAATTAGCCAGGCATGATGGCGGTCACCTGTAGTCCCAGCCACTCAGGAGGCTGAGGTGGAAGGAACACTTGAGGCTGGGGGCGGTCAAGGATGCAGGAAGCTGTGATCACATTATCACACTATTTCACTACAGCCTGGGTAACAGAGCGAGAGATCCTGTCTGAAAAAAAAAAAAAAAGGCAGGGCATGGTGGCTCATGTCTATAATCCCAGCACTTTGGGAGTCCAAGGTGGGTGGATCACTTTGGTTTTCTTTGTTGTTGTTGTTTTGAGACAGAGTCTTGCTCTGTCACCCAGGCTGGAGTGCAGTGGTGTGATCTTAGCTCACTGCAAACTCTGCCTCCTGGGTTCAAGCGATTCTCATGCCTTGGCCTCCCAAGTATCTGGGATTACAGGCGCATGCCACCACGCCCGGCTAATTTCTGTATTTTTTAGTAGGGACGGGGTTTCACCATGTTAGTCAGGCTGGTCTCAAACTCCTGAGCCTCCCGAGTAGCTGGAATTACAGTGCATGCCACCATGCCTGGCTAATTTTTGTATTTTTTGTAGAGATGGGGGTTTTACCATGTTGCCCAGGCTGGTCTCAAACTCCTGACCTCAAGTGATCTGCCCGTCTCGACCTCCCAAAGTGCTGGGTTTACAGGCATAAGCCACCGTGCCTGGCCTTTGAAATATCCTTTATAATAACCAAACTGGTAAACATGTTTCTCTGAGTTCTGTGAGCCACTCTAGCAAGTTAATGTCACCCAAGGGCAGGGCCGGGAGAACCCTGATTTATTAGCCAGTTGGTTAGAAGTGCAGGTAAAAAAACCTGGGGCTTGCAATTGGCATCGGAAGTCAGGGGCAGTCTTGTGGGATGCAGCCCTCACCCCGTGAGATGTGACGCTATCTCCAGGTAGATGATGTTATAATTGGATTAAATCAGTGGACATGGCCGGGCGCGGTGGCTCAAGACTGTAATCCCAGCACTTTGGGTGGCCGAGGAGGGCAGATCACAAGGTCAGGAGATCGAGACCATCCTGGCTAATACGGTGAAACTCCGTCTGTACCAAAAACACAAAAAATTAGCTGGGCGTGGTGGCAGGCACCTGTAACCCCAGGTACTCCGGAGGCTGAGGCAGAGGAATCACTTGAACCCGGGAGGCAGGGGTTGCAGTGAGCCAAGATTGCACCACTGCAATCTCACTGGACGACAGTGAGACTCCGTCTCAAAAAAAAAAAAAAAAATCAGAGGACACCCAGCTGGTGTCTGCAGTAGAACTGATTGCTTGTTTGGTGTGTGATATGGTTTGGATCTGTGTCCCTGCCCAAATCTCATGTCAAATTGTAAACCCTAGTGTTGGAGCTGATGCCTGGTGGGGGGTGATTAAATTGTCAGGGTGGTTTCTCATGATTTAACATGGTTTAACACCATCCCCCTTGGTTCTGTCGTCGTGAGAGGGAGTTCTTGTGAGATCTGGTGGTTTAAAAGTGTGTGAAACTGGCCGGGTGCGGTGGCTCATGCCTGTAATCCCAGCACTTTGGGAGGCCGAGACAGGTGAATCACCTGAGGTCTGGAGTTTGAGACCAGCTGACCAACATGGTGAAACCCCAGCTCTACTAAAAATACAAAAAATTGGCTGAGCGCAGTGGCTCACGCCTGTTATCCCAGTACTTTGGGAGGCCGAGGCGGGTGGATCACGAGGTCAGGAATTCAAGACCAGCCTGACCAACATGGTGAAGCCCCGTCTCTACTGAAAATAAAAAAATTAGCCGGGTGTGGTGGTGCGCCCCTGTAAACCCAGCTACTCAGGAGGCTGAGGCAGGAGAATCACTTGAATCTGGGAGGCAGAGGTTGCAGTGAGCCGAGATCGAGCCACTGTACTCCAGCCTGGGAGACGGAGTGAGACTCCATCTAAAAAAAAAAAAAAAAATTAGCCAGGCATGGTGGCACAAGCCTGTAAACCCAGCTACCTGGGAGGCCGAGATAGGAGAATTGCTTGAATCTGGGAGGCGGAGGTTGCAGTGAGCCGAGATTGTGCCATTGCACACCAGCCTGGGTGACAAGAGCAAAATTCCATCTCAAAAAAAAAAAAAAAATGTGTGTGTGACACCTACCCCTTCACTCTCTCTCTTGTTCCTGCTCTGGCCACGTAAGACGTGCCTGCTTCCCCTTTACCTTCTGTCATAACTGTAAGTTTCCTGAGGCCTCCCCGGAAGCTGAGCAGATGCTTTCTTTACAACCTGCAGAACCGTGAGCCAATGAAACCTCTTTTCTTTATAAATTACCCAGTCTCAGGTATTTCTTTATAGCAGTGTGAGAATGGATTAACGCAGTGTGCAACCCACACACATCTGACGTCAGAAGCAGGCTGTGAGAGTTTCAGGAGAAACTGAGCTTGTGGTTTGTACTCATTTATTTTAGAAACCAAACTTGAAACTGAAAAATCTAAAACACAACTTAGTAATATAATAAATTATGAAAACATTCTATCATAAAAACAAATGTGGGGTCGGGTGTGGTGGCTCACGCCTGGATTCCCAGCACTTTGGGAGGCTGAGGCAAGCAGATCACCTGAGGTGAGGAGTTCAAGACCAACCTGGCCAACATGGTGAAACCCCATCTCTACTAAAAACACAAAAAATTAGCCGGGCATGGTGGGGCACATCTGTAATCCCAGCTACTCAGCAGGCTGAGGCAGGAGAATCACTTCAACCGGGCAGGCGGAGGTTGTAGTGAACCAAGATCGCACCATTGTACTCCAGCCTGGGCAACAAGAGTGAAACTCTGTCTCAAAACAAAACAAAACAAACACAAATGTGGGCATTTTAAGTAAAATGAGAATACTCCTTTTGATGTGATGTTAGCCAAATCTTTGGTGAGTTTTTTTGTTGTTGTTTTTTTTCTTTTGAGATGGAGTCTCGCTCTGTCGCCCAGGCTGGAGTGCAGTGGTGCGATCTCAGCTCACTGCAAGCTCTGCCTCCCGGGTTCACGCCATTCTCCTGCCTCAGCCTCCCAAGTAGCTGGGACTACAGGTGCCGGCCACTACGCCTGGCTAATTTTTTGTATTTTTAGTAGAGATGGGGTTTCACCGTGTTAGCCAGGATGGTCTCGATCTCCTGACCTCATGATCTGCCCGCCTCGGCCTCCCAAAGTGCTGGGATTACAGGCATGAGCCACTGCGCCCAGCCTGGTGAGTTTTATAACTTCCCTTTCTCTGCCCACCTCCAACCTAGCTATTGGATTTCTCTGTTGAACAATGTTAGCACTTCACTAAAGACTGCTGCCTGGATGTGAGGGCGATCTGGCTGCAACATGTTACCCCACTGATCGCCAGGGTTGATTCAGCTGACCTGGCTGGCTAGGTGGGTGTCCCCTTCCTCCCTCACTACTCCATGTGCAACCTCCTGAAGCTGTGCACTCCGTTAAAGAGGACAACCATCCCCGATAGACAAGGACCAGTCTTCGGTCAAGGGCATACAAGTAGCTGTGCTCCCCTGCTAGACCCTCCCAACAAGCTCTCAAGACTGCTGTCTGCCAATCTGTATCCAGAGTTGGAAAAAAGAAAGAAAAAAAAGAACTTGTCCCAGAGTGTTCCTTACTGAGTTATAAATTAGTTGTAATTTGGAAAGGGAACATTCTGTGGTAGATAGTGATTGAAAATTCAAAGATCAAAATATTAAAGGATGTATATTCTGAGAAAACTTGCATTCACATTGTAGTTTTACTTTTGTTTTTGTTTGTTTTGAGACAGGATCTTGCTCTGTCGCCCAGGCTGGAGTGCAGCGGTGCGATCTTGGCTCACTGCAGCCTTGACCTCGTGTGCTCAAGCAATTCTCCCATCTCAGCTGGGACCACAGGTGCACGAAACCATGCCCCAGTAATTTTTAATTTTTTGTAGAGATGAGTGTCTCACTGTGTCACACAGGTTGGTCTTGAACTCCTGAGATCAAGCGATCCTCCCATCTCAGCTGCACAAATTACTGGGATTACACGCCTGGCCCAGAACAAATTTTAAAAAAAGTTATGTGTGTTTTTCAATATCTCATGACGCAACACTACAGAACAACATATATATATATGTATATATATATAAATCTATCTCCCTATAAAAGCCAAACAAGACAAGCCTGGGCCACATGTGGCTCATGATCTGTCAGCTGGAGGTGTCTTCTTTTTTTTTTTTTTTTGGAGACAGAGTCTTGCTCTGTCACCCAGGCTAGAGTGCAGTGGCGTGATCTCGGCTCACTGCAACCTCCACCTCCCAGGTTCAAGTGATTCCCCTGCCTCAGCTTCCTGAGTAGCTGGGATTACAGGTACTCGCCACCTTGCCTGGCTAATTTTTGTATTTTTATGTTTTAATATTTTATTTATTTATTTATTTATTTTGAGATGGAGTCTCACACTGCCGCCCAGGCTGGAGTGCAGTGGTACGACCTTGTCTCACTGCAACCTCCACCTCCTGGGTTCAAGCGATTCTCCTGCCTCAGCCTTCTGAGTAGCTGGGACTACAGGTGTGTGCCACCACGCTTGGCTAACTTTTTGTATTTTTGAGACGGGGTTTCACCGTGTTAGCTAGGATGGTCTTGATCTCCTGACCTCATGATCCACCCACCTTGGCCTCCCAAAGTGCTGGGATTACAGGCGTGAGCTACCATGCCTGGCCAATTTTGGTATTTTTAGTAGAGACGGGGTTTCACCATCTTGGCCAGGCTCGAACTCCTGACCTCGTGATCCAGCTGCCTCGGCCTCCCAAAGTACTGGGATTAAGGCATGAGCCACCGCACCCGGCCTGTTGGCGGTATCTTCTAAGCACAACTGGGGGCGGTCATGGCATTCAAGACCAGCCTGGGCAACGTGATGAAACCCCTTCTCTACAAAAAATACAAAAATTATCTGGGTGTGGTGGCAGGTGCCTGTAATCCCAGCTACTTGGGAGGCTGAGGCAGGAGAATCGTTTGAACCTGGGAGGTGGAGGTTGCACTCCAGCCTGGGCAACAGAGCAAGACTCCGTCTCAAAAAAAATAAATAAATAAAATAAATAAACATAATTGAACAAGCTCCCTTGGAAGTTCCCTGAAGTGGCTGTAGAGGGACCCTCCTTATCTTGGCCTTTGGTGGTGAGAGCTGGGGAGCCTGTACTCAGATGGCCTTAAATCAGGGTGTCTCTCCGACCTATGTGCTATTAACATGTTGGGACAGCTGATTCTTAATCGTTGAGAGGCTCTCCTGCATGTCCTAGGATACTTAGTGGCATTTCTGGCCTCTATCCACTAGGTGTCAGAAGGATCCCCCTAGCTGCCATAACCAAAAATATCTCCCGACATTCCCAAATGTCCTCTGGGTGGGGAGAAGGGAACAAAACCCACCTAACTGAATGAAGCATTTTAACCAATTAACAGACCTGCCCGCGGAGCCTGCAGCCAGTTCAGGAAAAGGCCTCCTGTGGAACCAGACTCACCCGGCTGCAGGGAGATCCACATGGGTCTCCTCTTCATTTCGGTGCCACCAGAGAGGATTAAGATGAATAGCAGATGGTTGGGTGCAGTGGCTTACTGGGAGGCTGAGGAGGGTGGATCACCTGAGGTCTGGAATTCGAGACCAGCCTGGCCAACATGGTGAAACCCCATCTCTAGTAAAAATATAAAATTAGCCGGGCATGGTGGCACATGACTGTAATCCCAGCTACTCGGGAGGCTGAGGCACGAAAATTGCGTGAACCTAGGAGGCAGAGGTTGCAGTGAGCCAAGATCACTGGGCTGCAGGTGGCACTCCAGCCTGGGCAACAAGAGCAAAACTCCATCTCAAAAAAAAAAAAAAAAAAAAAAAAAAAGCCTGGGCGCAATGGCTCATGCCTGTAATCCCAGCACTTTGGAAGGCTAAGGCGGGTGGATCATGAGGTCAGGAGATCAAGACCATCCTGGCTAACATGGTGAAACTCCATGTCTACTGAAAATACAAAAAAATTAGCCGGGCGTAGTGGCAGGCACCTGTAGTCCCAGCTACTCGGGAGGCTGAGGCAGAAGAATGGCGTGAACCCAGGAGCTGGAGCTTGCAGTGAGCTGAGATCACGCCACTGTGCTCCAGCCTGGGCAACAGAGCAAGACTCTGTCTCAAAAAAAAAAAAGAAAGGAAGAATAGCAGAACACTAGCCCTGGAGGAAAGGAATGAATAAGATAATGCACCACGAACCAAGAAGAGGCTTCCAGGAAGATGCTGCAATTGGAGAACAAGACAAAGTTCTGGAAGTCACAAATACGACGGACCAAATTTAAAAATCCATCACAGCCTGGGAAACATGGCAAAACCCCATCTCTACAAAAAATAAAATAATTAGCCGGGCATGGTGGAGTGCATCTGTACTCCCAGCTACTCAGGAGGCTGAGGTAGGAGGATCACTTGAGCCCAGGAGGTTGAGTCTGCAGTGAGCTGAGATTGCACCACTGCACTCCAGCCTGGGTGACAGAGTGAGACCATGTCTCAAAAATTAATTAATTAATTAAGTTAAATAAAAAATTAATCAAAGGAAGGTACGGGTGGAAAAGTTTTGAAACACCTCTCAGGATGTAGAGCAAAATGCCAACAAAAAAGAAAGAAAAGAAAGGAAAATATGAAAGAAAAGAGATGGAGAATCAATTCAATCCATATTTGTTTAACAGAAGTTCCAGAAAGAGAGAACATAGCTGGACGTGATGGTATGGGCCTGTGGTCCCAGCTGCTCGTGAGGCTGGGGCAGGAGGATTGTTTGAGCCCGGGAGGTTGAGGCTACAGTGAGCCGTGATGGCACCACTGCACTCCATCCTGGGCAACACAGCATGACCTTGTCTCAAAAAACAAAAACAAAGAAAAAACTCAGAAAGAGAGAACAGAGAAAATGAAGGGGTGGGAACAACAAAAGAAGATTCCATTTGATTGAGAGATATTTCAAGCAGAGGAGTCTCTGCAAGTGGTCCTCACCTCAGCGTCCCCTGGAATCACCTGAGGAGCTTTGAAACCACTGATCCCGAGATTCCTGCTTCCAGCCAAGATGGAGTCACGTGGGCTGGGTCCGCCCTCCTGTCTGAAACAATCACCACCACCACAGTGACAAAAACAGACCCAATACATGGAACAACAGTGTTCAAAACGCTGAACATCAAGCAATGAGAGAAAGTAACAAAAGCAATGAAATCCCAGAGAGAAAGGACATCAACAGTCCTTTTAGGACTGTGCAGTTTACTGCTTCGAGAGCGTTTCCAAAGTGTGGGGCAGGGCAAGGGGGATGTGGGTTGTTGCAGCCCAGAGGATTCGCAGAGTTGAGGAAATGGAGTGGCTGAGTCCGAGGAGACCACAGCAGCTAGAGCTTAGATAATGGAACACCTACAAGACAGAGGTGCACAGAGAGAGTACCCCAGAGGACTTCAGAGGATTCAGCAAAGAACTAATCAGCACATGTGTGTGAAGAAACTCTCCAAGGCCAGGGAAAGAACCAGCTGAAAGGATTCGAGGAAACAACGCCCAAGATTCACACGAGGTAGGGCCAGGACCTCTTCCCACTGGCCAGCTGGAAAAACTGATCATTCGCTAGGCATGGGGTAGAGTGCTCAGGAAGATCTTGTCTCAGTAATGGGGAATAATTAAACCTAGACTTCCGGTGCAGTGGCTCATGCCTGTAATCCCAGCACTGTGGGAGGCTGAGATGGGTGGATCACTTGAGGTCAGGACTTTGAGACCAGCCCAGGCAACACAGCAAGACCACATCTCTTAAAAAGGCCGGGCAGGCACGGTGGCTCACACCTGTAATCGCACTGTGGGAGGCCAAGGTGGGCAGATCACTTGAGGCCAGGAGTTCAAGAGCAGCCTGGCCAACAGGGTGTAACCCACTCTCTACTAAAAATACAAAAATTAGCCAGGCATGGTGGCGTGTGCCTCTAGTCCCAGCTACTCAGGAGGCTGAGGCAGGAGAATCAGTTGAACTCCAGAGGCAGAGGCTGCAGTGCACCAAAATGGCACAACTGCCCTCCAGCCTGGGCAACGGTGAGACTCTATCTAAAAAAAAAAAAAAAAAAAAAAAAATTAAGCCTACACTGAGCATTAATCTGGACCTGTCTAACAAATCATAAAGATTACACAAATATTTGGTGTTCTACAAGGTAAAATTTACAATGTCTGATAAGCAATCAAGGATTACCAAGCATAAGGAAAAAATTAACAGAATGAAGTAATAACTTACAGATTGGGAGAAAACATTTGTAAGCAATACATCCAATAAGGTGTTAATACCCAAAATATATAAGAAACTCAAAAAACTCAGAGTGAAAAAAACAAATAAGCTGATTTAAAATGGGCAAAGGACCTGAACAGATATTAAAAAAAAAAAAGACACAGAAATGACCAACAAATATATGAAAAAATGTTCAACAGCACTAACCACCAGGAAAACGCAAATTAAAAGCACGATGAGATATCACCTGTTGGTGCTGGTGTTGGTGAAGATATGGAGAAAAGGGAACCCTTACCCACCGTTCGTGGGAATGTAAATTATTACAGTCATTCTGGAAAATTATATGGAAGTTCCTCAAAATATAGGCTGGGCGTGGTGGCTTGCATCTGTAATCCCAGCACTTTTGGGAGGCTGAAGTGGACAGATCACTTGAGCCCAGGAGTTTGAGACCAGCCTGGACATCATGGTAAAACCCCCGTCTCTGCAAAAAATACAAAAATTAGCCAGGCATGGTGGCATGCACCATAGTTCCAGCTACTAGGGAGGCTGAGGTGGAAGGATTGCATGAGCAGGGAAGAGGTGGAGGTTTGCAGTGAGCCAAGATAGTGCCACTGCACTCCAGCCTGGGTGATAGAGCCAGACTCATTTAAAACAACAACAACAACAACAACAAAACGAAAAAACTAAAAGTAGACTTACCAAATGATCCAGCAATCCCACTTCTGGGTGTATATCCAAAGGAACTGAAAAATCAGTGTGTCAGAGATATCTGCATTTCCAGGTTCACTGCAGTGTTATTTACAACAGGCAAATCATGACATCAACCTAAGCATCCATCAGCAGATGAAAGGATAAAGAAAATGTGGCCAGGCGCTGTGGCTCACGCCTGTAATCCCAACACTTTGGGAGACCAAAGCAGGCAGATTACTTGAGGTAAGGAGTTTGAGAGCAGCCTGACCAACATGGTGAAACCCCCATCTCTACTAAAAATACAAAAATTAGCTGGGCATGGTGGCAGGCGTCTGTAATCCCAGTTACTTGGGAGGCTGAGGCAAGAGAATCGCTTGAAGCTGAGAGGCAGAGGCTGCAGTGAGCCGAGATTGCACCACAGCATTCCAGCCTGGCTGACAGAGTGAGACTCCATCTCAAAAACAAAAAACAAACAAACAAAAAACAGGCTGGACGTGGTGGCTCACGTGTATAATCCCAGCACTTTGGGAGGCTGAGGCGGGCAGATCACCTGAGGCCAGGAGTTTGAGACCAGTCTGGCCAACAGGGTGAAACTCTGTCTCTAATAAAAATACAAAAATTAGCCGGGCATGGTACGGTGCACTCCTGTAATTCCAGCTACTTGGGAGGCTGAGGCACGAGAATTGGTTGAACCCAGAGGGGCGGAGGTTGCAGTGAGCCAAGACCAAGTCACTGCACTCCAGCCTGGGTGACAGAGCAAGACTCTGTCTCAAAAAAAAAAAAAAAAAAAAAAAAAAGAGATGAAAAGACAGAAAAGATAAAGAAAATGTGTATATATACACATTTGAATAGAATACCATTCAACTTTAAAAAGAAGCAAGAAGCAAATCCTGTGATTTGCAACTACATGGATGAAGCTGGAGGACATTATGCTGAGTGAAATGAACTAGGCCCAGAAAGACAAATACCGCATTCTGGCATGTTCTCACTTAAATGTGTAATCTGAAATAATTGAACTAATAGAAGCAGAGAGTAGAATGGTAGTTAGCAGAAACTGGAGGTGGGGAGGAAACGGAGTGACTTTGGTCAAAGAGTACAAAGTTGCAGCTAGACAGGAAAAAATGATGAGTATTTAAGATGATAAACGTGTTAATTAGCTTGATTCAATTACTCTATGCTGTATCTATATATCATAACAGCATGGTGTACCCCATAATTGTACATGATTAAAATTTATAGAATGCTTTTTAAAAATTGGAATATGAAGATGAACTTCAATGGCAAAAAAATTCTTTTTAACCCAGAAGATGAGATTGGTTTAAAAGCTCCCCACTTTTAAGAAAAGATTACCAGGCAGGCAAAGAGGCAGAAAACATGACCATATTAAGAAGAATAATCAGTTAATGGAAACCAACCTAGAACTGACACAAATGTTACAATGAGCAGAAAACATTAAAATAGTTACTATAACTGAATGCCATATGTTAAAAAATTAAGTAGCGATAAGGAGATACAAAACAAAGGCCCAAGTCAAGCATCTAAAAGATTACAATGTCAGAGATGAAAAGTACAATAAATAGGGTTGATAGTAGATTAGATATTGCAGAAGGAAGCCTTAGTGAAGTTGAAATCATAGCAAAAGAAATCCAAAATGAAACGCAGAGAAAAAACAATTTTTTTTTTTGAGACAGGGTCTCACTCTGGCTGGGGTGCAGTGGCACCATCTCGGCTCACTGCAGCCTTGACCTCCTGGGCTCAAGTGATCCTCACAGAAAAAAAAACAATTTTTTTTTAAGACGGAGTGTCACTCTTGTCTCCCAGGCTGGAGTGCACTGGCGCAAGGTCTCGGCTCACTGCAATCTCTGACTCCTGGGTTCAAGCGATTCTCCTGGCCCAGCCTCTCAAGTAGCTGGGATTATAGGCATGTGCCACCACACTCGGCTAATTTTTGTATTTTTAGTAGAGACAGGGTTTCACCATGTTGGCCAGGCTGGTCTTGAACACCTGACCTCAAATGATCCACCCACCTCAGCCCCCCGAAGTGCTGGGATTATAGGCGTGAGCCACAGGGCCAGGCAGAAAAAACAATTTTAAGAATGAAAAACATGGCTGGGCACAGTAGCTCACACCTGTAATCCCAACATTTTGGGAGGTCAAGGCATGAAGATCACTTGAGGCCAGGAGTTTGAGACCAACCTGGGCAACATAGCTAGACTCCATATCTACAAAAAAGAAAAAATTAGCCAGGTGTGATGGTGTGCACCCGTAGTCCCAGCTACTTAGGAGGCTGAGATGGGAGGATTTCTTGAGCCTAGGAGGTGAAGGTTGCAGTGAGTTATGATTGTGCCACGGCACTGCAGCCTGGGTGAGAGTGAGACCCTGTCTGGAAAGTAAAAAGAAAACCACATCAGTGAGCTGTGGAATAACTTTATGCAGGCTAATATGTGAGTAATTGGAGTTGAAGGAAAGGAGAGATAGAGGGGCACAGAAAAAATACCTTAAGGACTAATAGCTTAACAGTTTCCAAATTTGATGAAAATCATAAATCTACACATCCAAGAAGCTCAACAATTCTCTAACACAAGAAACTACACCAAAGCACATCATAATCAAATTGCTCAAAGCCACTGATAAAGTGAAAATCTTAAAGTAGCCAGCATCTAGGTGCGGTGGCTCATCCTTGTAATCCCAGCGCTCTGGGAGGCCAAGATAAGAGGAGTTCAAGACCAGCCTGGGCCACATAGCAAGACCCTTGTCTCTTCTTTTCTTTTTTTTTTTTTTTTTGGAGACGGAGTCTCACTTTGTCGCCCAGGCTGGAGTACAGTGGTGCAATCTCGGCTCACTGCTGGCTCGGCCTCCCAGGTTCACGCCATTCTCCTGCCTCAGCCTCCCCAGTAGCGGGGACTACAGGTGCCTGCCACCACGCCTGGCTAATTTTTTGTATTTTTTAGTAGAGACGGGGTTTCACTGTGTTAGCCAGGATGGTCTCGATCTCCTGACCTCGTGATCCACCCACCTCGGCCTCCCAAAGTGCTGGGATTACAGGTGTGAGCCACCGCGCCTGGCAGCAAGACCCTTGTCTCTACAAAAAAAAAAAAAAAAAAAAAAATAGACCGAGTGCAGTGGCTCATGCCTGTAACCCCTGCACTTTGCAAGGCCAAGGTGGACTGATCACTTGAGGCCAGGAGTTTGAGACCAGTCTGGGCAACATGGAGAAACCTTGTCTCTACTAAAAATACAAGAATTAGGCCAGGCACAGTGACTCACACCTGTAATCCCAGCACTTTGGGAGGCCAAGGTAGGCGGATCACCTGAGGTCAGGAGTTCGAGACCAGCCTGACCAACATGGAGAAACCCCGTCTCTACTAAAAACAGAAAATTAGCCGGGCATGGTGGCGCACATGCCTGTGATCCCAGCTACTTGGGAGGCTGAAGCACGAGAATCGCTTGAACCTGGGAGGTGGAGGTTGCAGCCGAGATCACACCATCACTGCACTCCAGCCTGGGTGAACAGAATGAGATTCTGTCCCAAAAAAAAAAAAAAAGAAAAAGCCTGATGTGGTGGCGTGTGTCAGCTAGTTGGGAGGTTGAGGCAAGAGGATCACTTGAGCCCAGGAGTTTGAAGCCAGCCTAGGCAACATTATAATGAGACCCCTATCTCTTAAAAAAAAAAAAAAAAAGGGAGGGGGGTTAAGAGAGTGGATTAGTGTGGGCGACAAGCCACCCAGGCGCCGAGGCAAGAGACAGAGGACACGAGCTGTTCCAGTATAATAAAATATAAAACAAGAATAGTTATACCAGATATAGATCTTAGATATGATTATATATGAATATCATTAATCATTAGTTTGTAGCAATTACTTTTTATTCCAATATTATAATAATCTTCGCTCTATAATCATAGCCTAGGAAAAACCAGGCCATACAGAGATAGGAGCTGAGGGGACATAGCGAAGTGTGACCAGAAGACAAGAGTGCGAGCCTTCTGTTATGCCCGGACAGAGCCACCAGAGGTCTCCTTGGTCTAGTGGTGACGACAGCGTCTGGGAAGACAGACGCCCGTTGCCAGGCGGACTGTGGTCCATCGGTAGCGTAAGTGTCAAGGGAAAACACCCACTACTTAGCAGACCGGGAAAGTGGGGGGAGGGGTCTCCCTTTCCCCGGGGGAGTTTAGAAAAGACTCTGCTCCTCCACCTCTTGTGGAGGGCCTGACATTAGTCAGGCTCGCCCGCAGTTATCCAGAGGCCTAACCGTCTCCCTGTGATGCTGTGCTTCAGTGGTCACACTCCTAGTCCGCCTTCATGTTCCATCCTGTACACCTGGCTCTGCCTTCTAGATAGCAGTAGTAAATTAGTGAAAATACAAATAGTCCCTGATATGCAGAAATAATGGCATAAGCTCTCTTTCTCTCTGTCTCCTCTCCTTCTCTGCCTCGGCTGCCAGGCAGGGAAGGGCCCCCTGTCCGGTGGACACATGACCCACGTGACCTTACCTATCATTGGAGGTGACTCACATTCTTTACCCTGCCCCTTCTGCCTTGTATCCAATAAATAACAGCGCAGCCAGACATTCGGGGCCACTACCGGTCTCCGGGCATTGGTGGTAGTGGTCCCCCCGGGCCCAGCTGCCTTTTCTCTTATCTCTTTGTCTGTGTCTTTATTTCTACACTCTCTCGTCGCCGCACACAGGGAGAGACCCACCGACCCTGTGGGGCTGGTCCCTACAGATTAGTGGTTGGCAGGGCTAGGGAAGAGAGGGGAATGGGCAGTGACTATTCGGCATAGAGTTTCGTTTTGGGTTGATTAAAATGTCTGGATAGTGGCATAGATTGCACAACTTTGTGAATATACTAAAAACCACTGAATTGTACTCTGTTTTTTTAGATAACATCTCACTCTGTTGCCCAGACTGGAGTACAGTGGTGCAATCATAGCTCACTGCGTCCTTGAACTGGGCTCAACCAGTCCTCCTGCTTCAGCCTCCACAGTAGCTAGGACTACAGGCACAGCTAATTTTTTTTTTTTTTTTTTTGAGACAGAGTTTCACTTTTGTTGCCCAGGCTGGAGTGCAATGGCGCCATCTCAGCTCACAGCAACCTCCGCCTCCCAGGTTCAAGCCATTCTCCTGCCTCAGCCTCTGGAGTAGCTGGGATTACAGGCATGCGCCACCATGCCCGGCTAATTTTGTATTTTCAGAGACGGGGTTTCTCCATGTTAGTCAGTCTGGTCTTGAACTCCCAACCTCAGTTGATCCGCCCGCCTTGGCCTCCCAAAGTGCTGGGATTACAGGCATGAGCCACCGTGCTCAGCCAGGCCCAGCTAATTAAAAAAAAAAAAAAAGTGTGTGTAGGCTGGGCGCAGTGACTCACGCCTGTAATTCCAACACTTTGGGAGGCCGAGGCGGGTGGATCACGAGGTCAGGAGATCGAGACCATCCTAGCTAACACAGTGAAATCCTGTCTCTACTAAAAATACAAAACATTAGCCGGGCATGGTGGTGGGCACCTGTAGTCCCAGCTACTGGGGAGGCTGAGGCATGAGAATGATTTGAACCCGGGAGGTGGAGCTGGCAGTGAGCCTAGATTGTGCCACTGCACTCCAGCTGGGGAGACAGAGCGAGACTCTGTCTCAAAAAACAAACAAACAAACAAACAAACAAACAAAAACGAGTGTGGTGGCACACGCCTGTAATCCCGTCTACTCAGGTGGCTGAGGCAGGAGAATCGCTTGCACCTGGGAGGAAGAGGTTGAGTGAGCCGAGATCATGCCACTGCACTCCAGCCTGGGCGATAGAGCAAGACTCCATCTCAAAAACCAAAACAAAACGAAGGAAGGAAGGAAGAAAGTGAGGGAGGGAGGGAGGGAGGGAAAAATTATCAGAATTAATAAGTTACTTTGGCCGGGCTTTGTGGCTCACACCTGTAATCCCAGCACTTTGGGAGGCCGAGGTGGGTGGATCACGAGGTCGGGAGTTCGAGACCAGCCTGGCCAACATGGTGAAACCCCATCTCTACTAAAAATACAAAATTTAGCTGGCTGTGGTTGCATGCGCCTGTAGTCCCAGCTACTCGGGAGGCTGAGGTGGGAGAATCACTTGAACCTAGGAGGCAGAGGTTGCAGTGAGCCGAGATTGTGCCATTGCACTCCAGCCTGGGTTACATAGTGAGACTCCATCTCAAAAAAAAAAAGTTGCTTTCACTTTGTAGGATGCATGATGGATATATAGAATATATATATAAGTAATAAAGCTTCTATGAGTGGAGGAACACCAGGGCTCCTGTTCCGTGGGAATTGGATAAAGCCACATGGACACACATGGAGTGGTTTTAAGGAGTGGAGAGTTTAATAGGCAAGAAAAAAGGGAGCAGAAAGAAGGAAGAAGCTCCCCTGTACAGAGACAGAGGGAGAGGGGCTCCAAAGCCAACAGAGGAGACCACAAGTGCGGGGGATACCAGCCAGTTATGAGTAGGCTGGAGGAGGCGGTGTCTGATTTGCATAGGGCTCAGGGAACTGGTTTGACCAGGCATTTTATTCGTGTAGCCTTTGAAAAAACTGGCCCTCCCACCCTAGCCTTTTAATATGCAAATGCAGGGTGCAATGATGTTTTACACAGGTGGGGATATGTGGGGGCAGCCACGTTGCCAGGCACATGTGGGGGCATGTCCTTGGGTTGTTCAGTTTGCACCATTTGGAGTTAGATGGCTTCTAAGCAAGAGGAAACAATTTGAGTTACAGTATTGAGTATACAGGGTCCAAATATTTATACAAGACATATAAACAAGACAGGGCTTAATAAAGGGGTTAACCAATTCCATAAAGAAGACAGGAATTCATTAAAGAGGGATTGTAGCCACCCGGGGCTGAAGCCGGCATTTTCTCTGAGCCTGTCAATGATTTTGATTTCATCTTTAAGTACCTGTAGATTTTCCTCTACTTTAGTAGAGGTTTTAATCCAGAAGCAGCATGTTTCATTTAAAAGTGCATCACTAAACCCAGTAAAAAGTCCTGGCAGATTCGGTGATAGTAACTTTTATGCTTCCTTTTCGTTAGTAACTACTATCCCTGCTATAAGGATAATAAGCAGAATACTACGGCAATGGAAACTCTGTCCAATATTTCAGCTTTAAGGTGCTACCGTGTATAACCCTATTGAAAATAGTGGGGTGAGTACAGCAATTCCCACAAGTGTGGTGTAGTAGATAATTTCCACTTAAAATTTTACTTGCCAAGATATAGAATTTCCCTTTGGGGGTTTATGAAGTTCTTTTGTTTTATTTTCCCAAACAAAGAAATCTCCAAGCTATGGGCACCCTACTCACTTTTTTTTTTTTTTGAGACGGAGTCTTGCTCTTTCGCCCAGGCTGGAGTGCCGTGGCGCGATCTCAGCTCACTGCAAGCTCCACCTCCTGGGTTCACGCCATTCTCCTGCCTCAGCCTCCCAAGTAGCTGGGACTACAGGTGCCCGCCACCACGCCCAGCTAATTTTTTTGTATTTTTAGTAGAGACAGGGTTTCACCATGTTAGCCAGGATGGTCTCGATCTCCTGACCTCGTGATCCACCCGCCTTGGCCTCCCAAAGTGCTGGGATTACAGGCGTGAGCCACCGCGCCCTGCTTTTCTTTTTTTTTTTTTTTAAAGACGGAGTCTCGCCTTCTCACCCAGGCTGGAGGGCAATAGCGCGATCTCGGCTCACTGCAACCTCCACCTCCTGTGTTTAAGCTATCCTCCTGCCTCAGCCTTCCTAGTAGCTGGGATTATAGGCACACACCACCATGCCCAGATAATTTTTTTGTATGTTTAGTAGAGATGGGGTTTCACCATGTTGCCCAGGCTGGTCTGAAACTCCTACCTCAGGTCATCCACCCACCTCGGCCTCCCAAAGTGCTGGGATTACAGGGGTGAGCCACCGCGCCTGGCCCCTACTCACTTTTATTACCTGGCAGAATTTATAGGATAATTGCCCAGAACCAGTATATTGATTCAGATTTTTACATTCTCCATTCCTTTTTTTTTCTTCCAAGCTGCAGATCACCACTTGATTTACAGGAATAAACAGGGTTAGTCTAAAATGTAGGCAAAAAGCTTAAAAACAATTAATGAGACTAGGATTTAATGACAAATGTATGATAAGCTTTGGGACACAATTTCTCCAGGTCTCATTTTTGGTAAAAACAAATTATGATAGGACCATGTGTGTTGTTTGTAGAATAAACTTTAGTTTTATACTTGGCCTGATGATTTGCCCAGGCTGGAGTGCAACAGGGCAATCTTGGCTCACCGCAACCTCTGCCTCCCAGGTTCAAGCTGTTCTCTTGCCTCAGCCTCCCGAGTAGCTGGGGTCACAGACATGCACTGCCACGCTCAGCTAATTTTGTATTTTTAGAAGAGTCCAGGATTTCTCCATATTGGTCAGGCTGGTCTCGAACTCCCAACCTCAGGTGATCCACCTGCCCAGCTTGGCTTCCCAAAGTGCTGCGATTACAGGCATGAGCCACCGTGCCCGGCCAGGAATGGTTATTTCTACACAGGCCTTTTGAATTGGCTTTGATGAAACTTTGTTGCACAAGGAATTTCAGATAAGACCTTTAAAGCCGAGCCCAACTATGGGTTTGTATCCTCAAATACCTGTGAGTTGGGTGATCCTCTCCTCTTAAGGTTCCAAGATAAACTTGGAGCTCCCAGGCCTGTTAGAAAGTGACACTCTTTACTGACCATAGGTTAGGAACCCTGTGTGGGGACTGTGTAGACTAACTATGAGGCCAGTTCTCTCCAAGGGGTTTTTATTGGGTCTGCATGTCAAGCTTGATTCCTTAAAGGGAAACACACCCTTTCAGTGAAACCTTGGTAAAATAACCAGTTTTTCCAACTGTGTCCTGTTGACAAAGAAAATTGACTCTTTTTTTTTTTTTTTTGAGACGGAGTCTTGCTCTGTTGCCTAGGCTGGAGTGCAGTGGCACGATCTCGGCTCACTGCAAGCTCCGCCTCCCGGGTTCACGCCATTCTCCTGCCTCAGCCTCCTGAGTAGCTGGGACTACAGGCACCGCCACCACACCTGGCTAATTTTTTTGTATTTTTAGTAGAGACGGGGTTTCACCGTGTTAACCAGGATGGTCTCGATCTCCTGACCTTGTGATCTGCCCACCTCGGCCTCCCAAAGTGCTAGGATTACAGGCGTGAGCCACGGCACCCGGCCAGAAAATTGACTCTTATTGCACTGATGCAAACAACCTTACTGCCATAAGTTAAGAGTACTCACAGATAGTCTCCACGTTCTAGAGGAACCAGGCAGAGAAAAACAAACATGCTCCAAATTTTGTTCACAGGCATATACCTTACGCAATTATTTATTTTATTTTATTTTGAGACAGAGTTTCGCTCTTGTTGCCAGGCTGGAGTGCAATGGTGTGATCTTGGCTCTGCAACCTCCACCTCCTGGGTTCAAGCAATTCTCCTGCCTTAGCTTCCCGAGTATCTGGGATTACAGGCATGCACCACCACACCCAGCTAATTTTGTATTTTTAGTAGAGATGGGGTTTCTCCAAGTTGGTCAGGCTGGTCTTAAACTCCCAACCTCAGGTGATCCACCCTCCTTAGCCTCCTAAAGTACTGGGTTTGCAGGCATGAGCCACGGTGCCCGGCACCTTACTTAATTATTAAAGGCTGTAAATAGTTCAAAATAAGTTTTCTTGACTCTGAAAGACAAAACAAGGATCCTTAAGTTATCTTAGGGACTCTCATGCGTATTTGCAATATTCCAAGCAAAAGTTAAAAAGGTTGCTTTGGCCAGGTGCGGCAGCTCACACCTGTAATCCCAGCACTTTGGGAGGCTGAGGCGTGTGGATCATGAGGTCAGGAGTTTGAGACCCTGTCTCTACTAAAAATACAAAAATTTGTCAAGCGCAGTGGTGGGCGCCTGTAATCCCAGGCTGAGGCAGGAGAATCCCTTGAACCAGGGAGGCGGAGGTTGCAGTGAGCCAAGATTGCACCATTGCACTCCAGCCTGGGTGACAGAGTGAGACTCTATCACAAAAAAAAAAAAAAAAGCTGCTTTAACTTTTTGAGTGCAGTCCATTTAGTTAACTTTTGTTTTGCTTGATATTTGTGAATATGTCCATTCTTTATGAGTCCTGTACTTTTTTATTCCAATGTTACAATCTTCAAAGCTATTAAAAACCTGCATTTGAGAACACCTGTTAAAGTCCTTAATATAGCTTGATTATAAACCATTTTCTGAGAAGGAACGAAGCAAGACAACAATTGTTTGCGAATGACAAAATTTCCAGGACAGTTACAGTTAAATCTTTACAAATCTTTTATAACCTTTTTACCAAAGGACAGATTAGTGTTTTAGGAACTCCTTGCTATGCTTTTATTTCAATGCTCAATTTATGAAAAGACCATATAGATACTATGAGAGAAGACAGTGTAGTGTTTCTACCATGCATTTCATTGCAAGGCAACCCAAAGCCAATTGGCTTATTTTGGCAATTAGCCCATTCTGCATGGTAGTCTCATCTCTTTGTGGGGGGTGGGGATGTTTTTTAGGTGCCCAAGAGCATGCTTTTTTGATTTATAACTACTATTAGGCATCCTTTACAGTGTATTTTCTACCTAGTTATTACACATCAAAGCTCTTTTATAATGTGAAGTAATTTGATACCCCCAAAACTCAAAACGGTAGATAACACAATACATAACAGAACAGAGCCTTTGGTTTTGAGAGGGAACTATCAGCTTTTAATTTTGGGGGTTTCATGAGGAAAACAGGTTTTTTTTCCAAAACAGGGTTTGTGGCACCTCCTCTGTTTTTCCCAAGGAGTTCCATGCTGTCAGAAGTTGTCTTAGGGACTCTCATGCATGCATTAAGAGTGGTTAAGACAAAAATGGAGAAAAATAATTCAGTTGACTGAGAAGAGCCTTTTTCCAGAAAACAAGATTCAAGAAGAGAAAAACATAAAGGCCTTTTAAGTATACCTATAACTTGAATATCCACTTTTAATTAAGCTGAGTGCTCTAAGAAAAGCCTTCAAAATCCCTTGTTACTTGACTTTAGCCATGCCAAGCAGTTAAGATTTTTGGCTTTTGAGTTTTACAAAAAGTAACCTCACAGGTGAACCCAATGAGCCTTAATTAGGTTATGACTTATCCACAAGTGTACAAGGTATTTTCAAAGGAGTAATAGGCAGCTTTTGAAACTGTCATTGCAAAACTGAGACTGAGACAGTGAAAGAGAAGAGATCCGACCCAAACAACTCCATTTTGTTTCCAGCCCCCAAGCTGTCCTTGCCCATCCCTGGGTGTAGGCTGGACCAACTTTGGGAGGGGCGAGTTTACAGTTATTAAACTATAGACAGTTTATAGTTATTAAACTATAGATAGTTTAAAACTACAGTTATTAAACTATAGTTTATAGTTATTAAACTATAGATAGTTTATAGTTATTAAACTATAGATAGTTTATAGTTATTAAACTATAGATAGTTTATAGTTATTAAACTATAGTTTATAGTTATTAAACTAGTTTATAGTTATTAAACTATAGTTTATAGTTATTAAACTATAGTTTATAGTTATTAAGCTATAGTTTATAGTTATTAAACTATAGATAGTTTATAGTTATTAAACTATAGATAGTTTAAAACAAAGATGATATCAGCCCCTTCTTAAGATATACTTCCCTCTTGTCTGGGGACCAGACCAAGAAACTAGCCATAAGATTAAAAACCAGGCTGGGCGTGGTGGCTCACGCCTGTAATCCCAGCACTTTGGGAGGCCAAGGTGGGCGAATCACGAGGTCAGGAGTTCGAAACCAGCCTGGTCAACATAGTGAAACCCTGTCTTTACTGAAAATACAAAAGTTAGCCAGGTGTAGTGGTACACGCCTGTAATCCCAGCTACTTGTGAGGCTGAGGCAAAGAGAATCACTTGAACCTGGGAGGTGGAGGTTGCAGCAAGCTGAGATTGCGCCACTGCACTCCACCCTGGGCAACAGTGCAAGACTCCATCTCAAAAAAAAAATATATATATATATATATTTATATATTTTATATAATTATATATATTTATATATTTTATATAATTATATATAATTATATATATTTATATATTTTATATAATTATATATTTATATATTTTATATAATTATATATTTATATATTTTATATAATTATATATTTATATATTTTATATAATTATATATTTATATATTTTATATAATTATATATATTTATATATTTTATATAATTATATATAATTATATATTTTATATAATTATATATAATTATATATTTTATATAATTATATATAATTATATATTTTATATAATTATATATATTTATATATTTTATATAATTATATATAATTATATATTTTATATAATTATATATTAAATATATTAACTATATAATTATATATATTAATATATTTTATATAATTATATATTAAATATATTAACATATATAATTATATATTATATATTTTATATAATTATATATTAAATATATTAACATATATAATTATATATATTATATATTAATATATATAATATAAAATTATGTATATATATAATATAAAATTATATATATATATTGGAAACTATGGCTTAGGAGCTATGCATCTGGAGGCTACAAGATTTTGACACTCCCTAAACTACTCTTAAAATGAGTGTTTAAGATATTTTGTAAACCCTGCCCTTGATGGATCAGCTGGCACCACCCAGATTGACAAACCGACTTAATCTGATTTTGTGGCCCTCACCCAGAAACTGACTTAGCACCAGAAGACAGCCACCATTATGAAATGGTGGAGACTCAAACAAAGTATTGCCACGTGGTTACAGGTCATGTTTCCAAGGACATGAAACAAGATGAAGGCTTATAGCCAATTTTGTTAGTGACGATTTTGTTGGGCTCGCTCAAACACCAGGCTTATGGGGTCCTAGGCCTGCATCCTAACCTAAGATACCCTTTCTTAGGGAAAGACATGCAAAGCACACCAGATTGTTTACAGCTTAAGACCAACCTCACAAATCCTTTTTTATGAATTAGAAATTTACAGAGAATATAAACAATGATCCTTATTATCCCTTTTACCGGTTTGCACAGGGAGAAGCCAAAAGCCCATCTGGTAAGAAATGTTTACCCTTTTGCCAGCATACCAGGCTTCTGTGTTCCCTTCCCCCTAGCTCAACTCTAAGCCAAGCATTTTAACGTTTGGAAAAATAACTTTTCCCAGGTTGGAAGAACATTATAAAAGAGATAGAAGCCATTTTAAACCGTGAAAGAAGGAAAAACACCATAGAAAGGAGTGACAAATAGGGTTGCCAAGAGGTATTGCCTCTTTTCCTATTGGAAATATTGTTTCCCCTATTTCTTTGCCTTCCCTATTTTTTCTTTTCCCTTTTGGCCTACTATAGGAGACCTATTGCTTATCTCCAAAATTTTCTTCTGCTTGCAGAGCTGCCTGTTTTAACTGCAGTTAGGGTTTGGCTTAAGAGCAGCATAACATTCCTCCATGAGAGGTTAAATACCTGAGTTAAATTGTGGAAAACTTCTGTATACCTATCAGGGTCATTAGAAGATTGGACAGGCGCAGTGGCTCACGCCTGTAATCCCAGCACTTTGGGAGGCTGAGGCGGGTGGATCATCTGAGGTCAGGAGTTCAAGACCAGCCAAACCAACATGGTGAAACTGTCTCTACTAAAAAAACAAACAAACATAAAATTAGCTGGGCATGGTGATGCACGCCTGTGAATCCTAGCTACTTGGGAGACTGAGGCAGGAGAATTGCTTGAACCCGGGAGGTGGAGGTTGCAGTGAGTCAAGATCACGCCATTGCACTCTAGCCTGGGCAACAAGAGCAAAACTATGTTTCAAAAAAAAATAAAGAAAGAAAGAAAATTGGCCTAAGTCTCCCTTTACTTGCCTAAGGTCCTAAATAATGAGAAAGGAACTTGAAGGGGCCCCAAATAAAGGAATCCTCAGGTGGTTCCCCTAGAACTGGCTTCTCTAATTTTGGGTAATCATTCTCTTTGGGCCTGCCTGATGTGATTGCTAAAAGAGCTAGGTTGATTTTGCAACGCTTGCAGAAGTTTAGTAAAAAGGCCACGCCCAGCCGGGGGCAGTGGCTCAGGCCTGTAATCCCAGCACTTTGGGAGGCCTAGATGGGTGGATCACGAGGTCAGGAGATTGAGACCATCCCGGCTAACACAGTGAAACCCCGTCTCTATTAAATATACAAAAAAAGTTAGCCGGGCGTGGTGGCGGGCGCCTGTAGTCCCAGCTACTCGGGAGGCTGAGGCATGAGAATGGTGTGAACCCGGGAGGTGGAGCTTGCAGTGAGCCGAAATCGAGCCACTGCACTCCAGCCTGAGTGACGGAGCAGGACTCCGTCTCAAAAAAAAAAAAACAAAAAAAACAAAAAAAAAACAAAAACAAATACGCCATGCCCTTGTGTAAAAGAAAATAAGCCACTTTTTCTTCAAAGTTTCAGAGTTGAAGGAGTCCCAGTGCTTTAAAATACACTCGAGGGCAGTGCATGTTATACATGATCTAATTCCCATCTAGAAAGAGAAGTGAGAATAAAAGCGTTCTTTTAGTCTCCTTCCTTTTGGTATGTGATCCAGGTTGGAGACAAAAGCAGTAGGGGGAGTTCCCCCAACTATCTTCTCTCCGTGGTTTCTGGATTCCCAGCACCTATTTAAATGGGCCACCAGTGACCTGTGACTGCAGGCGTGACCCTCCAAGCCATGACATCAGAGGAACTCAACTTTTGAGCCTTAGTCACGCTTTCCCCAAGCAGCCTTAGTCCTCTGCCTTTTATTTCTCTTTGACCTTCCAGACTTGTGTGGCCTTTGTGCCTTCCTAAAAAAATGGATTTCAAGAAAAATCATGTAATTGGGCAAGACCCCTTTAAGGCAGGGGGCATGCTAGATTGAACTCTAAATCCTGCTATTATGGCCTATGATAAAACATTTACCCATAGGAAAATGGTTCCGGTTAACTTCCAGACTTAAAATTTCCCTACTAATTAAGTACTATCTTAACTGGAGACAGAATAGGTGCCTTAAAAGAACGTAGGAAGCAAATGGCCAATTTCTACTGATGGGACAATATTAGGACTAAAATCTGGCTGCAGAAGACATTTGACTCCTGTTAAAAGCAGAGCCTTCCCGTTCACAGAAATAGCAGTAAAAAAGCGCAAAATAGAAAAATTGCGAAGCTGCAATGTACCGTAGAGAACCAGCAATGTGTCTCATGAAGAGGATTTTTATTGCCACTAGGTGGCTTAGAAATACCACGTGCTCACCAGAGAAACCATAGAGAAACGTTTATTGAGTTACTGGCTGCCGTGATTCACCATCTCTTCTAGCAGACCTGTTTCCCTGAACTGTAAAGATCCCTGCACATTAGACACACAGAGAGGGTAAGAGACCATGGATAGAGACAGAAAGAAAATTTGGCCACAGGATAGTTGAGGATTCTCTGCCAACACCCGGCTGTCGGAGGCTGCGTCCGGTCCAGAGGCCCTTGAATCATGCCAGAGTGTGCCCTGACCAGAAATTCTCAGTTACCTCAGAAGTTTTCCCAGCCTCGCATGATGGCAAGGTCTCCCTGTGAAAATGTGGAATATGATGAGGTTTCTCTTCAAATAATCTCATCAATCTTTCATTCTTTAATTCATTGTACCCCCCCCCTTTTTTCTCCTTCTTTCTCCTTTTCCATTTTGCCTTTGTTAGATGCCCAGGCACACCACAGTACCAAGCGTTATCAGTACCAGCTCACATTCCTTTCCTTATTTGGAAAAATGACTAACTTTCTAGCTCATTACAGACACCCCTTCCCCTTCCTCTCCACTTGTTTTTACGTGCCCACCCTATCTTAAAAAATGAAATGTTTAGCCAACCGGGATTAGTTTAGATTGTATGACCCAACCCCAGCCAATGAGGAAAGGGTACAGGGGCAGGACTTCCATCGCAAATAAAGGCTCTCATGCCCCTTTGTTCAGGTGTGCTCTCATGGCAACTGGCCAAGGAGGCAACCCTCTGTGCAGAAGTAAAATTGCTTTGCTAAGAATCCTTTGTTCGAGTGTTCAATTTCCTTAGGATTTTGAGCGTTATCCCTAACAAAAAGAAGCTAGTTCAAACATGGCCAAAATTCCCAGTACCTGTGGGTAATGGGGGATTCTCCAAGTTCTCCCCAGCAAGCCTCACATCCGAGTCTTTAGTACGGCAGCCAATGCTAAGCCTATGTATTAGGCTGACGGACGCCCGTTTGATTTATTTTAATATAGAGGCTAAGAGCGCCTCGTAATGATAGAACAGATTTTAGGATTGCTCCCATACTCACCACTCCAACGAAGGCTGTACTTTGGATTTTCCTGGCCCATGCACCAAAATGATACGGCTCTGATGAGTGGAGGGGCACCAGGGCTCTTGTCTCATGCAAATTGGATAAAATGACACAGATACACGTGTAGTGGTATTAAGAAGTGGAGAGTTTAATAGGCAAGAAAGAAGGGAGAAGAAGAAAAGAAGAAGGCACCCCCGTACAGAGACAGAGGGAGGGGGGCTCCAAAGCCAAGAGAGGAGACCACAAATGCGGGGCATACCAACCGGGTATATGAGGAGGCTGGAGGAGGTGTTGTCTAATTTGCATAGGGCTTAGGGGATTGGTTTAACCAGGCATGTCATTCATATAGCCCACGAAAAAACTGGCCCTCTCACCCTAGCCTTTTAAGATGCAAATGCAGGGCACCATGATGTTTTACACAGGTGGGGGATATGTAGGGGTAGCCATTTGCCAGGCACATGTGGGGGCAAGGGCAAGAGGACAACGGTGGGAATCGCCATGTTTGGGTGGACCCAGTTTCTAATGGTCTGCATTTGCATATCAAATGTTGCTGGCTGGGCTCTAAGAGCCAGGGCTTTCCTGGTAAACCAGAAACGTTTCTGGAGTTGCTTTAAAAGAAACAACTTTCCAAGGACCCCTTTTCCTCTCCATCTGCCTAAAGTAATTTTTTAATAACTTCTATAAGTACATGAAAAGATGTTCAACATCATCAATCATTAGGAAAATACAGATCAAAACCACAATTAGGTACTGCATCACACTCACTAGGATGGCTATAATTAAAAAGATGGACAATAACAAGTGTTGACAAGGATGTGGAGACATAGGAACCCTTGTGCATTGCTAGTGGAATGTACAAGCAGCAGCTTTGAAAACCAGTGTGGCAGTTCCACAAAAAGTAAAACATGACTTTTTTTTTTGAGACGGAGTCTCGCTCTGTTGCCCAGGCTGGAGTGCAGTGGCGCAATCTCTGCTCACTGCAAGCTCCGCCTCCCGGGTTCACTCCATTCTCCTGCCTCAGTCTCCCGAGTAGCTGGGACTACAGGCGCCTACCACCACGCCTGGCTAATTTTTTGTATTTTTAGTAGAGACGGGGTTTCACCGTGTTAGCCAGGATGGTCTCTATCTCCTGACCTCGTGATCCGCCCGCCTTGGCCTCCCAAAGTGCTGGGATTACGGGCGTGAGCCACCGCACCCAGCCAACATGATTTTCTAATTCTATTCCTAGGTATACACCCAAGAGAAATTGAAAACGTGTGCCCACACCAAAACCAGTACATGAATTTTCATAGCAGCATAATTCATAATAGCCAAAACGTAGAAACAACCCACATGTCCATCAACTGAAGCATGGGTAAAGAAAATGTAGTATATCCATGCAATGGAAACCATTAAAAGGAATGAAGTACAGACAACATGGATGACCCTCAGAAACATGCTGAATGGAAGAAGCCAGGCACAAAAGGCCATGTGTTGTATGCTTCTGTAGCAGAACGAGCCGCAGACAAAACCTCTCAGACACCAAGTTGTAGAAGGAAAGGCTTTATTCAGCTGGGAGCATCAGCAAGCAACTGCCTTAAAATCCGAGCTCCCAGAATGCACAATTTCTGTCCCTTTTAAGGGCTCACAACACTAAAGATTTCACATGAAAGGGTCGTGATTGATTTGAGCAAGCAGGCGGTATGTGGCAGGGGCTGCATGCACCGGTGGTCAGAGAGAAACAGAACAGGGCAGGGAGTTTCACAGTGTTCTTCTATACAGTGTCTGCAATCTATGAATAACATTGGTTTCTAAGTTATGAGTTGATTTTTAACTACTGGGTTTAGGCCAGGCAGGCCCAGGCCTGGTTTCGGGCCTGGCGCCGGGCTGCCTGTCTTTGATTTTACTTTCTTGTTGTTTTTTCTTAAAACAGGTACTGAGTATAAAACAATATAAAACAATATGAGAAGTTCTCTCTTCCCTCAATTCTATGTAGATAAAATCCATCAAGACAGAAAGTAGAATAATGGTTGCCATTGGCTGAGAGGAGGGAGATGTACTTGATATCACAAGAAGGGAGTTTCTTTCTGGAGTTATTTTATTTATTTATTTATTTATTTATTTATTTATTTATTTTGAGACAGAGTCTCACTCTGTCACCCTGGCTGGAGTGCAATGGCACAGTCTCAGCTCACTGTAACCTCCGCCTCCCAGGTTCAAGCAATTCTCCTGCCTCAGCCTCCTGAGTAGCTGGAATTACAGGCATGCATCACCATGCCTGGCTAATTTTTGTGTTTTCAGTAGAGATGGGGTTTTACCGTGTTGGTCAGGCTAGTCTCGAACACCTGACCTCGTGGTCCACCTGCCTCAACCTCCCAAAGTGTTGGGATTACAGGCATGAGCCACTGCGCCCAATCTTTCTGGGATTATTAAGATGTTCTTTTGGCCGGGAACGGTGGCTTACGCCTGTAATTCCAGCACTTTGGGAGGCCGAGGCGTGCGGATCACGAGGTCAGGAGATCGACACCATCCTGGCTAACACGGTGAAACCCCATCTCTACTAAAAATACAAAAAAAATTAGCCAGGCGTGGTGGCAGGTGCCTGTAGTCCCAGCTACTCGGGAGATGGAGGCAGGAGAATGGCGTGAACCCAGGAGGTGAGCCGAGATTGCGCCACTGCACTCCAGCCTGGGCAAGAGAGCGAAACTCTGTCTCAAAAAAAAAAAAAAAAAAAAGGATGTTCTTTTTTTTTTTTTTTTTTTTTTTTTTTAAGAAGGGGTTTTGGCCAGGAGTGGTGGCTCATGCCTGTAATCCCAACACTTTGGGAGGCTGAGGCAGGCAGATCATGAGGTCAGCAGTTCGAGACCAGCCTGGCCAATGTGGTGAAACCCCGTCTCTACTGAAAATACAAAAAATTAGCTGGGCGTGGTGGTGGGCGCCTATAGTCCCAGCTACTCAGGAGGCTGAGGCAGGAGAATCGCTTGAACCTGGGAGGTGGAGGTTGCAGTGAGCCTAGACTGCGCCATTGCACTCCAGCCTGGGCGACAGAGCGAGACTCCATCTAAAAAAAAAAAAAGAAGGGGTCTTACTCTGTTTCCCAGGTTGGAGTGCAGTGGTGCAATCACAGCTCGCTGCTGCCTCGAGCTTCTGGCCTCAAGCAATCCTCTTACCTCAGCGTCCCAAGTAGCTGGAACCACAGGTGTGTGCCATCTTGCCCAGCTCATTTTTAAATTTTTTGGTAGAGAGCGAGTCTCACTATGTTGCCCAGGCTGGTCTCAAAAATTCCTGGCCTTGAGTGATCCCCCCCACCTCAGCCTCTCAAAGGGCTGGGATTACAAGTGTCAACCACTGTGCCCAGCCTGAACCCTTTAAAGCAGTGAAGTATATGCGATGTAAATTATATCTGAATTTTAAAAACGATGCTTCAGGCCAGGCGCAGTGGCTCACGCCTGTAATCCCAGCACTTTGTGGAGTTTTTTGCTTTTTTTTTTTTTGAGATGGAGTCTCACTCTGTCGTCCAGGCTGGAGTACAGTGGCACCATCTCGGCTCACTGCAACCTCCGCCTTCCAGGTTCAAGCGATTCTCCTGCATCAGCCTCCCAAGTACCTGGGATTACAGGCATGCACCACCACGCCTGGCTAATTTTTTGTATTTTTAGTAGAGAAGGGGTTTCACCGTGTTAGCCAGGATGGTCTGGATCTCCTGACCTTGTGATTTCCACCCGCCTCAGCCTCCCAAAGTGCTGGGATTACAGGCGTGAGCCATCATCCCCGGCCAGTCCCAGCACTTTGGAAGGCCAAGGTGGGTGGATCATTTGAGATCAGGAGTTTGAAACTAGCCTGGCCGACATGATGAAACCCCACCTCTACTAAAAATACAAAAATTAGTTGGGCATGGTGGCGGGTGCCTGTAATCCCAGCTACTCGGGAGGCTGAAGGGGGAGAACTGCCTGAACCCAGGAGGCGGAGGTTGCAGTGAGCCAAGATCACACCTCTGCCCTCCAGCCTGGGTGACACAGTGAGACTCTGTCTCAATAAATAAATAAATACAAGTAAAAAAATAAAAATAAAAACAATGCTTCAAGAAAAGGGGATTAAATATATCATTTAAAGTTATGATGATAACTAGTAGGAAGACTACCAATAAAAACAGCACAAAAAAAAAGAAGAAAAAAAGAATGAGTGAGATACATTCTTTGTTCTTCACATCAGGGAGTCAATAGTGCTTAAAACCACAAATGATCATCTTTTCCACTCAAGTGTAGATGCCAGGAGGACTAAAAACACAGAGCTCCTTAAACGTGGTTACCTCATGGGAATGAGAGTGAATGGATATTTTTTACTTTTTCATTTTGTACTCTGATAACTAAATTAATTAACGAAAAGCAAGAGGAGGTGGATAAGTTAACTATGCTAGAAAATTTATGAATGGACTTTATTGTTCTATTTTTATTTTTATTTATTTATTTTTTTGAGACCGAGTTTCACTCTTGGTGCCCAAGCTGGAGTGCAATGGCGCGATCTCGACTCACTGCGACCTCTGCCTCCTGGGTTCAAGCGATTCTCCTGCCTCAGCCTCTCGAGTAGCCGGGATTACAGGTGTGCGCCACTACGCCTAGCTAATTGTTTGTATTTTTAGTAGAAACGGGGTTTCACCATTTTCACCAGGCTGGTCTCAAATTCCTGACCTCAGGTGATCTGCCCTCCTCGGCCTCCCAAAGTGCTGGGATTACAGGTGTGAGCCACTGCGCCTGGCCCTATTTTGATTATTATACGCAGAGGGTCACTGAATTGTTGACTCAGGTCATGTAAGCAGCTCTTCTGCATCTTCTGTGCTTTCCCCAATGAATGTTTCATTCACTGGAATTAATTAGGTTGGAATGGAAAGTGCAGGACTTGGTTTAGTCCTCAAAATCTTACATCCTTTGGGGAAGTTACTATACCAATAATCTAAAAATGTATTCACTATAATCCTCCACCTAAAAGGCTGCCAAACCGCAGCAAATTCCCTTTCTGGTTCACAGCTTATTAAGAAAACTAAGCAGATCATGCAGAAAATAAAAATTAAATATTTTTTGTTTCTTAGATTATAGTTAAGGGGCTTTTTTGAGATGAAGTTTTGCTCTTGTTGCCCAGGCTGGAGTGCAATGGTGTGATCTTGGCTCACAGCAACCTCCACCTCCAGGGTTCAAGCGATTCTCCTCTCTCAGCCTCCTGAGTAGCTGGGATTACAGGCATGCGCCACCACACCCAGCTAATTTTGTATTTTTAGTAGAGATGGGGTTTCTCCATGTTGGTCAGGCTGGTCTTGAACTCCTGACCTCAGGTGATCCACCCTCCTTGGCTTCCCGAAGTGTTGGGATTACAGGCATGAGCCACTGCGCCTGGCCTCAGTTAAGGGACTTTTTACATATTTATTTATTTATTTATTTATTATTATTTTGAGACGAAGTCTCGCTGTTGTTCTCCAGGCTGGAGTGCAATGGCACGACCTTGGCTCACTGCAACCTCCGCCTCCCGGGTTCAAGCGATTCTCCTGTCTTGGCCTCCCAAGTAGCTGGGATTACAGGCGCCTGCCATCATGCCTGGCTAATTTTTGTATTTTTAGTAGAGACGGGGTTTCACCATTATGGCCAGGCTGGTCTTGAAGTCCTGACTTCAGGTGATCTGCCTGCCTCGGCCTCCCAAAGTGCTGGGATGACAGGTGTGAGCCACCACACTCGGCCTTTATTTATTATTTTCGAGACAGGGTATCTCTCTGTCGCCCAGGCTGGAGTGCAGTGGTGCAGTCACGGCTGGTTGCAGCCTCAAACTCCTGGGCTCCAGCAATTCTCCTGCCTCAGCCTCCTGGGTAGCTGGAACTACAGGTGCAAATTATCATGCCTGGCTAATTTTTAAATTTTTTGTCAAGATGGGGTCTCTCTATATTGCCCAGGCTGGTCTCAAACTCCTGGCCTCAAGTGATCTCCCTTCTGGGCTTCAAAAAGTGCTGGGATTATAAGTATGAGCCACCACCTCCGGCCTTCCCTCCTTCCTTCCTTCCTTTCTGCCTTCCTTCCTTCCTTTCTCAAAAAAAAAAAAAAAGAAGTCAGTGTTGTCTGACTGGTATTGTCTGATTACCTGCATATATTGATATATTATTCCAATAAAGATGCTTGCTTTTTCCTTTGGTTAAAAAGTATCCGGCCAGGCGCGATGGCTCACGCTTGTAACCCCAGTACTTTGGGAGGCTGTGGTGGGCGGATCACCTGAGATCAGGAGTACGAGACCAGCCTGGCCAACATGGTAAAACCCCATCTCTACTAGAAATACAAAAATTAGCTGAGTGTAGTGGCACGCACCTGTAATCCCAGCTACTTGGGAGGCCAAGGGAGAAGAATTGTTTGAACCCGGGAGGCAGAGGTTGCAGTGAGCCAAGATCACACCATTGCACTCCAGCCAGGGCGACAAGAGAGACTCTGTCTCAAAAAAAAAAAAAAAAAGCATCCAAAACCCTGGCACGGTGGCTCACCGCTGTAATCCCAGTTACTTGGAAGGCCAAGGCAAGAGAATCACTTAAGGACAGGAGTTCAGGACCAGCCTGTGCAACATAGCAAGACTCCTGCTTAAAAAAAAAAAAAAGTGTCCGAATATCTAGAATAATGCAACTTGTGGGATAGCTCCTTCTTGTTGCTAAGGCTCCTGAATCTTTTAGCTGAAGAACTAGGAGAGAGGAAAGAGGTTATCCAAGGACCCACTGAACTAGAGGTATGTATTATGATTTTTTTGCCCTTGATAATTTTCTGGGGGTGCTATACTAGAGTCCCATGATCTGAAGCGCAAGGCGTACCTGAAATAAATAAAGCCTGCGTTATCTGGCCTAAATCTGATGTGCACAGTGACGGATGGAGATGTTATTCACAGCCACACAGGCAGATTTTCTTCAGTACTTCGGTCTTAGAATGCTGAGCTACTTAGGGCCTCCGGAAGCAGGTCTTAAATGTTGCTGAGTAATTGGCAAAACAATCAATTACTCAGGAAGTCATTGGAACAAAGTATAGAGGCGGTGAACATTTACATAATTTTACCCACCTGGTTGTCTTGAAGGGCTAGCCATAAATTAATGTATGTGTCCGCAGCATAATGCCACAGCGGGATTTTTTTAAAGATCCGACGTTGAATTGTTTGCAGATAGTTGGTTTGCTAAGAATGTCTCGCCGTTGTGTTTTTTGTTTGTTTGCTCTGGGTTTTTTTTGGGACAGAGTCTCACTCTGTCGCCCAGGCTGGAGTGCAGTGGCATGATCTCGGCTCACTGCAACCTCTGCCTTTGAGGTTCAAGTGATTCTTGTGCCTCAGCTTCCTGCGTAGCTGGGTTACAGGCACCCGCCACTACGCCTGGCTAATTTTTGTGGGTTTTTTGTTTTTGTTTTTTGAGACAGAGTTTCGATCTTGTTCCCCGGGGTGGAGTGCAGTGGTGTGATCTCGGCTCATGGAAACCTCCGCCTCCCGGGTTCAGCGATTCTCCTGCCTCAGCCTCCCAAGTAGCAGTAGCTGGTACTACAGGCACATGCCACCACGCCCAGCTAAGTTTGTATTTTTAGTAGAGAAGGGATTTCCCCATGTTGGTCAGGCTAGCTTTGAACTCCTGACCTCAGGTGATCCACCTGCCTTGGCCTCCCAGAGTGCTGGGATTACAGGCGTGAGCCACCGTGCCTGGCCTTGCTGTTTTTAAATGCTTTTACCTTTCACGGCCTCAGCACACTAAAACTCATATCCACTGAGGTGACTCACTGTCAATCTGGTTTGACCTCTTGCCATCTTTGACCTCTAGATTGAGTGCCCCAGTTCTGGGCTTCTGTAGCATCGGATGGTGGGTGGGCGGAGGGGTGGGAAGAGTGATGAGTGGATGGAAGCACAAGGGGGTGGATAGGATGGGTCGGGGGTGGACAGGATGGGTCGGGGGTGGACAGGATAGATGGGGGTGGACAGGATGGGTGGGGGTGGACAGGATGGATGGGTGTATTACCGAAACGCCAGGGATTCAGTCTAGGTCCCATTGCTTACTGCACAGAAAGCTGATCTGGGATCCCGGGACAATGAGTATCGCCAGGAAAGAAGGCTTTATTCAGATGACATCTGCCAAGGAGACAGGAGATAAGTCTCAAATCCATCTCTCCAACAAACTCCAATTGGGGGTTTATATAGTGGGGAGCAAATGTAGCTGTGGGTGGGAAAACAGGAATTAGAGGGGGGTAAAGAAAAGGAGTTTCAGTTCCTTGATGCTATCTGGGAGGCCTGAGGGTCAGTTTCCTGGGGAAGGAACTCAGATAAGGCAAATTTAAGTTTCAAGCTTTAAGACCAGGAATGTCAATTTCTGTGTTTATCCAAAAAAAAAAAAAAAAAAAAAAAAATCTATGGGACAATTTGGCCAGTTTCCGGTGGGCAGGACAGCAGGTGGAAGGGGCGAGGGGCGCGGGTGGGTGGGTGAGGAGGAGGACAGGCATCAGGTGAGCGGATGGATGGGGTTGGTGGGTAACCCAGACAGTATTTGGGAGGGGATGGGTGGCTGGGAGTGAATGTGAGTAGCTGGTGAATCTGGAGTACACGGGGCTTTGAAAAGTCACAGGGGTACCCTGGGCAGTTGGATGGGGGTCTGATGAGGGGATGAGGCTGGAAAAGTGGGTGGAGAAAAAACTGCTGCCAATGCCTCCTCGCGTTGATTCTTGAGCAGATGCTATGCTGCGTATTCATAGCCTCCTTGGCTATTGCCTTCGGAATCCGGAAAGGGAGCTGGAATTAGAGACGAACGGAGGGCCGCGTGGTTGCAGTGCCCTCTGGTGGCCATCAGGGGTGGCCATCAGGACAATTGGTGTCTACATATTTTCCTTAAGTATTTTTTCATTGTCTATTCTTCCCCGCCCCCACCCCAACCCCAACATACAGACTCCCTGAGGACAGAGATTTTTATCTGTTTACTCGTTGTATGTTCATTGTCTAGAATAGTGCCTGGCACACAGTAGATGCTCAGTTAAATATTGAATGAGTGAATGACACAATTCAAACTGCTCCACCACTTTATATATTTATTTATTTATTTATTTTTGTTTGAGACAGGGCCTCTGTCACCCAGGCTGGAGTGCAGTGGTGCAGTCACAGCTCACTGCAGCCTCAACTGCCCAGGCTTAAGCGATCCTCTCACCCCAGTCTCCTGAGTAGCTGGGACTACAGGTGTGCACCACCACAGCTGGATAATTTTTTAAAAATAGAAATTGAGTCTCACTATGTTGCCCAGGCTGGTCTTGAACTCCTGGGCTCAAGTGATCCTCCTGCCTCAGCCTCCCAAAGTGCTGAGATTACAGGTGTGAGCCACCATGACTGGCCTCCACCACTTTATTGATGAGTGACCCTAAGCAGCTCTCTTAACTTTATAAAGCCTCAGTCTCCTCTTCGGTAAGTGGAGAGGCTAACGCCCGCCCCCACGAGCATTAACTGAGGGAAGGGGACCTGCACACCCTGGATGAAGGTGCTCCCTGCTAGCTCCCGTCTCATGCAGTAGCCAGCATTGCTGGCACATCCCGTACTCACAACAGCATATCATTTTCATTAAACAAACTGCTATGATGGGCACATTTGCCATTGTCTGTGGGGCATCCTGGGGAAATGATCCCAGCTTGGTCCTAGGCTGGCCAGGCAAAGAGGAAGTGTAGCCAGATGGACAAGGGACTGGGAGGTGATGCATAAGAGTCCTTGCCTGCCACGCATGCCCCATTTCCCCACCCCCTCAGTCACACCCAACTCTTCCAACTGCCTTGAGCCATCGAACTCCCTCTGCCTTCTGAAGCTCTGAAGACACTGTATCACTTCTCTCCAAACCCCATGGCCATGACCCACACTCAAGTCCTCTTCCACAGCTCCTCCTGGCCTCCCTGCAGCTGCTCTAGCCCCCTCAAATGCATCCTTCTGCAACGGACTGGATTGAAGCTGCGAATAAGCTTATCTGATTTTCCAGCTTGATTTCCAGCTCACTCATGAGACAGAGTCCAAATCCTCCGATCTACCATTTTGTGGTCTGGACCCAGCCCATCTCCTAGCCACCTCCTGATCACAGCTTCAAATCTTACAGCAAACAATCCAAGCCACCTCTGCCCATGCATCTCCCCTGCCTGGAAATCCATTTCCCTGCAAGGAGGGCGTGTGTTGCCCTAGAGTGCCCAGGATCCATTTCCTGTTCCCCCAGTAATGGAGTGCCCGCCCCAGCTCTCAGAGCTGGAGGATACTGGAGGGCTAACCCATTTCTGGGTTTAGGGGGAGCTTAAGACTCAGGCAGGCAGGTTCCTTTCGCTTTTTTAATGGAACGCTGTGGCTGCAACGAGCATTTTCCAGTTGGCCACAGCGCACCCCCACTTTGTCTTATTCCAGTTCCACCCATTTATTTTATCCGAATAGGTCCTGGAGGCACCGAGTTTGCAGCTCCTGGTACCCTCTCCTCACTTCTGCTCTGTCAGGCCCCAATGCCTGCCCAGATCCCAGATCCCAGTTCCCAGATCACCCCGGGGCTCAACTTTCCTCCCTTGATGCCCAGTGGAACCCCTGGTCCCATGGGGCTTCAGTTTCCCCAGTTCAGGCATAAGAAGCTGGGGTTCATCTGAGCGTGTCCATGTTCCCCCTGGAGGAAGGACGGGAGCAGGCAGGGTGGAGCTGGGATTAGAGGGGACAGGGCAGCTGCAGGTGGCACCTCTGGGCTGTGTCCTCTTGTAGCAGGACGAGCCACAGACAAAACTCCTCAGGCACCGGATTAAAGAAGGAAGAGGTTTATTTGGCCAGGAGCATTGGCAGACTTGCATCTTAATAGCTGAGATCCCTGAAAAAGAAATTCTTGGCCTTTTTAAAGGCTTACAACTCTAAGGGGTCCACGTGAAAGGGTCATGATATCTCAAGCAAGCGGGGAACGTGACTGGGGGCTACACGCATCAGCTAACAGAGCAGAAAGTTTTGCAATGCTTTTTCATACAATGTCTGGAATTTACAGATAACACAAGTAGTTTAGGTCAGGGGTTGATATTATTATTATTGTTACTTTTTTTTAACTACCAGGGCCGGGTGGTGTCGCCAAGGTCTTCTGGCTATTTATCTTACTTCTGTTTTGTTTTGTTTTCTAACTTTTTGCTTTCTCTCTTTCCTCCTGTCTTGTAAACTAGGCAAGGTGGGGGGAGGAGGGCAGCAGGAGTAGTAGTGGTCTCCTTCTTACTGTGGGACTGGCCCCTTTGGTTTAGGGTATCACCAAAGGCAGTGTCTAGGCCAGCCCAGTGTCTCTGCCCAGCAAACCTCCATCTGCTGTGCACTCACAGCCAGGCCATGCTGGTGTTTGGTACAGGTTGGGTGCATGAAGGATGAAGGTTTTGGCCTGTCTGGGGCTTTTGCCTGCCTTTCTTCCTTTCTTTCCATCCTTCCTTTCCCTCCCTCCCTCCCTCCCTCTCTCTTTCTCTCTTTCTTTCCTTTGTTTCTTCTTTGGAGACAGAGTCTCGCTCTATCACCCAGGCTGGAGTGCAGTGGCACCATCAGCTCACTGCAACCTCCACTTCCTGGGTTCAAGCGATTCTCCTGCCTCAGCCTCCTAAGTAGCTGGGATTACAGGCGCGTGCCACCACACCCAGCTAATTCTTCTATTTTTGGTAGAGATGGGGTTTCACCATGTTGGCCAGGCTGGTCTCAAACTCCTGAACTCAAGTGATCTTCCCGCCTCAGCCTCCCAAAGTGCTGGGATTACAGGTGTGAGCCATCGTGCCCGGCTGTCCCAGGTAACTTCTGACATTTGCTGACCCCTCACTATGTGCTCATTATCACCGCAGAACCCCATGTGGTTGATCCTTTATTAGACCCATTTTACAGATTAGGAAACTGAGATGAGCAGAGGTGAAGTCAGCCCTGACAGGTCACAGGAGCAGCAGGTGGCAGAGCCAGAGTTGGGCTCAAGCTAGTGCCAAATGTGCCCCATTGGCCACTGACCCTAAAGATGTGTGACCCAGAGGGTCCTGAGGAGCCACGTTAACCCATGGCCGGTGTCATCCTCTTCCGGTTTAGGACTAGTGGATTTTGGGCACTGGAGCCACCTCTTTGGCAAACAGCTTGAGGGAGAAATCAAGGGCTGGGGCCGCCTGGGTCAGCATCCCCATGGAGATGACGTCTATGTGCGGCCCGCAGAACTGGGGGAGGTTGTCCAGGGTGATGCCCCCACTGGCTTCCACAGCCACACTCGGGAACTGGGCCTTCAGCACGGTGGCCGTGGGGTGCAGCTCCTGCGGGACACAAGCCAAGGGGAGGTAAGAGCCCACCACAGATCCCTCCCCGGAGGCAGAGCCCACCTTACCTCTGGCTTGAAGTTGTCCAGCAGGACAAGGTCGGCACCAGCCTCAGCTGCCTGCACGGCCTCCTGCAGGCTGCTGCATTCCACTTCCACCTTCAGAGTGAAGTCAGCCGCCTGTCTGGCCGCCCGCACCGCCTGCTGGGCAGCCGGGAGGACAAGGGTGAGGACTGGGCCCAGCACCTGGCACTGGGGCGCAGGGAGCCGGGAGGGCGAGGGTGACGATAGGGCCCAGCACTGCAGCTGGGGCGCGGGGAGCCGGGACTGACATTTGAAAAGCTTCGGGTGGACCATGAACTTGGGGTTAATAAGGAAACCAGACTTTGGGGTTGTTTTTGCTTTGTTTTGTTTTTGAGACAGGGTCTCAACCTGTCGCCCAGGCTGGAGTGCAGTGGTGCAATGATAGCTCACTGCAGCCTCTACCTCCTGGGATCAAGTGATTCTCCCACCTCAGTCTCCCGAGTAGCTGGGACTACAGGTGCGTGCCACCATGCCCAGCTAATTTTTGTATTTTTAATAGAGACGACGTTTCACCATGGTGGCCAGGATGGTCTCTAACTCATGACCTCGTGATCCACCCATCTCAGCCTCCCAAAGTGCTGGGATTACAGGCGTGAGCCACCGCACCTGGCCACTGTTTTGTTTTTGAGTCAGGGTCCCGCTCTGTCGCCCAGGCTGGAGTTCAGTGCAGTCATAGTTCACTGCAGCCTCCACCTCCTGGGATCAAGTGATCCTCCCACCTCAGCCTCCCAAGTGGCTGGGACTACAGGGGCTTGCCCACAAGCATGGCTAATTTTTTAATTTTTTGTAGAGACAGAATCTTGCTATATGGCCCAGGCTGGTCTCAGACTCCTGGACTTAAGTAATCCCCCCAACTGGGCCTCCCAAAGTGCTGGGATTACAGGTATGAGCCACTGAGCCAGGATGTTTTATTGTAGGTTAAAATGACCACTTTTGTGGGTCAAAAAGTGGATGAATATCAGCAATATTTGGCATTTGGACCTGAGCTCAATTTGACTCAGAATATTAAAATTAGAAGGGGTGTTTAAGGGCATTTCACAGATGGGAAATAAGGTGCAGAGGGCTAGAGAGATGGGCTCAAGGCTGTGGTGCCAGTGACACTGGCTTCCCCTGTGTTGTCCTTTGCTCTTGAACATCACGCCACGCAGCAGCAGAACAAAGATAAAGAACCAATTCCAAAACCAGGCATGGTGGCTTATGCCTATAATCCCAGCACTTTGGGTGGCCAAGGTGGGAGGATCACTTGAGTCCAGAAGTTTGAGACCAGCCTGGGCAACATAGTGAGACCCCATCTCAAAAAAAAAAAAAAAAAAAAAAAAGGCAGCTGGGTGCAGTGGCTCACTCCTGTAATCCCAGCACTTTGGGAGGCCGAGGTGGGTGGATCACCTGAGGTCAGGAGTTTGAGACCAGTCTGGCCAACATGGTGAATCCCTGTCTCTACTAAAAAATACAAAAATTAGCCGGGCATGGTGGCTGGCGCCTGTAATCCCAGCTACTCGGGAGGCGGAGGCAGGAGAATTGCTTGAACCCAGGAGGCAGAGGTTCCAGTGAGCCGAGATTGCATCACTTCACTCCAGCCTGGGTGAAAGAGTGAGACTCCATCTCAAAAAAAAAAAAAAAAAAAAAAAGCAAAAATTAGCCAGTGGGGTGGAGCATGCCTGTATATCCAGCTACTGGAGAGACTGAGGCCCCATCTCCAGAAAAAGAAAAGCAGGCCCAGCTCCCCTTTAGCTTAGCTGGATGAGCTCAACTGAGCCCAGCTCAGATGGAGGAGCTGAGGTGGGAAGAGTCTTGTGTTGCTGACTCCAGGCCATGGCTGTTCACCCGGTCATGGCTGGAGGCTCTGGAGAGGGGAGGGGAGGGGAGGGGTGTGCTGAGGGTGGGGTTGGACCAGGGACAGGCAGGACCAGCACCTTCTCCACGCCACCGGCGGCCACCACATGGTTATCCTTCACCATCACCAGCCCTCCCAGGTCGTAGCGGTGCGAGGCGGCCCCGCCCACCAGGAGCCCATACTTCTCCACCAGCCGGAAGCCTGGCGTGGTCTTCCTCGTGCCTGCCACGTGCCCAGTCCAGCCGGCCCCCCTGGCGGCCTCCACTGCAGCGGCGGCAGCACTGGCAATGCCACTGCAGCGGGCCAGCGTGTTGAGGGCCACCCGTTCCCCCAGCAGCAGGCAGTGGGCAGGGCCCCGGACCTCGGCCACTCTGGCCACCGGCACCAGCTTCGATCCCTCGGGGAGGAACCAGGAGACTTGGCAGTTGAGTTGGGTAAATATGGCATCGAAGAAAGGCTGCCCTGCCAGTACCCCAGGGGATTTGGCCCACAGCGCCGCCTGCGAGGGGCCTGCCCCGCTGACCAAGGCTGCGTAGTTGAGCCCTGGGCAGTCCTCTCGGAGCCAGCTGTCCACCAGGGCTGCCAGGGTGACGGGCGGCAGCAGCAGCGCCAGGCCTGGGGGGAAGAGAGAACAGCTGTTGAGTTTGGCTGCCTCTCCTGCTGTCAGGGGTCACTGTCAAAATATTTAACAACCAGTGAAACTGGGAACTGGCCCATCAGCCTCAAGATCTAGGGGTCCCAGGGGGGGGACTGCGGTGAGGAAGGGGGGCGTGGGGGGAAGGGAGGTTGTGGGGGCGAGGGTGAGGGAGTGCTGTGGGCTTGATGAGATCACTGGGCACCTAGTTAAATTTAAACTTCTGGGCCGGGCGCGGTGGCTCACGCCTGTAATCCCAGTACTTTGAGAGGCCGAGGCGGGCGGATCACGAGGTCAGGAGATCGAGACCATTCTGGCTAATATGGTGAAACCCCGTCTCTACTAAAAATACGAAAAAATTAGCCAGGCTTGGTGGCGGGCGCCTGTAGTCCCAGCGACTCCAGAGGCTGAGGCAGGAGAATGGCGTGAACCTGGGAGGTGGAGCTTGCAGTGAGCCGAGATCAGGCCACTGCACTCCAGCCGGGGTGACAGAGTAAGACTCCGTCTCAAAAAAAAAAATTAAACTTCTGACCGGGTGCGGTGGCTCACGACTGTAATCCCAAACACTTTGGGAGGCTGGGGCAGGCAGATCACTTGAGGTCAGGGGTTCAAGGCCAGCCTGGCCAACATGGTCTCTACTAAAAATACAAAAATTAGCCAGGCTTGGGGGTGGACACCTGCAATCCCATCACAGTTTGTTTATCCAATACTCACCAGTTGCAGCTTTCAAATTCACTTAAAAAAAAAATCAGTCTGGCCAGGCGCGGTGGCTCACGCCTGTAATCCCAGCACTTTGGGAGGCCAAGGCGGGAGGATCACCTGAGGTCAGGAGTTTGAGACCAGCCTAGCCAAAATGGTAAAACCCTCCTGTCTCTACTAAAAATACAAAAATTAGCCGGGCGTGGTGGCAGGCGCCTGCAATCCCAGCTACTCGGGAGGCTGAGGCAAGAGAATTGCTTGAACCCGGGAAGCAGAGGTTGCAGTGAGCCGAGGTCACGCCACTGCACTCCAGCCTGGGTGACAGAGCAAGACTCCACCTAAAAAAATAGTAATAAAAATAAAAAATAAATAAAATGAGGATGATGGGGCTGGGTACAGTGGCTCATGCTTGTAATCCCAGCACTTTGGGAGGCTGAGGCAGGTGGATCACCTGAGGTCAGGAGTTCAAGACCAGCCTGGCCAACATGGCAAAACCCCGAAAAAAATGAGCCAAGTATAGTGGCGCAGGCCTGTAATCCTAGCCACTCGGGAGGCTGAAGCAGGAGAATCGCTTGAACCCAGGAGGCAGAGGTTGAAGTGAGCTGAGATCGTGCCACTGCACTCCAGCCTGGGTGACAGAGCAAGACTCCGTCTCAAAACAAAAAAAAGGATGATGGGGAGGTGGGGAAGGTTAATGGGTACAAAAAAAATAGAAAGAATGAATAAGACCTACTATTTGCTAGCACAACAGGGTGACTACAGTCAATAATAACTGTACATTTCGAAATAACTAAAAGAATGCAATTGGATTGTAACAGAAAGGATAAATGCTTGAGGGGATGGACACCCCATTCTCTATGATGTAATTTTTTTTTTTTTTTTTTGAGACAGAATCTCACTCTTGTTGCCCAGGCTGGAGTGCAATGGAGTGATCTCGGCTCGCTTCAACCTCCGCCTTCCGGATTCAAGCGATTCGCCTGCCTCAGCCTCCCGAGTGGCTGGGGTTACAGGCGCCTGCCACCATACCCGGCTAAATTTTGTATTTTTAGTATAGACGGGGTTTCACCATGTTGGCCAGGCTGGTCTGGAACTCCTGACCTCGTGATTCGCCCGCCTCCGCCTCCCAAGTGCTGGGATTACAGGCGTGAGCCACTGCGCCCGGCCTAACCTGATTTATTTATTTATTTGTTTTTTTGAGACGGAGTCTCGCTCTGTCGCCACTGTGGCGCCTGCAGTGGCCTGGCGACTGCAGAGGCGCGATCTCGGCGTCAGCCACCGCATCTAGCCCATGATGTGATTATTATGCATTGCATGCCTTTATCAATGTGCACCCCATAAATATATACACCTACTATATACCCACACTTTTTTTTTTTTTTTGGAGATAGTCTCGTTCTGTTGCAGTGGCGCGATCTCGGCTCACGGCAAGCTCCGCCTCCCGGGTTCACGCCATTCTCCTGCCCCAGCCTCCCGAGTAGCTGGGACTACAGGCGCCCACCACCACGCCTGGCTAATTTTTTTGTGTTTTTAGTAGAGACGGGGTTTCACCGTGTTAGCTGGGATGGTCTCAATCTCCTGACTTCGTGATCCGCCCGCCTCGGCCTCCCAAAGTGCTGGGATTACAGGCGTGAGCCACCGCGCCCGGCCAGTACCCACACTTAAAAAATAAATAAATAAATAAATAAATAAATAAATAAGGATAGTGGACATGGTGAAGGCCCCTCGCGCGGTAGGCATAGCCCGTGATGGGCCCTGCATGGCTGCGGGCAGAGGCAAACCCAGGCGCGGTGCAACAGCGCCATCTATCGGCAGGGAGAAGACCTGCAGCCTAATGGACCCCCGCCATCCGTGGAGTTGGCTTCCCCTTGAGGGGAACACAGAGCCAGCGAGGGTGTTTGATTTAGCGCGCACACACGTGCACGCACACGCACAAGCACGCGCACACAGCACACTTCTGTTCCAAGTGGAAGTGAAGGCCAGACATCCTGGCTTGCTCCGCTCTCCAAAGAGGGCCCTCTCTTGTCTACTTCCCCAAAGCCAAGCTGCTGAGTCTCCACTCACTCACCCCACCTCCCCTCCGAGCCACAAGCCTCCTTGACTGCACCCGGCTCTCCTTCGCCACATTCTCTCCCACATCTGCCCCAGATGGCTCCTGTCCCTCCACTAAGAGCTAGCTATACTGAGGCTGGGCACTGTCTCTGTTGGTCACATCCAGCTACGGAAAAGGCCTGGGAGCAAACGGCAGGGAGGAGAGCCTAATCCCCCACTCCCACTCCATTCAAACTAGGTGCAGTGCAGTGGCACGATCATGGCTCACTGCAGCCTCAACTGCCCAGGCTTAAGCAATCCTCTCGCCTCAGCTTCCCAAGGAACTGGGACTACAGGCGCACACCAACCATGCCCGGCTAATTTTTGTATATTTTTTGTTGTAGAGATGGGGGTCTCACTATATTCCCCAGCCTCGTCTTGAACTCCCAGGCTTAAGCAATCCTCGCACCTCAGCCTCTCAAAGTCCTGGGATTACAGGAGTGAGCCACTGTGCCCACCCTGATTTTTTTTTTTTTTTTTTTTTTTTTTTTTTGATGCAGAGCTTCACTCTTTTGCCCAGGCTGGAGTGAAGTGGCCTGATGTCACCTCACTGCAACCTCCGTCCCGCGGGTTCCAGGGATTCTTCTGCCTCAGCCTCCCAAGTAGCTGGGATTACAGGTGCCCGCCACCACGCCCAGCTAATTTTTGTATTTTTAGTAGAGACAGGGTTTTGCCATTTTGGCCAGGCTGCTCTCAAACTCCTGACCTCAGGTGATCCTCCCGCCTTGGCCTCCCAAAGTGCTGGGATTACAGGCGTGAGCCACCGTGCCTGGCCAGACTGATTTTTTTCTTTTTTTTTCAGGCTGATTTTTTAAAAAATGGATTTGAATTCTGCAACTGGTGAGTATTGGGTAAACAACCTGTGATGCAGGCTGGGCACCATGGCTCACGCCGTAATTCCAGCACTTTGGGAGGCCAAGGTGGGCAGATCACGAGGTCAGGAGTTCAAGACCAGCCTCTCCAACATGGTGAAATCCCATCTCTACGAAAAAATACAAAAACTAGCCGGGCGTGGTGGCATGTGCCTGTAATCCCAGCTACTTGGGAGGCTGAGGCAGGATAATCACTTGAACCAGGGAGGCGGAGTTTGCAGTGAGCTGAGGTCATGCCGCTGCACTCCAGCCTGGACCACAGACTGAGAATCCATCTCAAAAAAAGAAGAAACCAACTACTGATACACACAACAATAGGGACCTGTCTCAAATGTATCAGTCTAACTAAAAGGAGCCAGATCCAAAAGGCCGTATGATCCCATTCCCGCAGCATCCTGGGAAAGGCAAAACTATAGGCACAGAGCAAATCAGCATTGCCTGGGGAGTGGGAGGAGTTGACCACCGAGATCTGGCGAGGTTGCAAAGAAAAAGGATCACTTATACACTGTTGGTGGGAGTGTAAATTAGTTAAACCATCGTGGAGGACAGTGCAGCAATTTCTCAAAGACCAAAAACCAGAAATACCATTCCACCCAGCAATCCCATTACTGGGTATATACCCAAAGGAATGTAAACCATTCTGTTATAAAGACACATCACAGCACTATTCACCATAGGAAAGACATGATTCAACCTAAATGCCCATCAATGCTAGACTGGACAAAGAAAGTGTGGTACACATACACCGTGGAATACTATGCAGCCACAAAAAAGAATGAGATTACGTTCTTTGCAGGGACATGGATGGCGCTGGAGGCCATTATCCTTAGCAAACAAACGCAGGAACAGAAAACCAAATACCGCGTGTTCTCACTTATAAGTGGGAGCTAAATGATGAGAACACATGGACACATAGAGGGGAATAACACATACTGGAGCCTATTGGAGGGCGGAAGTTTGGAGGAGGGCAAGTGTAGCAAGACGAGCTGTGGACAAAACCCCTCAGACACCAAGATAGTGAAGGGAGTGGCTTTAATCAGCTGGGAGCATTGGCAGGCTAGCGTCTTAAAATCCGAGCTCTTCAGGTGCTCAACTTCTGTCCTTTTTAACGGCTCACAACTCTAAGGGGGTCCGCGTGAGAGGGTCGTGATTGAGCAAGCCAGGGGGTACGTGACAGGGGCTGCGAGCACCGGTGGTCAGAGTGAAACAGAACCTAACGGGAGGTTTCACAATGTCCTTCCATACAATGTCTGGAATCTATAGATAACAACAGTTGCTAGGTCAGGGGTCGAATTTTAACTACCAGGCTTAGGTCAGGCACGCCCAGGCCTGATTTCGGGTCTGGTTCCTTGGTTTCCGGTCTGGTTCCTAGGCACCAGGCTACCTGCCTTTAGTTTCGCTTCTCTTTCCTTTTCTGAGTATGAAACAATATGAGAGGGTCTCTCTCTTCCCTCAAGAGGATCAGGAAAAATAACTAATGGGTACTAAACTTAATACCTGGGTGACTAAATAATGTGTACAACCCCCATGACACAAGTTTACCTATATAATAAACCTGCACATGTACCCCTGAACTTAAGATAAAAGTTAAGGCCGGGCATGGTGGCTCATGCCCGTAATCCCAGCACTTTGGGAGGCCAAGGTGGGTTGATCACCTGAGGTCAGGAGTTCAAGACCAGCCTGTCCAACATGGCAAAACCTCATCTCTACTAAAAACACAAAAATTAACCAGCTGTGGTGGCAGGCGCCTGTAATCCCAGCTACTTGGGAGGCTGAGGCAGGAGAATCTCTTGAACCCAGGAGGCAGAGGTTGCAATGAGCTGAGATTGCGCCATTGCAATCCATCCTGGGTGACAGAGTGCAATTCGGTCTCAAAAAAAAAGTTAAATTTAAAAACAAACAAAAGGCTGGGCGCGGTGGCTCACGCCTGTAATCCCAGCACTTTGGGAGGCTGAGGCAGGCGAATCACCTGAGATCAGGAGTTTGAGACCAGCCTGACCAATATTATGAAACCCCGTCTCTCCTAAAAATACAAAAATTAGCCGGGCATGGTGGTGTGCGCCTGTAGTCCCAGCTACTCGGGAGGCTGAGGCAGGAGAATCGCTTGAACCCAGGAGGCAGAGGTTGCAGTGAGTCAATATCGCGCCATTGCACTCCAGCCTGGCCAACAAGAGCGAAACTCAGTCTCAAAAAAAAAAAAAAAGAGAATAAAAACAAACAAAAAATTAGCCTGAGGTCAGGAGTTCAAGACCAGCCTGTCCAACATGGCAAAACCCTGTCCCTACTAAAAACACAAAACTTAGCTGGGTGTGGTGGCATGTGCCTGTAATCCCAGCTCCTCGGGAGGCTGAGGCACGAGAATTGCTTGAACCTAGGAGGCAGAGTTTGCAGTGAGCCGAGATAGCACCACTGTACTCCAGCCTGGGCGACAGAGTGAGACTCTGTCTTAAATAAATTAATAAACAAACAAATAAATAAAGTAACTTTGATGGGCTCACTCAGAGGTTCTGTCTATAGCCAAACCTCACTCAGGTTCCCTCAGCTCTTTTCCAGTTAGGCCTTGGACTTCCGTGTTCACCTCTGCATCGTCCAATTTTAGCAAGAATACTGCTAAGTCAGCTTAGCCAGTCCCTCATCCTCCACATCTGATTGCCCCCGATCCCTGATGGGGGTCCTCATTCTCCACTCTCCCCCAGGCGCTGTCTGACCACCTTGGCCTGCCCTCAGCAAGAATCCCTTTAGGTTGGTCTTGTCAGAATACCCCCAACCCCCAGTGCTTTCTCATGGTAATGTCCCATCCACTGCCCCCAACTCTGCTCGTTGGCTATAACCCCCATGGTGTAGAGTTCAGCCCAGTTCTGATCTAAGGTCACTCTTCCCCTACAGCAATAGTCTGGAATGCAATATGTTTTTGCTATTTTAACGACTGTCTAGTTCTGGTTTTCTTTGATCACTCTCCTGCTGAAAACTGACCTTTCATGGTTTCAGCTCCAGTTCTCTTGACTTTTTTCTTTCTTTCTTTTTGAGACAGAGTGGAATGCAGTGGTGCAATCATGGCTCACTGCAGCCTTGAACTCCCGGGCTCATGTGGTCCTCTCACCTCAGCCTCCTGAGTAGCTGCTCCACCATGCCAAGGTAATTTTTTTTTTTTTTAATAGAGACAGGGTCTCAAACTCCTGGCTTTTAAACATTTTTTTCTTTTTCTTTTTTCTGAGACAGTCTCACTTTGTTGCCCAGGCTGGAGTGCAGTGGCATGCAATGGAAAAGGGATGGACCCCCGAGCTTTGGCAATAAAAGTAGACTCACTGCAGCCTCTGCCTCCTGAGTTCTCCTGCCTCAGCCTCCTGAGTAGCTGGGATTACAGGCATGTGCCACCATGCCTGGCCAATTTTTGTATTTTAGTACATTTCTGTATTTTATAACAGCACGAGGAGGTCATTATTGTCATCCCTGTCACAGATTAGGAACCCAAGGCCCCTGAGGGTTGTCTCCAGTCCACAATCACTTAGTGACAAGTGGCAGAGCCAGGGCTGGACCTCAGGTGTGCGGCCCCAGAGCCTGGGCTCTGATTCACTGTGCTACGCAACCTCTCTGATGGGATAAGTATCCTAGCTCACATACTATGAAGCTAACCAATATAAAATTGCCAATATTTGGCCGTTTTGACCAATAAAAGCAGCACATTTATATGGTTCAGTATACGAAGCACTTGGATATAGCAGAAAACTCAATGGCCAGACACAGTCTTTGCCCATCGAGAGGAAACAGCCGTAGACTGTGATGATGGGGGAAGAACAGGAAGCACAGAGGGACCAGGATCTAACCTCCGGGCGTGTCTGTGAGGCCCCTGCTGAGGAAGTGATGTTTAAGGGAAGACCTGCAAGAGGAACAAGAGCTGAAGGGGGAGATTGGGGATGAGGATAAGGGAAGGGGCTTCCAGGCCAAGGCACAGTCCTGCAACAGCATAGGCTAAAGCCTGACAAGTAAGAGAAAGAGCTGCCCACGCTGTTGCCTCCATGCCTAGCAATTATTAACACCCCACACAGTGCAGGTGCTCAATGAGGATGTGTCAGAGAATCAGTGAAAAATGGAAAGAAGTTGCCAGGTGTGGAGGCTCATGTCTGTTAATCCCAGCACTCTGGGAAGCCAGGGTGGGAGGAAGACAAGGCCAGGAGTTGGAGGCTGGGCACAGTGGCTCACGCCTATAATCCCAGAACTTTGGGAGGCCGAGGCAAGTGGACCACTTGAAGTCAGGAGTTCAAGACCAGCCTGGCCAAGATGGTGAAACCCCGTCTCTACTAAAAATACAAAAAATAAAAAAAATTAAAAAAATAAAAAGCCGAGCGCCTGTAATCCCAGCTACTCGGGAGGCTGAGGCAGAGAATTGCTTGAACTTGGGAGGCGGAGGTTGCAGTGAGCCAAGATTGTGCCACCGCACTCCAGCCTGGGCGACAGAGCAAGACTGCGTCTCAAAAACAAAAAACAAAAGACTTTATGTTTGAAAGCCCTTAGGAACACTGTCTAGCACAGGGTAGGCGTGCTCGCGAAGAAAAGAAGCGTTTCTCAAGTGTGGTGGACTCATGGAATAAATGACTAGGTGTCTCTGAGGACCGGTGAGTGATGTTTGCCAGGCAGAGGTGTGGGGTGGGGCTGACATTTGGGGCTGAGAAAACTGATCTGTTCACCTGCAGACAGTGTCGGGGTGGGGGCAGTGTGGGATTCACAGGTGACATGGTGGGAGGAGAGGCCACAGGGAGAAAGAACTAAACTATTTAGCTGAGGAATTTGGCCAGATCGCAGAAGCCATCATAAAATTTCATTTTATTGGCCGGACACAGTGGCTCACACCTGTAATTCCAGCACTTTGGGAGGCCGAGGTGGGCCGATCACCTGAGGTCAGGAGTTCGAGTCCAGCCTGACCAACATGGTGAAACCCCGTCTCTACTAAAAATACAAAATTAGCCGGGCATGGTGGCACATGCCTGTAATCCCAACTACTCAGGAGGCTGAGGCAGGAGAATCGGTTGAACCCGGGAGGTGGAGGTTGCCGTGAGCTGAGATCCCACCATTGTATTCCAGCCTAGGCAACAAGAGCGAAACTCCATCTCAAAAAAAATTTTCTTTTCATTTTATTTTATTATTTTTAAGTAGAGACGGGGGGTCTCGCTATGTTGCCCAGGCTGGTCTTGAACTCCTGGGCTCAAGCAGTCCTCCCACCTCGGCCTCCCAAAGTGCTGGGATTACAAGTGTGATCCACCATGCCTGACCCATCACAGAATTTTAAAAGAGGGAGTGATATGATTATGGTTTTGCTCCAGAAGGGTCACTTCAGCCACCAACTGGAGACAGATTGGGAGGCAAAAGAAGGCTGAGGTAGTCTTGGCCAGACAAAAAGTAGGCTGGGCGCGGTGGCTGTCACCTGTAATCCCAGTGCTATGGGAGGCCAAGGCAGGAGGGCCACTTGAGGCCTGGGCAACATAGTGGGACCCTGCCTCCACAAATAATTTTTTTTTGTTTGAGACGGAGTCTCACTGTCGCCTGGGCTGGAGTGCAATGGTGTGATCTCAACTCACTGCAACCTCTGCCTCCCGGGTTCAAGTGGTTCTCCCGCCTCAGCCTCCCGAGTAGCTGGGATTACAGGCATGCAGCATCATCCCTGGCTAATTTTTGTATTTTTGTAGAGATGGGGTTTCACCATGTTGGTCAGGCTGGTTCTTGAACTCTTGACCTCAGGTGATCCACCTGCCTCGGCCTTCCAAAGTGCTGGGATTACAGGTGTGAGCCACTGCGCCCGGCCAACAAATAATTAATTTGAAAAAATATTTTCAAAAAAACCAAAAGAGATGGAGCCCTGAACTTTGACAGTAGCTCTGGGGTAGATTTGAGGGCTATTTCCAAAAGGGGATCTACCAGAATTAGTAGCTAAAGAGATGTGGGAGCCTTGGGCCTCTGGCCTGGGTAGCTGAGAGCTGGCAGAAGGAGTCATTCCAGGAGAAGAGCAGGCAGGGTGGAGGTGGGACAGCAGGAGGGGGCGGTGACCCCACTGAGTGCCATGGCGTGCCAGCCATGGCGTGCCAGCCGCGGGCACCCCTGTTCCCCTTTGTGCTCTCATCTGGAGCTCACCACAGGGATTCTTCCCATTTCACAAGAACAGAAGCTGAATCCCAAAGCGTTTCCTGAATCGTGGCCTGGTGAAACAGCTTAGCTTCTGCAGAGCTCGAGAGAAAGAACGGATTTGGTTTTGCAGAGGTTAAGGCTGAGGCGGCAGCAGGAGATGTGGATGGTGGTGCCCAGAGGGTGGTAGGGAATGGCTCTGGAGTTCAGAAGAGATGCTGCCGTGGCCAGGCGCGGTGGCTCACGCCTGTAATCCCAGCGCTTTGGGAGGCCGAGGCGGGAGGATCACGAGGTCAGGAGATCAAGACCATCCTGGTGAAAACGGTGAAACCCCGTCTCTACTAAAAATACAAAAATTGAACTCCGGGGCCAACATAGCAAAACCCCGTCTCTACTAAAAATACAAAAATTAGCCAGGCGTGGTGGTGGGCGCCTGTGATCCCAGCTACTCAGGAGGCTGAGGCAGGAGAATCGCTTGAACCTGGGAGGCAGAGGTTGCAGTAAGCCGAGATAGTGCCATTGCTCTCCAGCCTGGGCAACAAGAGCAAAACTCCGTCTCAAAAAACAAAAGAAAAAAAGAAAAAGTTAGCTGGGCATGGGGGTGCACGCCTGTAGTCCCAGCTACTCGCCAGCTACTCGGGAGGCTGCGGCTTGAGTCCAGGAGTTGGAGGCTGCAGTGACCTGTGATTGCACCACTGCACTCCAGCCTGGGTGACAGAGCAAGCCACGGTCTCTAAAATAAAATAATAAGATAAAGAACCCACAGGGCATGTCCAACAAAAAGAGAAGCATCATCAGGAGTGGGTACCTGGGAAGGAGAAGAGGGTTTTGGGAGGTGAGCAGAAGTAAATAGAAGGAAGACTGAGGATGGGGCTCTGCACTTAGCAACTGTGAGGCCTGTGCCAGAGCGGTTTTTGTGCCATGTGTCGGGGGCAGAAGCCACATTGTCATGCTCGAGGAGCGCACGGGAGGTAGGGAAGTGGGGGTGTTGGTGTGAACCACTCCTTTCAAGAGAAGTGGACACAGTGGGGCCTCTGCCTGGGCTGCACACCAGAATCACAGGGAGCTTTTCAAACTTTCAGATGCTCAGGCCCATTCCAACCCAGTGAACCAGAATCTCTGGGGGTAGTTTCCAGGGATCCAGGTTGGGGAAGAGCCAGCCCCCACCCTGCTCTGTGACTCAGATGCACATGAGGATCAAGAATCAATGCTCGGCCAGGGGCGGTGGCTCATGCCTGTAATCCCAACACTTTGGGAGGCCGAGGCAGAAGGATCGCTTGAGGCCAGGAGTTTGAGACCAGCCTGGGCAGCATAGTGAGAACCCATCTCTACAAAAACAATTTTAAAAATTAGCTGGGCATGGTGACACACGCCTGTAGTCCTAGCTATTCAGAAGGCTGAAGTGGGAGGATCCCTTGAGTCCAGGAGTTGGAGGCTGCAGTGAGCTATGATGGAGCTACTGCACTCTGGCCTAGGCAACAGGGTGAGACCCTGCCTCAGGGAAAAAAAAAAAAGAACCAATGCTCTCATAAGACCACATATTGGCTGGGCGTGGTGGTCACACCTGTAATCCCAGCACTTTGGGAGGCCAAGGTGGGCCTAAGATCACCTTAGGTCAGGAGTTCGAGACCAGCCTGGACAACATGGTGAAGCGCTGTCTCTACTAAAAAAATACAAAATTTATCCATGTGTGGTGGTGCACGCCTGTAATCCCAGCTACTCGGGAGACTGGGGTGAGAGAATCGCTTGAATCTGGGAGGCGGAGGTTGCAGTGAGCCGAGGTTGCGCCACTGCACTCCAGCCTGGGCAACAGAGTGAGATTCCATCTCAAAAAAAAAAAAAAAGAATCAGTCAGGTGTGGTGGCTCATACCTGTAATCCCAGCACTTTGGGGCATTTGAGACCAGCCTGTGCAATATAGTGAGACCCCTATCTCTAAATTAAACATTTTTTAATCAAAAAAATAAAGTTTCAAAGACTCTTAAAACATACTAACCAATCACAAAGTGTAGATTTTACTTAGATCCTAATTCAAACAAACTAAAAGCAAATTAGGCTATTTATGAAACCACTGGAATCTGGACATTGAATGTTTGATAACACCAAGGAAATTTTTAAAGTTTAGTTTTGACAATAGTATTGTGGTTGTAGTAAAAAGAAAAGTCTTTATCTTTTAAGAAAAAAACATGATGAGGCTGGGCGCAGTGACTTGCGCCTGTAATCCCAGCACTTTGGGAGGCCAAGGTGGGTGGATCACCTGAGGTGAGGAGTTCAAGACCAGCCTGGCCAGCACGGCAAAACCCATCTCTACTAAAAAAAAAAATGCAAAAAAATTAGCTGGGCATGGTGGTGGGCACCTGTATCCCCAGCTACTTGGGAGAGTGAGGCAGGAGAATCACTTGAACCTGGGAGGCAGAGGTTGCAGTGAGCCAAGATCACGCCATTATACTCCAGTCTGGGCAACAAGAGCGAAACTCCATCTCAAAAAAGAAAGAAAGAAAACATGCTGAGATGTTCACATATGAAAAGATTTGAGCCAGGCACGGTGGCTCATGCCTGTAATCCCAACACTTTTGGGAGGCTGAGGTTGGAGGATCGCTTGAGGCTGGGAGTTTGAGACCAGCCTGGGCAACACAGCAAGAACCCATCTCTAAAAAAAAAAAAAATTTATTTTAATTAGCCAGGTGTGGTGGCACACGCCTGCAGTCCCAGCTACTCCACAGGCTGAGGCAGGAGGACCACTTGAGCCCAGAAGTTGGAGGCTACAAACAGTGAGCTATGATTATGTTACTGCACACCAACCAGCCTGGGTGACAGAACAAGACCCCGTCTAAAAAACAAAAGAGGCCGGGTGCGGTGGCTCACACCTGTAATCCCAGCACTTTGGGAGGCCGAGGAGGCAGATCACAAGGTCAAGAGATCGAGACCATCCTGGCCAACATGGTGAAACCCTGTCTCTACTAAAACTACAAAATTAGCTGGACATGGCAGCAAGTGCCTGAAGCACGTGTAGTCCCAGCTACTCGTGAGGCTGAGGCAAGATAATCACTTGAACCTGGGAGGTGAAGGTTGCAGTGAGCCGAGATCCTGCCACTGCACTCCAGCCTGGTGACAGAGTCAGACTCCATCTCGAAAAAAAAAAAAAAAGAATCTGGATCTGCTAGCCTGGCCAACATGGTGACACCCCATCTCTACTAAAAATACAAAAATTAGCCGGGCATGGTGGTTTATGCCTGTAGTCCCAGCTACTCGTGAGGCTGAGGCAGGAGAATCGCTTGAACCCGGGAGGCAGAGGTTGCAGCGAGCCAAGATCATGCCACTGCACTCCAGCCTGGACAACAGGGCGAGACTCTGTCTCAAAAAAAAAAAAAAAAAAAAAGAATCTGGATCTGATGAAAATTATGGATCTCCTTCCCAGAAAAATGCGTAACCGTGTTCTCACAAAGACACACAATTTCACCTGCAAATTCTGGGGTTCATGAACTCCCCCAGAGCCCATCCCTGATCCCTCAGTAAAGAATCCTGGCTCTGAAGGAATCAGGTCGAGACCCCTTGACATCTGCTAAGGTATTTAATCTTCATTACAACCCCGTGAGACCAGTGCCACCAACTCCATTGTCCAGATGTGGAAACGGGCTTCTACAGGTTACAAAACTTGCCAGGGTTTCCACTGCTGCTGAGTGGCAGTCAGGATTCACATCCAGGTCGGCGTTGTTTCAAAAGAGAAAGACACAATGGAGATTGAAAGGTGTTTGGCGTGGCATCCTGCATGGGACCCCTGAGAGCTGGTTCCACAGTGGAGCCAGAGGGACCGGGTGTATGGGGCCAGCAGGCACCTCAAACATGGAGGAGGGTCTAAGCACCTGTGCCTCCCATCCTCTGTCCTCCCCACAACCTTCTGAGCAGGGAACTATTTATTTTCCTTTTTTTTTGAGATGGAGTCTCGCTCTGTCGCCCAGGCTGGAGTGCTGAGGCCTGGTCTCAGCTCACTGCAACCTCCGCCACTGGGGTTCAAGCAATTCTCCTGCCTCAGCCTCCCATGTAGCTGGGATTACAGGTGCGCACCACCACACTCGGCTAATTTTTGTACTTTTAGTAGAGACGGGGTTTCACCATGTTGGCCAGGCTGGTCTCAAACACCTGACCTCAAGTGCTCCACCCACCTCAGCCTCCCAAAGTGCTGGGATTACAGGCGTGAGCCACCGTGGCGGGCCAGAGCAGGGAACTATTATTGTCATTTTACAGATGGAAGAAAACGGGACTCTGAGAAGCCAGGACCCACCCATGGTCACACAGCCCCATCCCTGGTGGAGCCTTCTGAGCGTAGAGCATGGACCCCTGGGTTTGTGCTGGTGGAAGGGTTTACGGGGCGCCAGTTTAGTCAGCCACCCCTGTGTAGGACACCTATGGAACACCATAGGGGGCCTCTGAGGAGAATCACCTCCTTATTGCCATTGTGTCCCCAGGCCAGTGAACATGACCTGCTCTGCGGCTTTACACAGAATGCTCTGGGCTGAAACACTTCCTTGAAGCGTTGGAATGTGACCAGACATCCTGGCTCCTTGTAAAACCCACTCCCACCAGCTGCAGCCCAATAAGTTAAAGATTATCTTAGTTGGCCGGGCACGGTGGCTAACACCTGTAATCCCAGCACTTTGGGAGGCAGAGACGGGCGGATCACGAGGTTGGGAAATGAGACCATCCTGGCTAACATGGTGAAACCCCGTCTCTACTAAAAATACAAAAAATTAGCCAGGCGTGGCGGCGGGCGCCTGTAGTCCCAGCTACTCGGGAGGCTGAGGCAGGAGAATGGCATGAACCCGGGAGGCGGAGCTTGCAGTGAGCCGAGATCACGCCACTGCACTCCAGCCTGGGGGAAAGCGAGACTCCGTCTCAAAAAAAAAAAAAAAAAAGATTATCTTAGTAGTTAGACATATGCTTTGAGCTTAAAGGAAATTCACATAAACCACCACGGCTATACATCTTTCAAATGACGCGCACACCCCCACCTTCACCGTTTCACCCCGTACCATCTGCTTCTTAGATCAAAAGATTGTACTCAATAAATTATCAGGCAACCAGGGCTCTGCAGCCTTCACTTTAGCAACTGGCCCCCTGGGGCTGCTTTAAATCTTAACTTGTCTTTTCTCATTCCTTTGTTGCCACCGGACTTCATGGTTGGGGGTTGGGACTGATCACCCCAACAGTTTGCATACAGCTCCCTCCAGGCAGGGAATCACGGGACTCAAGCCCCCTCCCCCACCCAGCTGCAGAAGGGACAGGACTTTGTCTCTGCTTCTCCCGAGCTACCAGCGAGAGCAGAAGTCCATGCTGCTCCCCCAACCAGCCTCCCACTTCCGGCCCCCACTGCCCCCAGGAGACGCCACCTCCTCCAGGCCACCCTGCCCTTTTCTAGGGCTTAAGCCCCTTCCTTCCCCAGAGCTCCTTGGGGACTCAACACAGGAGAAAGAAGAGTGAGAAGGGGCCTCTGGGGGTTGAGCAAGGCTGCAGGGACATGGGGTAGGTAAGGGAGTCGATGGCGGGACCAGAGGAGAGATGACTCCAGAGGAGGCAACAAGGGGCTGAGACAAGCCAGGGTGGGGGCAGGGGTAGGCAGTGGGGGGATGGGTGCAGGGACATGGCAGAGAGAGTGTCCCTTTACCTTCAGCGTCCATGGTGACTTGCAGCTGTCTGGGCTGGTGTGTTGGCTGCTCAGGACCAAGGCTCCCAGAGGCCCCAGGCTGGGGGTGGGACTGTGGAGGGAGGGAGGGCCCATCAAGCTGTCAGCCGGCCCTTCCCAGGCTCCCCAAGCCTCCCTCCTGTCCTCTGCCAGGCCTGCAGATTCCTCAGCAGGCCCTGAAAGTCAGAGGAGGGGCTCTGATGGGGAACTCAGAAGCCCTGCCCCAGCCAGTGAAGGAGCCCGAGGCCCTGTTCTCACCCAACACCCAGCCCTCCTGGCCCTAACCCAGGGTCCAAGGCTGTGAATGTAAGCATGTGCTCCCTGGTGAGGGCAGGCAGGCATTTTGGATGGTGTGCTGGGAAAATCATGGGCCCTGGACCTGGGTTCAAATCCTAACTCCATCCTTTTTGATCTCAAGTACCTTTTTACCTTTTTCTGTGCCTCAGTTTCCTTAGCTTTAAAATGGCATAACAGGGCCGGGCACAGGAGCTCACGCCTGTAATCCCAGCACTTTGGGAGGCAGAGGCAGGTTGATCACCTGAGGTCAGGAGTTTGAGACCAGCCTGGCCAACATGGCGAAACCCCATCTCTACTAAAAATACAAAAATTAGCCGGGCATGGTGGCGGCCGCCTGTAATCCCAGCTGCTCAGGAGGCTGAGGCATGAGACTCACTTGAACCCCGGAGGTGGAGGTTGCAGTGAGTCGAGATCATGCCACTGCACTCCAGCCTGGGTGACAGAGTGAGACTCTGTCTCAAGATAAATAAATAAATTTATTAATTAATTTAAAAAACGGCATAACAGGCCGGATGCAGTGGTTCACGACTGTAATCCCAGCACTTTGGGAGGCTGAGGCAGGCAGATCACGAGGTCAGGAGATCGAGACCATCCCAGCTAACATGGTGAAACCCCGTCTCTACTAAAAAACCAAAAAATTAGCCGGGTGTGGTGGTGGGCGCCTGTAGTCCCAGCTACTCGGGAGGCTGAGGCAGGAGAATGGTGTGAACCCGGGAGGTGGAGCTTGCAGTGAGCCAAGATCATGCCACTGTACTCCTGGGCGACAGAGCGAGACTCTGTCTCAAAAAACAAAACAAAACAAAAAAACCCGGCATAACAGGCTGGGCACAGCGACTCATGCCTGTAATCCCTGTGCTTTGGGAGGCCAAGGCAGGAGAATCGCTTGAGGCCAGGAGTTTGAGACCAGTGTGGGCATCATAGAGACATACAGAGATCCCATCTCTCCCAAAAAAAGAAAAAAGAAAAAGAAATTAGCTAAGTACAGTGGTGCACACCTGTAGGCTGAGATGGGAGGATCACTTGAGCCCAGGAGTTCAAAGCTGCAGTGAGCCGTGATCGTGCCACTGCAGTCCAGCCTGAGTGACAGAGAGAGACCCTGTCTCTAAAGAAAAAAAAAATGTAATGGCATAACATCTACCTCATGGGTCCAACTGAGAATCAATGAGAAAACTCTGCAAATGAAACAGAGTAGGAACTCACCTAATATCCACTTCCCTTCCCTTCCCTCTTTCCAAGGAACTTTAAGGGCACAGACAGCTTAGAGCCCAGCTTCTGAACCAGAAAGTGGGGAAACCACCAGTCACCGGGACTGGGACTTCAGGCAAGTTCCTGTCCAAGAACTGCCAGGGCCTTTCTTTCTTCCTTTTTTTTTTTTTTTTGATGGAGTTTCGCTCTTGTTGCCGAGGCTGGAGCGCAATGGCGTGATCTCGACTCACTGCAACCTCCGCTTCCCGGGGTCAAGCGATTCTCCTGCCTCAGCCTCCCGAATAGCTGGGATTACAGGCATGCGCCACCACACCCGGCTAATTTTGTATTTTTTTTCAGTAGAGACGGGGTTTCTCTATGTTGGTCAGGCTAGTCTTGAGCTCCCGACCTCAGGTGATCCACCCGCCTCTGCCTCCCAAAGAGCTGGGATTACAGGCATGAGCCACCGCGCCTGGCCCAGGGCCTTCCTTTCTTCATTGGAAACCCTTCTTGCTACAGTTGCTCACAGGGACTGCTAGTCGCTAAATTCACTTGCATCTTCCCAGCCTTCTCCCTTTGCTTTCTCTGCCGCACCTGACTGCCGGGACTGGGGCTGGCGTGACGGATCGAGACACCCAAGGCACAAAATTTAGGGAGGCCTCATCCTCCAGCTCACTTTTTTTTTTTTTTTTTTTTTTGAGACAGGGTCTTGCTCTGTCACCCAGGCTGGAGTGCAGTGGCACAATCTTGGCCCACTACAACCTCCACGCCCCAGGCTCAAGTGATCCTCCTACCTCAGCCTCCTGAGTAGCTGGAACCACAGGCGTCTGCCACCATGCCCAGCTAATTTGTGTATTTTTAGTAGAGAAGGGGTTTCACCGTGTTGGCCAGGCTGGAGTCGGGCTCGCTTATCACCCCAGCACCTTGCTGGCCTTGATTCAGTCCTGGGCCTGTTTCTGAGGCTGCAGTGAGCTATGCAGTGAGCTTTTTTTTTCTTTAGAGACAGGATCTCCAAATGTCATTTTTCTCCTGGTTAATTTTTTTTTTTTTGGATACAGGGTTTTGCTCTGTCACTCAGGCTTAAGTGGAGTGCAGTGGCCCAATCAAAGCTCACTGCAGCCTCAAACTCCTGGCCCCAAGCCTCCTGAGTTGCTGGGACTGTATGTGCATGCCTCCACCCTAGGCTAATTTTTTATTTTTATTTTTTGTACAGATAGGATCTTGCTATGCTGCCCAGGCTGGTCTCAAACTCCTGGCTTCAGGTGATCCTCTTAAAGGCTCTTTTCTATCTTTTGCAGGTGCTTCTTCCTACATCCAACCCTCAGATTTTGGTGTTGCTTCAGTGTGGCAGAGACTGTTTCCCTTTTCCTTCTGGGTACCCTACTAAACTACATTTCCCAGCTTCCTCTGCACTGAGGCAGTCTTGTTCTGGCCAATGGAGTGTGAGCAAAAGATATTTCCAGACCTGACCCTAGAAGTCTTCACAGGATCCTATTCTGCCTCTCCCCTCCCATTAGCTGGTCAAAAGCAGACCACTCCAAGGCCCTAGGAGGATGACAGAGCCACTAGATGGAAGGAGACTGGGTCCCGGAATAATGTTGTGAAAGGTCATGCTCCAGATGTCAGGAATTGACTGTCATAAGAAGGAAAAAACTTCTTTTGAGTTATACCGCTGAGATGTGGGGGCACTGTTTCTTACAGCAGTTAGCCTGCCCTGACTATTACACTCAGATTCTCTCTACAGCTCTCTTCTCAATCTACCCAGTGAATGATATAATTTATGTATCTATCTATCTGTATCACTATTTATTTATTTATTTATTTATTTATTTTTATTTTTATTTTTTGAGAGGGAGTCTCACTCTGTCACCCAGGCTGGAATCCAGTGGTACAATCTCGGCTAACTGCAACCTCCACCTCCCGGGTTCAAGTGATTCTCCTGCCTTAGCCTCCCAAGTAGCTGGGATTACAGGCGCATGCCACCATGCCCAGCTAGTTTTTGTTATTTTTGGTAGAGATGGGGTTTCGCCATGTTGTTCAGGCTGGTCTCGAACTCCTGACCTCAAGTGATACACCCACCCTAGCCTCCCAAAGTGCTGGGATTACAGCCTTGAGCCACTGCATCCAGCCGACTCTTAAATCTATATCTTCTATCCTGAGTTCCCTCTCAAGCTCCAGGCCTCTATTCTGTTTTTGTTTTTGTTTTTGAAACAGGGTCTCACTGTGTCACCCAGGCTAGCGTGCATTGGCATGATCACAGCACAAAGCAGCCTCAACCTATAGGGCTGAAGTGATTCTCCTGCCTCACCCTCCTGAGTAGCTGGGACTACAGGTGAATGCCACCACGCCCATCGAACTTTTTTATTTTTAATAGGGACAGGGTTTCGCCATGTTTAAAGGCTGAAGCAATTCTCCTGCCTCGGCCTCCCAAAGTGCTGGGATTACAGGTGTGAGCCACTGCACTTGGCCAATAAATCTATTTCAAACCCAACCTCTTTCACCTTCCAGACTGCCACTGTATCCAGCGTGGGCTAGAATAATATTATCATTTCACACTTCCTCAGAACATCCTCCTGGATGACCAGGTCAACTCAAAGGACAGAACTGGGCCAGGCACTGTGGCTTGTGCCTGTAATCCCAACAGTTTGGGAGGCTGAGGCAGGAGGATCACTTGAGGCCAGGAGTTTGAGACCAGCCTGGGCAACAGAAATTTGTTTATGAAAATAAACAAATAAGGCCAGGCGCGGTGGCTCATACCTGTAATCCCAGCACTTTGGAAGACCAAGGCAGGCAGATCACCTGAGGTCGCGAGTTCGAGACCAGCCTGGCCAACATGTTGAAACCTCGTCTCTACTAAAAATAGAAAATTAGCCGGGCGTGGTGGCGCGCATGCCTGTAATCCCAGCTACTTGGGAGGCTGAGACAGGAGAATTGCTTGAACCTGGGAGGCAGAGGTTGCAATGAGCCAAGATCGCACCACTGCGCTACAGCCTGGGTGTCAGAAGCAAGACTCTGTCTCAAAAATAAATAAATAAATAAAACTATTCTTTGTGCATGAATTTATTCATCCCTCCATTCAGTAAACATATACTAGGTAGCTACCGCATGCTGGGCCCTGGGCTCTGGAAACACAAAGAGGACATGTGGCCTTGGAGGGGCTCACACACTGGTGATGAGTGTCACCCTCACATCACTACAGCCGGGTTATTCATGCTGTCGCAAGGGGTGCTGCAGGAGTGGAGAAGGAACACAAAGTCTGCGTGGGGTGGGGCAGCGAGGGCAGCTGCACAGAGCCCGTGACAGTTGAGCTGAATCTTAATGGTTGAGGAAGAGTTGGCGGGAAGTCAAGGCATTTATTGTGAGCCAGCGTGGGGAGGGCTGGCTTCAGGCCGAGCTCAGGCAACTCGGGGGAGTCGGCGGTTCTCTCCAAGGCCAACGCAGAGCCTGTACGGCTTGCCTGGGACCCTGGTTCAGCTGGGCTGGTGATGGTGCAGTGGGGCAGGCAGGCTCTGAGCTCCAGACTGGGCTGAGCACACAGGCACCTGCTTGCAGCTCATTTTTGGGAGCAAGTTGATTGTCTCCAAAATAACCTGAGTTTCCATTGTCTAATGGCCCTGCCCCAAACCTCCCAGAACTAGGTGGTCACCACTGGGTGGGCTCCTTAGCCTAAATAGCCTTTTAAGTTTCGAAGATTTTCTCTCTACTTTTGTTTGGGTCTGCTTTTGTTACTACTTTGGGAATTTAGAAACTTTTGATTATATTCTTCTCTCTCTCTCTCTCTTTTTTTTTTTTTTTTGGAAGACAGGGTCTCACTCTATTGCTCAGACTAGAGTGCAGTGGCAGTGGCACAATCATAGCTCACTGCAGCCTCGACCTCTCTGGTTCAAGCTGTCCTCCCACCTCAGCCTCCCAAGTAGCTGGGACTACAGGTGTGCATCACCAGGCCCAGCTAATTTTTTTCTTTTTTTGAGAGATGGGGTCTCGCTATGTTGGCCAGACTGGTCTCGAACTCCTGCGGTTAAGCAATCCTCTCACCTCAGCTTCCCAAAGTGCTGGGATTACAGGTGTGAGCCACTGCGACCTGTGTTGTTTTGTTGATAGTGTTGTGTGATCTGTCTCCTGCCACACGAGTCTGAGCTTGGTGGCTCAGAGATGGGGTCTGTTTCTGTTCTGTTCCCTCTGCCCAAGGGCTGAGGGCTCACAGCTCACAGGAGTCACCTCTACCCGCAGCCCTCAGGTAGCCCGTCCTCCCTTCCCCGGCTTCCCCTTCCCACTTGAACATGGTCAAGGGTCAGAAATGGGGATGCAGGCCAGGTGCGGTGGCTCACGCCTGTAATCCCAGCACTTTTGAGAGGCTGAGGCGGGAGGATCACTTGAGCCCAGCAGTTCAAGATCAGCCTAGGCAACATGGTGAGAACCCATCTGTACAAAAAATACAAAAATTAGCTGGGTGCCGTGGCGTGTGCCTGTGGTCCCAGCTACTTGGGAGGCTGAGGGGGGAGGATCACTTGAGCCCAGGAGGCGGAGGTTGCAATGGGCCGAGATCGCACCATTGCACTCCAGCGTCAGCGACAGAGGAAGACCTTGTCAGAAAGAAAGAAAGAGAGAGAGAGAGAGAGAGAGGGAGGGAGGGAGGGAGGAAGGAAGGAGAGGAAAAGCGGGTGGAAATGTACATTTTCAGAAATGGAATGTCCTTAGAACCATATATTAGGGCCCATTTCCTGTCTGCAAAAGTGAACTCCATTCGCAGATTTCTCAAGACCTTCCCCATCCAAATCTTGCCATCTGGATTTTTCACTTTGGATGACAAGGCTTTATTTGTAAACATGATCTTAATGTGTACTTTTGAGGAAAAAAAAGGAAACATTTTAAAGTATAAGATGAAATATAATACAGTGCGTGTGTGTGTGTGTGTGTGTGTGTGTGTGTGTGTGTGTGAATTCTGTTATTTAAGACTGCTGGCCGGGCGCAGTGGCTCATGCCTGTAATCCCAACACTTTGGGAGGGTGAGGCGGGTGAATCACCTGAGGTCAGGAGTTCAAGACCAGCCTGGCCAACATTGTGAAACCCCGTCTCTACCAAAAATACAAAAATTAGCTGGGCATGGTGGCATGTGCTTGTAGTCCCAGCTACTCGGGAGGCTGAAACAGGATAATCACTTGAACCCGGGAGGTGGAGCCGAGATCGCGCTACTGCACTCTAGCCTGGGGAACAGAGCAAGACTTTGACTCAAAAAAAAAAAAAAAAAGAAAAGAAAAAAAAGGAAAATCTTCAATGTGCTGATAATTAACTTTTGCAAAACAGGAAAAAATGTTATTTTACTGTCTGGAAAAAATAAATATTTTGAACATGTTAAACTACCCTTCTTCACCCCTCTCCTCCAAATAAAGTGTGTGGCATATTTAGGGAGCAACAGGAATTTGATGGGGCTGGATAGCACAGACTGTCTGTAACAAGGGCTGACCGGGCAGGGGTGGTCAGAGGAGAGATAGGGCCAGGTCCCGAGGGGCTTATATGCCACGCTAAGGAAGGAGGGTTCCACCCTGACAGCCTTGGGGATAGAGGAATATCACCTAGACAGAGCAGCGTTTTATTTTATTTTTAAATTTTATTATTATTATATTTTGAGACAGGGTGCCACGCAGGCTGGAGTGCAGTGGTGTGATCATGACTCGCTGCAGTCTGGACCTCTTGGGCTCAAGTGATCTTCCTACCTCATCCTCCTGAGTAGCTGGAACTACAGGTGTGTGCCACGATGCCCAGCTATTTTTCTTTTTTCTTTTTTTTTTTTTTTTGAGACGGAGTCTCATTCTGTCACCCAGGCTGGAGTGCAACGGCGCGATCTTGGCTCACTGCAACCTCCATCTCCCGGGGACCAACAATTCCCCCGCCTCAGCCTCCCGAGTAGCTGGGACTACAGGTGCACACCACCACGCCCGGCTAATTTTTGTACTTTCAGTAGAGATGGGGTTTCACCATGTTGGCCAGGCTGGTCTCGAACTCCTGACCTCAGATGATTGGCCCACCTCAGCCTCTCAAAGTGTTGGGATTACAGGCGTGAGCCACTGTGCCCAGCCCACAGTGACCTTTTAGAAGGGTCCCTGGGACCATCACTAGCAGAGAGCGGAAGGAAATCAAAGGGGAAGTGTCAATAGGATCCCGGTGAGGTGCGATGAGGACTGAAGAGAAGGAAGGGATGCAAGGGTCGGTGGAAGAAGAGCCAGGGACTTGGCACCTGGAGAGCAGGAATGGGGAAAGAGTGGGGCTGCACGGTGGTCCTAAGGCGTTTTGCCTGGGCCACCAGAACGATGCTACTCACCACTCTGGGGACTAGAAGAGAGGAGAAGAGCAGACTTAGGTGTGTTGATTTCACCACTACTTCCAGAATGCAATTCAAACTCTCAGCAGAGCACTATGGCTCACGCAGAGCACTGTGGCTCACGCCTGTAATCCCAGCACTTTGGGAGGCCGAGGCAGGTGGATCACGAGGTCAGGAGATCGAGACCATCCTGGCTAACATGGTGAAACCCTGTCTCTCCTAAAAATACAAAAAAATTAGCCTGGTGTGGTGGCGGGCGCGTGTGGTTCCAGCTACTCAGGAGGCTGAGGCAGGAGAATGGCATGAACCCGTGCCACTGCACTCCAGCCTGGGTGACAGGGTGAGACTCCGTCTCAAAAAACAAAAACAAAAACAAAAACAAACCTCAGAACTCAATTCAAACTCTTGAACTTTTCATAGCATGGCTCCAACCTCCACTTGCAGCCTCATCCCCTACCACTCTCCTCAAACCAGACACCCCCAGGCCACCCCCTTGAACACCTTTTTGACCACTATTTTTTCATATTGTAAAAGTAACAGATATTTATTGTATGAAATTCGGAAAATACAGAAGAGCATAAACAAAATAAAAATCACACATAAACTCACCACTTTGGAGATCAGCATGGAAAACATTTGCGATGGGTCCTTTGTTTCCCTATAAGTGCATATATGGTTGGGAATTTTTATTACAAAACTAAAATCATATGTATTACAGAGGAGTAACTTGCTTTTTTCCCCACTTAACATTATATTGCTGGTATTTTCCAAAGTCATTACATAATTTTCAAAAACATGATTTTTACTGACTATAAGTTCAATAAGCCATTTACAATTATTTTCATAACTAATATATTTAATCTTATACCATATTTTATATTTTCTTTTTTTAAATTTTTTTCCAAGACGGAGTCTTGCTCTGTCGCCCAGACTAGAGTGCAATGACACGATCTCGGCTCACTGCAACCTCTGCCTCCCGGTTTCAAGCAATTCTTCTGCCTCAGACCCCCAAGTAGCTGGGATTACGGGGGCATGCCACCACGCCTGGCTAATTTTTGTATTTTTAGTAGAGACAGGGTTTCACCATGTTGGCCAGGCTGGTTTCAAACTGGCCTCATGATCTGACTGCCTCGGCCTCCCAAAGTGCTGGGATTACAGGTGTGAGCCACCACGCCTGGCCATGTTCTTTCTTTTGAGACAGAGTCTCACACTATTGCCCAGGCTGGAGTGCAGTGGCATGATCACAGCTCACTATAGCCTCAAACTCCTGGGCTCAAGCAATCTTCCCTGCCTTCGCCTCTTGAGTAGCTGGTACCACAGGCGCACACCACTACACCTGGCTAATTTTTCATATTTCAAATTTTTTGTAGAGATAGGGGTCTATGTTGCCCAGGCTGGTCTCCAACTCCTGACCTCAGGTGATCTGCCCGCCTCAGCCTCCTATAGTGCCACCGCATAGCCACTGCACCCAACTATTTTCTTACTGTTCCTTGCTCTATCTCCTTTTTTTTTTTTGAGATGGAGTTTTTTACTTGTCGCCCAGGCTGGAGTGCAATGGCGTGATCTCGGCTCACTGCAACCTCCACCTCCTGGGTTCAAGGGATTCTCCTGCCTCAGCCTCCCAAGTAGCTGGGATTACAGGTGCCCGCCACCACGCCCAGCTAATTTTTTGTATTTTGAAACAGGGTTTCACCATGTTGGTCAGGCTGGTCTTGAACTCCTGACCTCAGGTGATCCACCTGCCTCGGCCTCCCAAAGTGCTGGGATTACAGACGTTGAGCCACCACGTCTGGCCTGCTCTATCTCCTTTTTTTGTTTTCCTTTTTAGTCTTAAAATATCCACTGCTTCTTTTGCTTTGCTTTTTCCTCCAGAAAATTAAAAGACATCTATTGTCGGGCACGGTGGCTCACGCATGTAATCCCAGCACTTTGGGAGGCCGAGGCATACGGATCAGCAGAGGTCGGGAGTTCAAGACCAGCTTGACCAACATGGTGAAACCCCATCTCTACTAAAAATACAAAATTATCCGGGTTTGGTGGTGCATGCCTGTAATCCCAGCTACCTGGGAGGCTGAGGCAGGAGAATTGTTTGAACCCAGGAGGCGGAGGTTCTGGTGAGCCAAGATCACGCCATTGCACTCCAGCCTGGGTAACAAGAGTGAAAACTCCATCTCAAAAAAAAAAAAAAGACATCTATTTCACGTTTGTTCAAAAAAGACTCTATATTGAACTGCTCCACTTTAAAAAATATATATATAAATGTTTACTTTTTGTAGACACGGGGTCTCACTATGTTGCCCAGGCTGGTCTCAAACTCCTGGCTTCAAGCAGTCCTCCTGCCTCAGCTTCTCAAGTAGCTGGTACTACAGGCATGCACCACCACGCCTGGCTAATTTTTTGTGTTTTTGTAGAGACAGGGTCTTTCTATGTTACCCAGGCTGGTCTTGAACTCCTAGACTCAAGCAATCCTCCCTGCTCTGCCTCCCAAAGTGCTGGGATTACAGGCATGAGCCACTGCGCTGGATCTGCTCCACGTTTTTTTTTTTTAATTATGTATTTCCACCTGCTATCCCCTCTGCTGGGAATGCCTTTTCCTTTTCCCAGCTTTGCAAAATCCTTCCCAGCCTTCAAATATCTGAGGCAAGCCTGGGCACAGTGGCTCACACCTATAATCCCAGTATTTGGGGAAGCTTAGGTGGGAGGACCACTTGAGCCCAGGAGTTTGAGACCAGCCTGGGCAACACAGCAAGACCCTGTCTGTACAAATTAAAAATTAAAAAAAAAAATTAGCTGGGCATGTTGGTGCACACCTGTGATCGCAGCTACTTGGGAGGCCCAGGAGGTTGAGGCTGTGGTGAGCTGTGATTGCACCACTGCCCTCTAGTCTGGGTGACAGAATGAGACCTCATCTCAAAAGAAAGAATCTCTGAGGCGTCATCTCCATTCATTCATTCATTCATTCATTCATTCATTCAAATGCATATTCATGGAGGATCTGCAACATGCCAGGCACAGCAGCCACCAGGAATGAAGCAGTGGCTGGGTGCAGTGGCTCATGCCTATAGTCCCAGCATTTTGGGAGGCTGAGGCAGGTGGATCTCTTGTGCCCGGGAGTTTGAGACCAGCCGGGACAACATGGTGAAACCCCATCTCTACAAAAAATACAAAAATTAGCCAGGTGTGGTGGTTCTCATATGTAGAAAACAATAAAAATAATTTTTAAAGAAAGGAATCAAGCAGTGGATATGACAAAGGCCACGACACACTCTCAGGTGAAGCCTTCCAACCTTTCGCCAGGGCAATGCGAGCCCTTCTGCTCAGCCACTGGAATCTCTTCCTCAAAGTCTCCCTTGCCACAGTACACATGCATGGGAGAACATGCATGCACACACACATGCGCGCACACACACACATGCGCACACACATGTGCACACATACACACACAGGCACATGCACGCACGCACATGCACGCACGCACATGCACACGTACACACATATGTGCACACACGCATGGCTTGGTAGGCTTCACCTGAGAGTTATGAATGCACCATTTTCCTTGGTGCATTCATAACACTGTTTGTGCCTCTCTTTTATTTATTTTATTTATTTTTATTTTTTGAGACAGTCTCACTTTGTCACCCAGCCTGGAGTACAGTGGCATGATCCCGGCTCACTGCAACCTCTGACTCCAGGGTTCAAGCAATTCTCTGGCCTCAGCCTCCTAAGTAGCTGGGATTACAGGAGCACACCACCATGCCTGGCTAACTTTTGTATTTTTAGTAGAAACGGGGTTTCATCATATTGGCCAGGCTGGTCTCAAACTCCTGACCTCATGATCTGCCCACCTTGGCCTCCCAAAGTGCTGAGATTACAGGCGTGAGCCACCGCACCCGGCCTGTGCCTCTCTTTTAACACTTATATTTTGATATTTTCTGGATTGTGAAAGCCCTGTTGGGTGCCTTCCTTACCCGTACTACCTCTTTTTTTCAGGATTCGCCCAGGACCTGACTAAAACCAGTCCTGGCTTAGAAAACAACCATATCTGTCAAAGGAAAGGGAGGTGGAGCTGAGGACAGCGACGTTCGTTCGGTGACAGTATTTTCTAAACCTGATATGGGGGCTCTTATTTTAACAACTCTAAGACAACAGTGTCTCTAAGGGATTTTGGACATGGCCTCTGTCATTCTGCAGCTGCAGTGAGTCCAAATAGCAATCAGAAAAGGCCACCAGATGCAGCCCAGTGGGTGCCCAGCCTGGCTGGTAGAAGCTGGTTCCATCCGAGCTCAGCTCTTCCCACCCACTAAGCAAGCCCCTTCCCGCTCCCTCCCTCCGTCTCCTCTCCCACTGCACGAGCCCATCCCCCACCTGACCCTTTCCCCCATCTCCTGCCCAGGCCACAGAGCAGGGCTGTCACACTCACATGCCTCCCCTGTCTTTTTTTGCAGGTCAACCTGTCTGCTCTCAGCCACCGCAAGCTCTAACTCAACAACTTCCTCTTTGAAAATTTCCTCTTTGTCCTCGGGAAATACCAACTGCCCTGGCCCATGTGTGCTCCTGGGCTGTAGCCTGGGCTGGTCTCAAAGGCAGCACCATTGAGTTCTCCCCTCTCCACCCAGGCCCCACAGGGGAAGTCCCTGGCTCCAGGCCCCTCCTTCACTCACTCTCACTGGTTCCTCTTGGAGGATGGAAGGGGCTCAGCCCCTGGGATGGAAGAGGAGACACAGACAAACTAAACCTGGAAACGTGCAGTGGGGAAGCGCCAGCCAGACCAGTCCCCGAGACCAGGGCAAACCCCTCTCCCCCTGCCTCTGTTCGCAGGAGAGCGCGCGCGCGCGCGCGTGTGTGTGTGTGTGTGTGTGTGTGTGTGAGAGAGAGAGAGAGAGAGAGAGCGCACATGCATGTGTACTGCAGAAATGGAGACTTCAAGGAAGGGATTACCATGGCTGAGCTGAAGAACTCATATTTGGGTCACACATACGATCTTTCCATGAAGCCTGGCTTTCTTTTTCTTTTCTTTTTTGAGACAGGGGCTCACTCTGTTGCCCAGGCTGAAGTGCAGTGGTGCAATCACAGCTCACTTCAGACTCGAACTCCTGGGCTCAAGCGATCCTCCTGCCTCAACTTTCCAAAGTGCTGGGATTAAAGGCACCAGCCACTGTGCTCACCCTGGCATTCTGTATGGGGCTACAGACAGAGTTAGATTTTCTGCTATGTCCACCCCATCAGAGCAAAGATGACACGCACGTTCTCAGCAGTCCCTGTGTCCCCCATGCCCAGGTTGACCCTCTTCAGTCTCTGCACCACTTCCCACCCCCACACCGTCTGTACCCACAACTACCCCTCCCAAGCATCGCCAAATCCTCAGCTCTTGCACACAAACCACACCCACGAGTGGACACACGCAGGCACTGGGGTTTCTGAGAACTACACCCAGCCAGAAACTCGGAGGAGAAACCGTGAGGCCTCTGGCTGCCTCTGTCCATGGCTGGGGAGAGTGTGGTGGTGTGGGCCAGGGCCAGCCTACAGTCCATGTGCCCTGGGAAAGATCACAGGCCCGCCTGAGAGCATGGGCTGGTGGCCCCACCCAGCCATGCTCCAGGCTGGCCTGGGGGGCCCAGAGCTAAAGGTGGTTGCGGGCTGCCCAGGTTCCACAGCCCTTGCAGCTACAGGGCAAGGGTGCTTTACAAAGTTAATCCTAGGAGGGAGTTTGCCGGGTTCTCTTGTCCTTCTTCCCAGACTCTGGTCAACCCAGGGTGGGTTCTGGGGGAAAAGGAGAATTGTCAAAGAAATCACAGGGCAGATAAGTTTGGCCGATGGAGACTCAGCAGCCGTTTCCAGGAACAAGAAAGAGGGGGAAATGGTGATGGAGATAAATAGGGGTGGATGAGGAGGGTTTATTCATTCAGTCCACAGACGTTGAGAGGTGCCAGCCCTGCCCTGCCCAGGCGCTAGTTGTGGGTGCTGGGTGAGGATGGCAGCAGGAAATCCAGGGCTGAGAAGCCTCATGAGGATTCAGAGTGAAGAGGTGGGTGAGGAGGCAAGGCGCGGAGGCTCATGTCTGTAATCTCAGCACTTTGGGAGGCTGAGGCAGGTAGATCACCTGAGGTCAGGAGTTTGAGACCAGCCTAGCCAACATGGTGAAACCCCATCTCTACCAAAAATACAAAAAAGCAGCTGGGCATGGTGGTGGGTGCCTGTAATCTCAGTTACTCGGGAAGCTGAGGCAGGAGAATCGCCTGAACTTAGGAGGCAGAGGTTGCAGTGAACTGAGATCGTGCATTGCACTCCAGCCTGGGCGACAAAGCGAAACTCTGTCTCAAAAGAAAAAAAAAAAGGAGATTCGGGTGAGGATCAGGGTGCCGGGTGGAAACATGGGAGCGAGGGGGCAGTGGGATGGTGAGAGGGAAGGTGCTGGAGGCTGGCTGAGATTCCGGCCTCCAGCCTCACTATTCACCGACACTTAAGGGGCAGCCCCGTCTCCCCCTTCGGGCTCATCAGGAGCTGGGGCGTCCACAGCCCCATCCTCACTGGCCACCAGTGGCTCCTCCTCCCCTTTGAGGCTGGGGCCTGACCCAGACTTCAGCTCCTCCATCGCCAGGGAGCCCTGGCGAGACTTCCGTCTGCCAAAGAAAGTGGTGAGCGTGGGCCGACGGCTAGACCCCTCCCCATCGGGGAACCCAGAGCCCTTGTCGCCCCCGGACCCTCCCACGGTCACTGTCACGGCCCCCTCCTCAGGGACCTGGGCTGGCCCAGCCCAGGCGTCCACCACCCCGTTACGCTTGCCGCCTCTGCTCAGCACGAGGGCCCCAGTCCGCCGCTTCTGCCGCCGGCGCCACAGCAGGAGCAGAGCCACGAGGACTATGACCGCCAGCAGGGCCACAAGCACAGCCACTGGCAGCATGCCTCGTGAGTTCTCATCTGGGTTCCGGAAGGGCACAGTGCTTGCGTTGGTGGAGGTCGTTGGAGACATCATTGTAGATAGTTTTACGCTAGAGACCTGGGGTCCACTGGCCCCGCTGGAGGGCTCCAGAGAGCCAGTTGTCATGGTAACAGGGGGTCCAGTGGTCCCAGTGGAGGTCTCCAGAGAGTCAGTTGCCATGGTAACAGGGGGTCCAGAGGTGCCTTTGGAAGTCTCCAGAGAGACAGTTGCCATGGTAAGAGGGGGTCCAGAGGTGCCTCTGGAGGTCTCCAGAGAGCTAGCTGCCGTGGTAACAGGGGCTCCACTGGTCCTACTGGAGGTTTCTGGAGAGTTCGTTGTTATGGTTCCACCTGTCACGGTGTGGGATCCTAGAGAGTTTGCTGTTATGGGAACAGCAGGATGACTGGTTGCATGAGGGGTTTCCTGGGGCACTGATGACATCTTGATGGAAACTTCCTGGTAGGTTGTTGGCTCAGGTAAAGGGGAACCAGTGCTGGCACCAATGGAAGTCCAAAGAGGGGATCCCTCATTGATGGAAGTTGAGGGAGGTAGGGCTGAGGTCTGGTCCCCAGTGCTGTCGGCCTTAGGGTCACTTGTTATTGAAGTGGTGTACATCTTTGAGCTCAGGGGCTCGCTAGTAGAGACCAAAGGCTCTCCGGAGGTGGGTGTCTGCACTGCTGTTGTGCTCCCCAGAGCGTCTGGGCTTACCACCAGCACCCCAAGGAGAAGGAGAAGCGTGGCCATTTCCAGGCAAACAGGCAGGAGCAAGAGCTGGGACCTGCAGGTGGGCAGCCGGAGAAGCAGAACACGCGGGAGTTGCCGGAGGACCTGGCCGGGCCTCCCCTCTGCCCACTTCCCTGCCAACGGCCAGGCCCAACCTGCGGTTTAACGGTTTTTTCCATGCTGGCTTTTACTGTTATCAGAAATGACAGAGGAACAGATGCTGGCAGCTCCCCCATCAGCCCCATCCTGAGGCTCCCTCCAGCCTCAGCAGCTTAGATTCCAGCAGTGACCAGCCCCTCCTGGCCTTCCCTGACCCTGTGCAGCCCAATGGCTCCCAATCTCTTCCCATCATAACCTGTCAGAGTCTTTTCAAGCCACAGGCACATTCCCAGGCCCACTGAGGCCCCTACCCCACCAAGTCTCACCCTCTTACCGGCTCGGCTGATAAGGACGCAGCACTGGGGCCAGGTCACTCCACCACCTCCCGAGGCTGGGGCAAGACTGGGAAGGACAGGGCCCCAAGGGGAAAGGAAGTGGGCCCTGGCTCCACCCACCCCACCCACCCCTCCATCCTGCCCCACCCGCCTGCTCCCACAGCTGCTGGGCGAAGACAGCACCATCACCTGCTCCTTCAGGGGCCAGCGGGGTGCCTGGGGGTCTGGGGCTCACCTGAGGGAGGCAGGGAAGCGTGGGATCTGGAATCAGGATTCCTGGCTCTTGGCTGAGGAATGGGATGGAAGTGGTGATGCTAGGGAGGGCTGGGCTCAGAGGTGGGTGGTGGGAATGTGAGCCTGAGAACTCAAGGGTGCAGAGGAGGAGGTGGGAGGGGAGGGTGGTTTCCTTTGCATTTGTGGTCCCCAAGCTGTTAGGCCAGGAGCTGAGTGGCGCCATTTCCTGCCCTCAGAGCTCCCAGGAAGTAGCAGGGCAAGAGGAAGCCCCCGAGTCTGGCTGGGGGCCGTGAAAACCTTTGCAGGCTGGTGAGCTCTTGACTCTGTCCGGGGAGCTGGGGGTCACCACAGTGGCCCCCAGTCACAGAGACGTGGCTAAACCAAGGTGGTTCCTACACACTGCATATGCTAGGATCTTATTTCTGCAAACTAGTAAAGATGTGGGAATCTTTTTTTTTTTTTTTAAGGCGGAGTTTAGTGCAATGGCATGATCTTGGCTCGGCTCAGCACAATGTCTGCCTCCTAGGTTCAAGCAATTCTCCTGCCTCGGCCTCCTGAGTAGCTGGGATTACAGGCTTGCACCACTGTGCCCGGCTAATTTTGTATTTTTCGTAGAGACGAGGTTTCTCCATGTTGGTCAGGCTGGTCTCGAACTCCTGACCTCAGGTGGTCCATCCGCCTCAGCCTCCCCAAGCGCTAGGATTACAGGTGTGAGCCACCGCGCCTGGCCAGATATGGGAATCTATATGGAAAACCGTCTGGAAAGATATCTACTAAGGGATTCACCTAATTGTCTTTGGATAGGTGAGAGTAGGAGGTGGGGGTATTTTCTTCTTTGAATGGTTCCCATTTCCTGACTTTCCTCTAATTAGCAAGCTTTGACTCTCGGTTTGTGTATGTTTTTGGTTTTTGTTCTTGAAAAACGAAAATCAGTCCCGGGTGTGGTGATACATTATGCTGGCAGTCCAGGCCAAAGTGGGAGGACCTCCTGAGCCCAAGAGTTTGAAACCAGCCTGGGCAACGTAGCAAAACTCCTATCACTAAAAAAATAAATAATTTTTTAAAATCAAAACTGATTTGTATATTTTAAGAGCAACATGTGCACAATAGAAGATTCTAACAGGCCCGTGGGACTGTGCCATTTCTACAAGCTGATGAGTTTGTCTGACCCAAAGACATGAGACTCCTGGGTGAGAGCCACAGGAATTAATTGCTCACACCAAGCAACAGCAGCGTGATGTTTGCATCAGTTCCCCTTACCCCAAGTCCCACGGGGGCAACATGGAAGGGCCCAGACTGACACCATGCACACAGTGGGCCTGCACCGCAGCCATAGAGCTCTGAGCTTGAGAGATTCCCCTCCTCTAGGGGCCCTGGTAAGCCCAGGTTCCCACAGGGAGACGTGTCTTCATCCCTCGGGTGTGCTCACTGCAAACACAGCACTGAAAAATGGCTTGAGTACAAAGTATTCAGAGGCTGAGCGTGGTGGTTCACGCCTGTAATCCCAGGACTTTGGGAGGCTAAGGCAGGCTGATCACTTGAGGTCAGGAGTTCGAGACCAGCCTGGCCAACATGCTCTCTTTTCTGCGCACAGTGGCTCAGAAAGGTAACGGGGTGCCCATTCTGCAGGGGGGATGAGGGACACAGGAGCAAAGGAGTATAGACTAGAGGGCTGCAGAATCAGGCCCTACAGACTTCCTGTCCTACCACCACCATCTTCCAGCTGCATGACCTTGAACAAGCACATAACTTCTCCAATGCCCTAGGACCGCCACCTTCTTCATGAAGTGACTGCAAGAATTAAATGAGATAATGTTAAGTGCACAGAAAAGCAGCTACCAGCACGGGACTCTGGGTTCCTGTCCTACCTCTTGCACTTGGGCAAGTGCCTTAATCTCCTTATCCCTCTGTTGCTTTGTATAAATGGCGATAATTATGGTAATACCACATAGTTTGTTTTGATGATTAAGAGTTAATACATATAAACGGCTGGGCACGGTGGCCCATGCCTGTAAGCCCAGCACTTTGGAAGGCCGAGGCAGGCAGATCACCTGAGGTCAGGAGTTCGAGACCAGCTTGGCCAACATGGTGAAACCCCGTCTCTACTAAAAACACAAAAAATTAGCTGGGCATGGTGGCGGGCGCCTACAATCCCAGCTACTCGGGAGGCTGAGGCACGAGAATCGCTTCAACCCAGGAGGTGGAGGTTGCAGTGAGCAGAGATTGTGCCACTGCACTCCAGCCTGGGCAACAGAGTGAGACTCCAACTCAAAAAAAAAAAAAAAAAACTGCTCAGGACCTGGCATTCTTGATACACCCAATATATCAGACAAAAAGGCTCCATACCCATCACCTCCAGACAAACATTCCTGACAGTGTCTGTGTTTACACAAGCATGTATTCATCCATTTTAGTGTTTTGCACTTTTCCTTTGTTACTGAACAATGCTTTGGGAACACACACACATATATAACAGTTGCATAATATTCCATGGCATACACTATAATTTTTTTTTTTTTTGAGACGGAGTCTTGCTCTGTCACCCAGGCTGGAGCGTAGTGTCTCGATCTCAGCTCACTGCAACCTCCACCTCCCAGGTTCAAGCGATTCTCCTGTCTCAGCCTCACAAGTAGCTGGGACTACAGGCACATGCCACTATGCCCAGCTAATTTCTGTATTTTTAATAGAGACAGGGTTTCACCGCGTTAGCCAGGATGGTCTTGATCTCCTGATCTTGTGATCTGCCAGCCTCAGCATCCCAAAGTGCCGGGATTACATGAGTGAGCCACCGCGCCCGGCCAGAAATACACTATATTTTATTTATTTATTTATTTTTAATTAATTTATTTTTTTGAGATGGAGTCTCACAGTGTCGCCCAGGCTGGAGTGCAGTGGCGCGATTTCTGCTCACTGCAAGCTCCGCCTCCCGGGTTCAAGCCATTCTCCTGCCTCAGCCTCCCGAGTAGCTGGGACTACAGGCGCCCGCCACGAAGCCCGGCTAACTTTTTTGTATTTTTAGTAGAGACAGGGTTTCACCGTGGTCTCGATCTCCTGACCTCATGATCCACCTGCCTCGGCCTCCCAAAGTGCTGGGATTACAGGCGTGAGCCACCGCGCCCGGCAGAAATACACTATATTTTAAATATTCCCTACGGATGAACATTAGATTGTTTTCCAACATTTCATTATTACTAACTGCTGCAGTAAATACCCTAGTTTATTTCACTATAATTATTATGTATTTCTGTTTTAACAAGCCAGAAAAAAGAAGAAAAGAAAGAGGTAGAGTGAAAGAGGAGAGAAGGAGGGAAGGAAGGAAGGACGGATGGAAGGAAGGAAGGAAGGAAGGGAGGGAGGGGAAAGAAAAGAAACCAGGCTCACGCAGTGGTTCACTCCTGTAATCCCAGTGCTTTGAGTCTGGGACTGTACCCTACCTCCTGCCTCCAGAGGCGGGAGGATCACTTGAGGCCAGGAGTTCAAGGCTTGCCTGGCCACATAGTGAGACCCTCATCTCTACCAAAAAAGAAAAAGAAAAGAACCCATTCCACTGTCAGACATCTAGGAGGCTATTTCAATCTTCTGCTATTGCAAATAGAAGAGCAAGAATAATTGGCTGCAAAGTAATTGGAACTTACTTTTTTTTTTTTTTGAGACAATCTAGCTCTCTTGCCCAGGCTGGAGTGCAGTGGCATGATCTTGGCTCACTGCAACCTCTGCCTCCTGGGTTCAAGCAATTCTCCTGCCTCAACCTCCCGAGTAGCTACCACACCTAGCTAATATTTTGCTATGTTGCCTAGCTGGTCTCGAACCCTTGGACTCAAGCAATCCACCCACCTTGGCCTCCCAAAGTGCTGGGATTACAGGAGTGAGTCACTGCACCCAGCCTACAGTTTTTTAACTGTAGAAAATAGAAATGTTGTAAGAATGTACAAGATTCTCAACCTTTAAAAAAACACTAAGGCAAAATTCATTTTTGACAAAGTTATCATTTCAACCAAATTGTTACTGCTGTCGGCAAAGCTGTCTGTTCCCCAAGCCAGATGTTGGGCCCCAACTCAGGAGAGCTGCGAGGATGTGGATGGGTCCAAACTCCAGCCTGGTGCACTCAAGAAATGGGGTCTGACCAAGACAGACTATAGGCTCGGGGTGGAGGGAAAGATAATGAAAATATGAACAAGAGGTGATTGTTGCCTGCAAATCATCACAGAAGAGCAATACTTAGGCTGGGCGTGGTGACTCACTCCTGTAATCCCAGCACTTCGGGAGCCCGAGACAGGAGGATTGCTTGAGCCCAGGAGTTGAAGACCAACCTGGGCAACAGACAGAGAACCCCATCTCTATTTAATTGTTTTAATTAAAAGAAAAAAAGAGGCTGGGCGCAGTGGCTCATGCCTGTAATCCCAGCACTTTGGGAGGCCGAGACGGGAGGATCACCTGAGGTCAGGAGTTCGAGACCAGCCTGACCAACATGGTGAAACTCCGTTTCTACTAAAAATTACCAAAAAATTAGCCAGGTGTGGTGATGGGCGCCGGTAGTCCCAGCTACTCGGGAGGCTGAGGCAGGAGAATCGCTTGAACCTGGGAGGCAGAGGTTGCAATGAGCTGAGATCATGCCACTGCACTCCAGCCTCGGCAAAAGAGTGAGAATTTGTCTTGGAAAAAAAAAAAAAAGAAAAGAAAATGAGTTCATACTGATTCTGAAAATATTAGAGACAAAGAGAAGGAGGGAGGGAGCAGGGAAGGGAGGTAGGACAGTATGGAAGTTTTTTTTGTTTTTGTTTTATTTTTTCTGAGATGTAGTCTTGCTCTGTCGCTCAGGCTGGAGTGCAGTGATGCAATCTCGGCTCACTGCAACCTCCGCCTCTTAGTTTCAAGCAACTCTCCTCCCTCAGCCTCCCAGGTAGCTAGGATTACAGGTGCGCACCACCACGTTTGGCTAATTTTTGCATTATTAGTAGAGATGTGGTTTCACCATGTTGGCCAGGCTGATCTCGAACTCCTGACCTCGTGATTCACCTGCCTCGGCCTCCCAAAGTGCTGGGATTACAGGCATGAGCCACTGTGCCCGGCCACTGGAAAGTTATTTTACTGTAGGAAAGCTAACAATTGTAAAAGGAATGTAGAATTTAAAAAATGATAAACATAACCAATATAATAATAATGGATTCAGGTAAGAGTGAGTGTTAAAACCATTGGTGAAATCAGAAGAGTGTGTGTGTATAGGATATTTACATAGTTGGCTGGGCATGGTCACCCTGGCTGGAGTGCAGTGATGTGATCTCGGCTCACTGCAACCTCCGCCTCCTGGGTTCAAGCAATTCTCCTGCCTCAGCCTCCTGAATAGCTGGGATTACAGGTCCCTGCCACCATGCCCAGCTAATTTTTGTATTTTTATTAGGGATGGGGTTTCGCCATGTTAGCCAGGCTGGTCTCGTACTCCTAATCTCAGGTGATCCACCCACCTCAGCCTCCCAAAGTGCTGGAATTACAGGCATGAGCCACCGTGCCCAGCAGTATTCCTTTTTTTTTAGAGATGGGTTCTTGCTGTGTTGCCCAGACTGGTCTTGAACTCCTGGGCTCAAGCAATCCTCTCATCTTCGCCTCCAGAAGTCCTGGGATTACAGGCATGAGCCACTGTGCTTGGCTTCTGTGGTGTTCCCAAAAAAAATGTATAACCTGCCCTGGGCACAGTGGCTCACTCCTGTAATCCCAGGACTTTGGGAGACTCAGGAGAAGGGATCGCTTGAGTTCAGGAGTTCAAGGCTGCAGTGAGCTATGATTTCGCCACTGTACTCCACCCTGGGTAACACAGTGATACCTTGTCTGTAAAAAAAAAAAAAAAAAAAAAAAAAAAAAAGAGAGAGAGAGAGAGAGAAAGATCCAGAATCTGATCCCTCTTCGCCCCGTCACTGCTGCCTACTGGCCTGAGCCTCTGTCTTCTCTGGCCTGGACTGGTGCAGTCATCTCAGCTCTGGTCTCCCTGTGTGAGATCTCATCCTCCTCCGGGCTGTTTTCCACACAGCAGCCAGAGGGACCCAGATGAAACATCTGACCCCACCCCTCCTCTGCTTGGAGCCCTGAGACCACTCCCACCCCACTCAGGGTAGAAGCCAAGTTGGCCACATCCGATCTGACCCCTGCCTACCTCTCTTATCCACGTTGCTTCTGCCCTTCCACCCATGGCCCTGCCATCCACGCCCTTGCCACCCGGACCTCTGATGTGTCCCTGGAGAAAGCAAGCCCAGGGCCTTTGCGCCATCTGTGGTGGCTGCCCCAGGGCTCCCCACCCAGATGTTGCTTGGCTGCTTTCTCAGTCTTTGCTCAAATGTCACCTTCTCAGGATGGCTTTGCCTGGCCAACCTATTTACTTACTTATTTGTTTGTTTTAGACACAGGGTCTCACTCTGTCACCCAGGCTTGAGTGCATTGGCACAATCATGGCTCACTGCAGCCTCGACCTCCTGGGCTCAAGAGATCCTCCCGCCTTGGCCTCCCAAGTAGCTGGGACTACAGGCACATGCCACCACACCAGTCTAACTTTTAATTTTAATTTTTTATTTTTTGAGATGGAGTCTCGCTCTGTCTCCCAGGCTGGAGTGCAGTGGCACAATCTTGGTTCACTGCAACTCCGCCTCCCGAGTTCCAGCAATTCTCCCGCCTCAGTCTCCCGAGTAGCTGGGATTACAGGTGCGCGCCACCATGCCCGGCTAATTTTTTGTATTTTTATTTTTATTTTTGAGATGGAGTTTCACACTCTCGTTGCCCAGGCTGGAGCACAATGGTTCGATCTCGGCTCACGGCAACCTCCGCCTCCTGGATTTAAGCTATTCTCCTGCCTCAGCCTCCTGAGTAGCTGGGAATACAGGTGCCCACCACCAAGCCCATCTAATTTTCTATTTTTAGTAGAGACAGGGTTTCACCATGTTGGCCAGACTGGTCTTGAACTCCTGACCTCAGGTGATCCACCTGCCTCGGCCTCCCAAAGTGCTGGGATTACAAGCGTGAGCCACCACGCCCAGCAATTTTTTTGTATTTTTAGTAGAGACAGTGTTTCACCATGTTGGCCAGGCTGGTCTCGGACTCCTGAGCTCAAGTGATCTGCCCTCCTCGGCCTCCCAAAGTGCTGGGATTACAGGTATGAGCCACCATGCCCGGCCTAATTTTTAAATTTTTCATACAGATGGGATCTTGCTTTGTTGCCCAGGCTTGTTTCAAACTCCTAGACTCAAGTGAGCCTCCCACCTCGGTCTCCCAAAGTGCTGGAATTACAGGTGTGTGCCACGGAGCCCAGCTGGCCATTGTATTTAAAATCTCACCCCCGGGTGGGCGCGGTGGCTCATGCCTGTAATCCCAGCACTTTGGGAGGCTGAGGCAGGTGGATCACAAGGTCAGGAGATCAAGACCATCCTGGCTAACACGGTGAAACCCTGTCTATACTAAAAATACAAAAAATTAGCCGGACATGGTGGCGGGTGCCTGCAGTCCCAGCTACTCAGGAGGCTGAGGCAGAAGAATGGCGTGAACCCAGGCGGCGGAGTTTGCAAGATCACGCCACTGCACTCCAGCCTGGGTGACAGAGCAAGACTCCGTCTGGAAAAAAAAAAAAAATCGCACCCCCCTCCCTCTGGACTGTAACCCCCCTCCTTGCTTTCTCCCCATAGCACTTCGCGCCTTCAAATGCGCCATGTAATGGACTTTCTTATTTTGCTTCCGTCGCTCTCCCCACACTGGAATGCCAGCCCCATGGCCTCACAGCTGTGCGTGTGTGCTTGCACAGTGCCCCAGCACCCAGGAAGTGCTTGACACACAGTAGGCATTGGATGACGTTTATTGACTGAAGACTTCTCTGGTTGAGACAAGGAAGAGGGTATCAGGCTGCAGAACTGTGGACAAAGGCAAGGAGGCCAAAGGGTGGAGGGCAGAGAGGGGAGTGATGAGGCCAGGGACGGGAGGCTGGGTGTGCCTGGAGCTGTTGTGAAGGCCTGCCCATCCTGCCCTGAGGTCATCAGAGGTCACCAGAGGTTTGCCTGCTTCTCCTGAGATAATAGCTCTGCCCTCCCCAGGCCCCAGTTCCTCCTTCCCTCTACAGGTTTTTTTTTTTTTTGAGATGGAGTCTCGCTCTGTCGTCCAGGCTGGAGTGCAGTGGCTCGATCTTGGCTCACTGCAACCTCCGCCTCTGGGGTTCTCAAGCGTTCCTCCTGCCTCAGCCTTCTGAGTAGCTGGGATCATAGGTGCCCACCACTACACCCGGCTAATTTCTGTATTTTTAGTAGAGACAGGGTTTCATGATACGCCCACCTCAGCCTCCCAAAGTGCTGAGATTATAGGCGTGCGCCACCGTGCCCGGCTCCCTGCAGGTCTTTGAGGGGCCGCTCCTACACCAAGGTAGACAGGGGCTGGCAGAAGCCTGGAGGCAGGGAAGCCACAGAAGGGGAGGGGTACCTGAGCTTGACTCCTGCCTGCATCGCCTGCCGTCTGGATGGCCTTGGGTCAGGCATTTAATCTGCCTCAGTTTCTTCATTTGCAAAATAGGAATAATAATAGTATTCTTCAAAGTTCCTGGGAAGGATAAGTTAGACAGGTGAGGGGCCCACAGTCAAAGCCTGATAAGGACTAGCTGGTGTTATAAGAGAGAGACACTGGTGCGGTGGCTCACTCCTGTAATCCCAGCATTTTGGGAGGCCGAGGTGGGTGGATCACCTGAGGTCAGGAGTTCGAGACCAGCCTGGCCAACATGGTGAAACGTCGTTTCTACTAAAAAAAATAAATAAATAAAAAACAAACTAAAACTAGCTGGGTATTGTGGCACGCGCCTGTAATCCCAGCTACTTAGGAGACCGAGGCAGGAGAATTGCTTGAACCCAGGAGGTGGTGGTTGCAGTGAGCCAAGATCATGCCACTGCATTCCAGCCTGGGCAACAGAGCGAGACTCTGTTTCAAAAAAAAAAAAAAAAAAAAAAAAAAGCCAGGTGCAGTGGCATACGCCTGTGGGTCCCAGCTAACTCAGGAGGCTGAGGTAGGAGGATCACTTGAGCCTGGGAGTTCGAGGCTGCAGTGAGCCATGATTGTGCCACTGCACAATCTGAGCAACAGGCACAATCACAAGCCTGGGCAACAGATCGAGACCCTGTCCCACAAAAACTAATTAACTAATTAAATGCCTAAATCACCTCTGCACAAATCAGAATGGAGCTCAGCTCTTTCTCCTACCACGAGTAGTTACTGAATAAAATCTGTTTTCACCACAGTAACTCATGTCTGGCTATGTTTTCCTTTGACACTTAATTACCCTTCTGATCCTCCAGGGCCACAGGACTGGGGCTTGCTTGGGACCAGGGGCCCTTTCTTCCCATCCACAGCGCTGTCAATGAAAAGGACTGACAAGTCACGCCACCCTTGTCCTCTGGGGAATTTCCGTCTAGTCAGAAAAGAGAAGTTTACATACTTATTTATTCACTGAAAAGCACCAGGCCGGGCACGGTGGCCCATGCCTGTAATCCCAGCGCCCAGCGCCTTGGGAGGCCAAGGTGGAAGGATCGCTTGAGCCCAGGAGGCAGAGGTTGCAGTGAGCCGAGATCGCAACATGCATTCCAGCCTGGGCGACAGAGCAAGACCTTGTCTCAAAAAAAAAAAAAAAAAAAAAAAAAGAGAAAAAGAAAAGTGCTGTTTCCTAAGCTAATGCATGTTATAAGCACAGAAGTGTTTGTCATGAACAATAAGTCTTCCCTTTCCCCAACAAGTCATGATCTCAGAAAGAGAACACTTCTAATGCTTTTAACTTTTTCTAGTCTCAATTCTACTGGTGGGTCCACATTCCCAAAAAGTGTGCTAATTTCGTTATTCCTTTTTTTTTTCTATTACTACATGGAGATGCTATAACTTTATTTCTTCATGTATCCATTTTGCCTGGCATAATCATAGGTGTCTGACCCACTGGCCCTGCTCCAGCCCCATTCCACCTTGCAGGTCAGTTAAATCCCTCTCTTCAGGTCCTTTGTAACGAACTAAAGTTGCTTTTGTAACTTTATTTACGTAGTTATGTATGAGTTTTATTATTGTTGTTGTTTTGTTTTGAGACAGGGTCTCACTCTTTCGCCCAGGCTAGAGTGCAGTGGCCTGATCTCAGCTTACTGCAACCTTGGGCTCCAGTGATCCTCCCACCTCAGCCTCCAAGTAGCTGGAACTACAGGTGTGTGCCACCGCACCTGGTTACTTTTTTTTTTTTGAGACGGAGTCTCGCTCTGTCACCCAGGCTGGAGTGCAGTGGCGCGATCTCGGCTCACTGCAAGCTCCGCCTCCCAGGTTCACGCCATTCTCCTGCCTCAGCCTCCCGAGTAGCTGGGACTACAAGCACCCGCCACCATGCCCGGCTAATTTTTTGTATTTTTAGTAGAGACAGGGTTTCACCGTGTTCGCCAGGATGGTCTCGATCTCCTGACCTTGTGATCCACCCTGCCTTGGCCTCCCAAAGTGCTGGGATTATAGGCGTGAGCCACCGCGCCCGGCATGCACCTGGTTACTTTTTATATTTATTGTAGAGACATTGTTTCGCTGTTGCCCAGGCTGAGATCAATTTCCTGGGCTCAAGCAATCCGTCCACCTTAGCCTCTCAAAGTGCTGGGATTATAGGCATGAGCCACCTCACCTGACCTATTTACTTATTTTTAAAGAGATGAGCACCCTCGAACTCCTGGGCCCAAGCAATCCTACCTCAGCCTCCTGAGTAGCTGGGACTACAGGTGTGCACCATCATGCCCAGCTAATTTTTAATTTTTTTTGTAGAGACAGGGATCTCATTATGTTGCCCAGGCTGGTCTTGAATTCCTGGGCTCAAGCGATCCTCCTTGCCTCGGCCTCCAAAAGTACTGAGATTACAGGCATGAGCCACAGCTTCTGGCCTAAATTCTTATCACTTTGTGACATGAAGATAGTGGCTTTCCTTTATCTCTCTTCTGCTCATTTCTGTTACCTGTACATTTACTTTTATGTTGTTAAATGTAGATAATATTGGCATTCTCTCTTTCATCTTGCTTAGAGCTGCATTGCCTAATGTAGAAGCCACTGGCCACAGGAGACTACTTTAACTTAATTAAAATTTAATGAGATTTAAAACCTAGTTCCCTCAGTTGCAACTAGCTAGTTACATTTCAAGTGTGTTCAGAAACCACATGTGGCTAGTAGCTATCAAATCAAATAACACAGATAAAGGCTATTTCTATCACCTCAGATAGTCAAGATCAGTGCTGTCTGGTCCAGAGTTTGAGTCTAAAATGGAAAACTATTAATTTTCTTTGTTTTTAAGATTATGGGGCTGGATGTGGTGCCTCATGTCTGTAATCCCAGCACTTTGAGAGGCCAAGGCAGGAGGATCACTTGAGGTCAGGAGTTCAAGACCAGCTGGGGCAACATAGCAAGGTGCCATCTGTACAGAAAAAAAGAAAAAAAGTAGCCAGGCATGGTAGCACATGCCTGTACTTACAGCTACTCAGGAGGCTGAGACGGGACAATCACTTGAGCCCAGAAGTTCAAGACTGCAGTGAGCTATGATGATACCACTGCACTGCAGCCTGGGTGACAAAGGGAGACCATGTCTCTAAAAAAAAAAAAAAAAAAATGCCTAGCACGGTGGCTCACGTCTGTAATAACAGCACTTTGGGAGGCCGAGGCGGGTGGATCACCTGAGGTCAGGAGTTCGAGACCAGCCTGGCCAACATGGTGAAACCCCATCTCTACTAAAAATAAAAAAATTAGCTGGGCATGGTGGCGCGTGCCTGTAATCCCAGCTACTAGGGGGGCTGAGGCAGGAGGATCGCTTGAACCCAGGAGGCGGAGGTTGCAGTGAGCTGAGATCGTGCCATTGTACTCCAGCCTGGGCAACAGAGCAAGATGCCACCTCAGAAAAAAAAAAAAAGCATTATATAACTATTGTTCAGTTATATTATATAAATATATATATTTATATATATATATAAAATTTTAGCGATATTTACTACGATAATGTATCATAGTAAATTTACTACAATACATCTCTTTTAATTTTACCTAGAGTTTCTAATTGCTTCACTAATTCCTTGCTCCAGTGTGACCTTCCTTCTCCCCTCCCACTCCCTGTTGCTACACTGCTACATCTTGGGACCAGTGGTTATTTCTCTCTTGGGTGGGATCTCCTATTTCCTGTAGTCTGCACCCTTCTCTTTTGTGATTTACCCTCTTAATTTTGCAGGAGCACATTTTCAAGTCACATCCAAAGAAAGCTCCCTAATAAAAAGGTGAACTTTGCTTTTTTTTTTTGTCTCACTCTGTCACCTAGGCTGGGGTGCAGTGGGGCAATATCGGCTCACTGCAAACTCTGCCTCCCAGGTTCAAGCGATCCTCCTGCCTCAGCCTCCCTAGTAGGTGGGATTACAGGCAGGCGCCACCATGCCTGGCTAATTTTTGTATTTTTAGTAGAGACGGGGTCTCGCCATGTTGGCCAGGCTGGTCTCGAACTACTGACCTCAGGTGATCGTCACCCCTCAGCCTCCCAAAGTGCTGGGATTACAGGCGTGAGCCACCGTGCCCAAAGTAATCTTGCACCTAAATAGGTCTTTAGTTTATTCTCACACTTGATATGAAAGTCCAACCCTCAAGTTGGAAAGCTCTACTCTGGTACCAAAAGCCCCAGTCAGCCTCTTATTGGCTCACTCTGAAGTATGATGGGACTTGAAAGAAATATCAACCTTTTTTTTTTTTTTTTTTTTGAGACAGGGTTTTACTCTGTCACCCAGGCTGGAATACAGTGGTGAGACCACAGCTCACTACAGCCTCAACTCAACTTCCTGGGCTCAAGTAATCCTCCCAGCAAAACTGGGAGGTGCACACCGCTACGCCTGGCTAATTTTTGTAGAGACAGAGGTCTCCCTATATTGCCCAGGCTGGTCTGGAACTCCTGAGCGCAAGAGATTCCACCCACCTCGGCCTCCCAAACTGCTGGGATTACAGGCATGAGCCGTCACGCCTGGAAGAAATATCAACAACATTCAAAGAAACCCTGCAACATGAAAGGAAAGCACCAAGATAAACCAACCCCATCATCCATTCTGCCTCCTTCTTTCCTAAAAGTACCCCAGTTTGTTCAGGTGCCCACCAGCATACACATCCTGGGCACTGACCCCTTCCTTCTTCAGCTCCAGCAAAGTCTGACCAGTCTAAAGTAACCACTCCCCTTCTGCCCACGATTGCATTAGGAAAGGGTACATGCCCCAGTTCTAGCCACTAAGATAAAAGGAAGGGAGGCTTCTAAGAAAGGCTTCTTCCTTTTAATTAAAAGAGAACCCGGGGGCAGTAACTTCTGCCTCCCACAAGCCATGATTAAGGATACATCCTGTAACTCTGAGAGGAACTGGCCCCAGGATGGAAACATTGCAGGATTGCAGAGGAGGAATGGGAGGAAGAGCATGGGATCCCAAGGCATCGCAAATGCCTGATCAAGGGGCCCTGAATCCCAGCCACCCCCTTCTGTGAGCTTCCTGTAAGTCGGATGTTTAGTTATTTGTAGCCAAATGCATCCTAAGTACATTCAAAAAAATTTAAAAAAAAAAGAAAAAGAAAAGAAAAGTAATCCTGGAGGAAACAGAATTTACGTAAAGAAAAAGAGGCTGGGTGCGATCGCTCACGCCTGTAATCCCAGCACTTTGGGAGGCAGAGGCAGGTGGATCATGAGGTTAGGAGATGGAGTCCATTCTGGCTAACATGGTGAAACCCCATCTCTACTAAAAATACAAAAAAAATTAGCCGGGCGTGGTGGCGGGCGCCTGTAGTCCCAGCTACCAGGAGGCTGAGGCAGGAGAATGGCATGAACCCGAGAGGCGGAGCTTGCAGTGAGCTTGCAGTGAGATCGCGCCATTGCACTCCCGCCTGGGCGACAGAGCGAGATTCCGTCTTAAAAAAAAAAAGAAAAGAAAAGAAAAGAAAAGAAAAGAAAAAAAGAAAAAGAAAAAAAAAAATCTGGTATTTTTAAAGACATTTGAGAAAATGCTGCTTCAGGCCAGGCACGAGGCTCACCCCTGTAATCCCAGCACTTTGGGAGGCCAAAGCGGGAGGATCGCTTGAGACCAGGAGTTTGAAACCAGCCCTGGCAACATAGTGAGATCCTGTCTCTACAAAAAATTAAAAAATTAGCTGGGCGGGGCTGGGCACAGTAGCTCATGCCTGTAATCCCAGCACTTTGGGAGGCCGAGGCAGGTGGATCACCTGAGGTCAGGAGTTCGAGACCAGCCTGGCCAACATGGTGAAACCTCATCTCTACTAAAAACACAAAAATTATCCAGGTGTGGTGGCGGGTGCCTGTAATCCCAGCTACTCGAGGCTGAGGCAGGAGAATCGCTTAAACCCGGGAGGCAGAGGTTGCAGTGAGCCAAGATTGCGCCACTGCACTCCAGTCTGGGCGACAGAGTGAGACTCCATCTCAAAAAAAAAAAAAAAAAAAAAAAAAAAGAGCTGGGCGGGAGCCAGCTGGGCCCCAGCGAGTGCACGTTAGACCACGGCTCCAAGCTCTTCTTCCGGCGCCTCTGACCCGGGGGCCGCCTTTCCCCATCCCCACCGAAGTCCCTAATAAATGAAGGTGCTGCTTCCAAAAAAAAATTAGCTGGGCAGGGCGTGGTAGCACGTGCCTGTAATTTCAGCTGCTCTGGAGGCTGAGGTGGGAGGATCACTTGAGCCTGGGTATTTGAGGCTGCAGTGAGCTGTGCTCATGCCACTGCACTCTGGCCTGGGTGACAGAGCAAGACCCCATATTAAAAAAAAAAAAAAAGATGGGCCAGGCACGGTGGCTCACGCCTGTAATCCCAGCACTTTGGGAGGCAGAGGCAGGTGGATCATGAGATCAGAAGATCGAGTCCATTCTGGCTAACATGGTGAAACCCCGTCTCTACTAAAAATACAAAAAAATTAGCCAGGCGTGATGGCGGGCGCCTGTAGTCCCAGCTACTCGGGAGGCTGAGGCAGGAGAATGGCATGAACCCAGGAGGCGGAGCTTGCAGTGAGCCGAGATCGCGCCACTGCACTCCAGCCTGGGCGACAGAGCAAGACTCTTTCCCCAAAAAAAAAAAAAAAAAAAAAAAAAAGATATTGCTGGCCAGGTGCAGTGGCTCACACCTGTAATCCCAGCATTTTGGAGGCCGAGGTGGGCTGATCACCTGGGGTCAGGGGTTCGAACCAGCCTGGCCAACATGGTGAATCGCTGTCTCTACTAAAAATACAAAAATTAGCTGGGCACAGTGGCAGGTGCCTATAATCCCAGCTACTCGGGAGGCTGAGGCAGGAGAATCATTTGAGCCCGGGAGGCGGACGTTGCAGTTAAACCGAGATCCACTACTGCACTCCAGCTGGGCGACAGAGCAAGGCTCCATCTCAAAGAAAAAAAAAATTGCTACACTATGTTACAATAAAAACAGGGTGTTATAAAAAAGAAAGAGGCCAGGCACAGTGGCTCACGCCTGTAATCCCAGCACTTTGGGAGGCTGAGGCAGGTGGATCACCTAAGGACAGGAGTTCGAGACCAGCCTGACCAACAAGGTGAAACCCTGTCTCTACTAAAAATACAAAAAAAAATTTAGCCGGGTGTGGTGGCAGGCACCTGTAGTCCCAGCTATTCTGGGAGCTGAGGCAGGAGGATCGCTTGAACCCAGGAGGAGGAGGTTGCAGTGAGCCAAGATCACACCACTGCACTCCAGCCTGGGCGACAGAGTGAGACTCCATCTCAAATAAATAAATAAATAGAGCAAAGACTGAATTCTTAGAAATTAAAGCTATGATACTGAATTACTAAAAGCATTAGAATAAAGAAGCTGGGCACAGTAGCTCACTCCTGTAATTCCTGCAGTTTGGGAGGCCAAGGAGAATGGCTTGAGGCCAGAAGTTCAAGACCAGCCTGGGTAATATAGCAAGGCCTCATCTGTACAAACACAAACAGGAAGTGTTGTAATAAAAAGTTAATAAATTATCCCAGAAAACTGCCAGGTGTGGTGGATCATGCCTGTAATCCCAGCACTTTGGGAGACCAAGGCAGGCGGATCACCTGAGGTCAGGAGTTCGAGATCAGCCTGGCCAACGTAGCAAAACCCCATCTACTAAAAATACAAAAATTAGCCAGGTGTGGTGGCAGGCGTCTGTAATCCCAGCTACTTGGGAGGCTGAGGCAGGAAAATCGCTTGAACCCGGGAGGCGGAGGTTGCCATGAGCCAAGATTATGCCACTGCACTCCACCCTGGGTGACAGAGTGAGACTCTGTCTCAAGAATAAAAAATTTAAAAAATAAATAAAGCTGGGCGCGGTGGCTCACGCCTGTAATCCCAGCACTTTGGGAGGCCAAGGCAGGTGGATCACGAGGTCAGGAGTTTGAGACAGGAAGCTGAGGCAGGAGAATAGCTTGAACCCAGGAGGCAGAGGTTGCAGTGAGCCAAGATCGCTCCACTGCACTCCAGCCTGGGACAGAGTGAGACCCCATCTCAAAAATTGATTAATTAATTAATTATCCCAGAAAATAGAACTCCCAGAAGGTGTAGGGGTGGAGAAGAAAATATGAGAGAAAATATATGAGACTGCCGCTCTAACATAGAGATCCAATAAGTGGCGGCTTAAAGAAGAGACGTGTCGGCCGGGCGCAGTTGCTCACACCTGTAATCCCAGCACTTTGGGAGGCCAAGGTGGGTGGATCATGAGGTCAGTAGTGTGAGACCATCCTGGCCAACCCCGTCTCTACTAAAAATACAAAAATTAGCCAGGCATGGTGGCGCATGCCTGTAATCCCAGCTACTTGGGAGGCTGAAGCAGGAGAATCACTTGAACCCAGAAGGCAGAGGTTGCAGTGAGCCGAGATTGTGCCACAGCACTCCAGCCTGGGACAGAGTGAGACTCTATCTCAAAAAAAAAAAAGAAGAGACGTGTCTGCAAAAAACAAATAAATAAATAAACAAAAGAAGAGACATGTTCAAGTGAAATGGTGGTAGTTAGGGAGGCAGCTCTGCTTCTCTCATTGCTCAGGGACCAAGGGCCCTTCCTCATCACTTTTCTGCCATCGGTAGGGCACCGTTTGTCACCTGCACGTTTGAATCTGTTGTGGGGATCTCCAGCCAGCAGGAATGGAGAGTATGAAGCTGGCCTACTTCCTAAGGCCAAAGACCAGAAGTCACATACATCACCTCCTCACATTCTATTGGTGGAAACTTAGTCACATGACCATGCCTACTGCAAGGGAGGCTGGGACATGCAGTTCCACCATGTTCTTGGGGAAGAAGGGCTCATTGGATTTTGGATAATGAGTAGTCTTTGCCACAGAGACACAGCCAGGCAATCCAAGAGGCCCAAAAGCTAACCAATAGGAGTGCCAGGAAGAGAGAACCCAAGAAATGGAAGAAGGAGAATGATCAGAGATCATTCTCACTCTGATGAGAAACATGCGTCTTCAGGCTGAAAAGCCCACCTAGTGCCTGCCCAATGAAAGAAAACCCATGCCGGGCACACTGGAACCCCAAAAGTGTCATGTACGACTTAGCTATTTCCTAAGGAACAGGAAGCAGCTGGTGATTAGGTTAACATAAATGAAAGAAAGAAAAAAGTCCCAGGGTAAGAAAAAATTAATAGAATGAACACCACATTAGGCTCTGAACTTCCTGGGGCTGGCCCTGAAAGGGAAAATTTACATAAGTTCCTCCTTTTTGACTATAAGAACTAGTTCCTTAGAGAAGGTCAATATTTCGTGACACTCACTTCTAAAATTAATTTTCATATAAGAACATATCTTATGCCAGTTGATGTCATGGATATAATGGCTGATGGGCAACACACCACTCCTGAGAAAGGCTTGGGCACTGGAGTCAGACCAACCTGAAGGCAGCCACCACTCACTGTGTGCCCTTGGGAACATTTCTGAGTCTCAGTTTTCCTCACCTTTAAAATGGGCATAGTAAAAGGAAAAGAAGAGCCAGGCATGGTGGCACAGTAGTAGTCCAGTAATCCCAGCCAAGGAGGCCAAGGCAGGAGGAGTTTTGAGGCCATCCTGGGGACCATAGGGAGACCCTGTCTCTCTAGATTTAAAAAATATATTAAAAAGTAAAGAAAAATGGGCACAGAGTATTTATCTCACAACATTATTAATTTGTTCTTTAATTCCGCAAATATTTGTTGAACACCAACCATGTGTCCGGCATAGGATTGTGACAATTAATGAAATCAAGGGCCAGTCACCTGTCCTCTTGGAGGTAGCCTTCTCCGGAGTGAGACAGACTCTACATATGTAGGAAGCAGGCATCATGGAGAAACATCACGCAGGAAAGTGGGGGAAGGAAGTGCTCCTTTCTACAGGCTGATGTCTCTGAGAAGGGGACATCTGAGGGGAGACTTGAGGGAAGAGAGGGAGCAGCCATGAGATGTTCATGGGGAATCCCACGGACAAACAAAGCCAGTTCAAAGGCCCTAACCTGGGTCCTGCTTCGCGTGTTCTGGGAAGCCCAAGGAGGCCAGTATGGCTGGAGCAGAGTGCATGAAAAGCGAAGTCAAGAGGAAAGGGGGCCATAGGGCACGGCTTTAGGTCATTATTAGCACTTTCACTCTGAGTCAGTGTGGAGAGTTTAGAGAGCTTCAACTTTGTTTTGTTCTGTTTTCTAGAGACAGAGTTTTATTCTGTGGCCCAGACTGGAGTACACTGGTGCAATTATGGCTCACTGCGGCCTCCAACTTCTGGGCTGAAGCGACCCTCCCACCTTAGCCTCCTGAGTGGCTGGGACCACAGGTGTGTGCCATCATGCCCAGCTTTTTTTTTTTTTTTTTTTTTTTTTTTTGATACAGAGTCTTGCTCTGTCACCAGGCTGGAGGGTAGTGGCACGATCTTGGCTCACTGCAACCTCTGCCTCCCTGGTTCAAGCAATTCTCCTGCTTCAGCCTCCCAAGTAGCTGAGACTACAGGCACGTGCCACCATGCCCAGCTAATTTTTGTATTTTTAGTAGAGACGGGGTTTCACCATGTTGGCCAGGATTGTCTTGATCTCTTGACCTTGTGATCTGCCTGCCTCAGCCTCCCAAAGTGCTGGGATTACAGGCGTAAGCCACTGCGCCCTGCCGCTGATTTTTGTATTTTTTGTAGAGACAGGGTCTTGCTATGCTGCCCAGGTTGGTCTCAAACTCCTGGGCTCAAGTGATCACCAGGGTTTCTTGACAGATTGGATTTGGGGATGTGTGAGAGAGGATTGAGGACAACACCAAGGTTTTCGGCCACACCAACTGTAAGAATAGAATTGTTGTATTCTGATATGGGAAGGCTGCAGGAGGAGCAGGTATGGGGGAGAAGATAAAGAGTTCATTTTGGGCCCGGGCACGGTGGCTCACACTTGTAATCCTACCACTTTGGGAGGCAGAGGCAGGCAGATCGCTTGAGCTCAGGAGTTTGAAACCAGCTTGGCCAACAGGGTGAAACCCTGTCTGTACTAAAAATACAAAAAATTTGCCGGGTGTGGTGGCACGTGCCTGTAATCTCAGCTACTCGGGAGGCTGAGGCAGGAGAATCACTTGAACCTGGGAGGCGGAGTTTGCAGTGAGCCAAGATCAGGCCACTGCACTCCAGCCTGGGCAACAGAGCAAGATTCTGTCTCAAAAAAAAAAAGTTCATGTTGGGACATGTTAAGTTTGTGTTGCCTGTCAGACACCCAAGGGGAAGTTTCAAGTGAGCAGTTCTGAAGCTCACAGAAGAGGTCTGCAGTGAAGATGAAAACTTGGGGGACATCAACATTTGGATGATATTTAAAGCCAGGGGTCTGTGTGAGCTCAACTCAAGAGTGAGTGTCACCAGGCACCATGGCTCATGCCTGTAACCCTAACACTTTTGGAGGCCAAGGTGGGAGGATCACTTGAGCCCAGGAGTTTGAGACCAGCCTAGGCAACACGGTGAGACCCTATCTCTACTTAAAATTTTAAAAATTAGCCAGGCAGGGGGGCATGTGCCTGTGGTCCCAGCTACTTGGGAGGCTGAAGTGGGAGGATTGCTGTAACCCAGGAGTTTGAGTTTGGAGTGAGATAGGATTATGCCACTGCACTTCAACCTGGGTGACAGAACAAGATTCTATCTCAAAGTTAAAAAAAAAAAAAAAAAAAAGAGTGGCCAGGCGCCATGGCTCACGCCTGTAATCCCAGCACTTTGGGAGGCTGAGGCGGGCAGATCACGAGGTCGGGAGATCGAGACCATCCTGGCTAACACGGTGAAACCCCGTCTCTACTAAAAATACGAAAAATTAGCCAGGCGTGGTGGCGAGCGCCTGTAGTCCCAGCTACTCAGGAGGCTGAGGCAGGAGAATTGCATGAACCCAGGAGGCGGAGCTTGCAGTGAGCCAAGATCGTGCCACTGCACTCCAGTCTGGGCGACAGAGCGACACTCCGTCTCAAAAAAAAAACAACGAAAAACGAGTGAGTGTCAATTAGGAGAAGAGGACCAACACAGACATAAGAAGTGGGTGCCACTTCACTTACAGAGAGGGCAGTGACAGCTCAGAGATTCTGTGTCTTGCCCACGGTCACACAGCTGGTAAGGGGTAGGATCCGAATTCACAATGAGGTCCTAGTTCAGATCTTTTTGCACTCTATTAGAGTAATCCATACAGACTTCTGTTGATCTAAGTCGACCCGTGGCTATAACTGGAAATAGTTAAGGAGTGTTCACTCAGCCCTCAAGCCTTGAGAGAGAGTCTCGCCCTGTCACCAAGGCTGGAGTGCAGTGGTACGATCTCGGCTCACTGCAACCTCCGTCTCCCGGGTTCAAGCGATTCTCCTGCCTCAGCCTCCCAAGTAGCTGGAACTACAGGTGCCTGCCACCATGCCCAGGTAATTTTTGTATTTTTAGTAGACATGGGGTTTCACCACATTGGCCATGCTGATCTTGAACTCCTAACCTCAAGTGATCCGCCCGCCTCGTCCTCCCAAAGTGCTGGGATTACAGATGTGAGCCACTGTACCCAGCCAGCAGCTGGGCTTTTGAGAAGATTTGGAGAATCAAGAGTCCACAATTCTTGATTCTCAGTGTGGGCCTGGAGGTTGCATGGGTTTGCAATACATTGAGTCTGGGCAGATGTGTGCGCCTAGCAAAGCCAGAGGTGGTAGCAGCCATCACAGGTTTCCAAAGCTGGGGCCCTGGCCACCTAAGTATCAGCCAGTACAGACACAATATTAGATCTGCCCCAGCCCTTGAACAACTGATGGGGCACTCAGTATCACACCTCAATCGGCCTCCCTCCATTGGAGGACTGACTCCATTCCTCAATATCAAGATAAGTGTCACAGACTGTCCCTGTCCCAGCTCTAAATTAAAGGTAATGATGCTGCCCTCTCCAGGACAGTCATAAAGTTAAACAAGAAAATAGTGAAATTACGCACAGAGTTTACTATTTTTCTTTTCCTGTCTCAGCCTTTAAGAACTCAGTAAAGGCCAGGCGAGGTGGCTCATGCCTATAATCCCAGCACTTTGGGAGGCCAAGGTGAGCAGATCACCTGAGGTCAGGAGTTCGAGACCAGCCTTGCCAACTTGGCAAAATCCTGTCTCTACTAAAAATACAAAAATTAGCTGGACTTGGTGGCAGGCACCCGTAATCCCAGCTACTTGGGAGGCTGAGGCAGGAGAATCATTTGAACCCGGTAGGCGGAGGTTGCAGTGAGCCGAGATCATGCCACTGTACTCTCCAGCCTGGGTGACAGAGCGAGACTCGGTTAAAAAAAAAAAAAAAAAAGGAAAGAGGAAAGGAAGAGAGAGAGAAAGAGAAAGAAAGAAAAGGAAAGGAAAAGGAAAGAAGAAAAGAAAAAAGAAAGGAACAGAACAGAACTAAGCAAAGATCCCTCAGAAGGGACCTCCAGGGGTCCCCCCACCCTCGTATCTGTTCAGTTCTGTTTCCGTTCAGTTGGATGTGTCCCACCTAGGAAGTGGTTTCAGACAGGGTTCCTCAGAGCCCTGGGGTTCAGAGGTGATGTTTTGGGGTTTGTGGCTCTGGGCTGGTCATCATCTACCCTCACTCCCAGACCTATTCTCAGCCCTACCCTCTGCCCTGGAGGCTCCCCCACCCTCTGTTTTTTGTTTTGTTTTGTTTTGTTTTGAGATGGAGTCACGATCTGTTGCCCAGGCTGGAGTGCAGTGGCAGGATCTTGGCTCGCTGCAACCTCCGCCTCCCCGGTTCAAGCAATTCTTCTGTCTCAGCCTCTCAAATAGCTGGGATTACAGGTGCCCTCCACCACGCCCAACTAATTTTTTTGTATTTTTAAATAGAGACAGGGTTTTGCCATGTTGGCCAGGCTGGTCTCGAACTCCCGCCTGGACCTCCCAAAGTGCTGGGATTACAGGGGTGAGCCACCGCACCCGGCCTGGATTTCACTTGAGTTTAGCTAAAGGGAGGACTGGCTGGAGCTCCAAGGGGGAGGACAGTCAGGACATTTCTATTCTGCTCCCTTCCTGCTGTGCCTCACATCTCTGGCAGTGGCTTCATCTCCCCACCCACATCTGCAGCACCTGTCAGGTGGCCCCTTCTACATCCCCAGGTTTTAATGAGTTTCGGTAACACAGTTTCTGCCTGTTACCCCATCAGTCCTAGAAGCAGTAACAGGCTCCAATAGTTGCTAGTCTCTTAGGGCTTCAGCATTCCTTGTAGCCTCCTTTAACCATATCCATTTCTCCATAAGGAGTCCCTATATTAAAGCCTCCAGAACTGCGTGTTCCAATAGATAACAACTAGCCACATGTGGATACTTAAATTGGAGCCAGATGTGGTAGCTTACATCTGTAATCCCAGCTACTCAGGAGCTGAGGCAGGAAGATTTCCTTTTTTTTTGAGACAGAGTCTCGCTCTGTTGCCAGGATGGAGTGCAATGAAGCAATCTTGGCCCACTGCAACCTCTGACTCCCTGGTTCAAGCGATTTTCCTGCCTCAGCCTCCCGAGTAGCTGGGATTACAGGCACGTACCACCATGCCCAGCTAATTTTGGCATTTTTAGTAGAGACGGGGTTTCACCATGTTGGCCAGGATGGTCTCAATCTCCTGACCTCGTGATCCACCCGCCTTGGCCTCCCAAAGTGCTGGGATTACAGGCCTGAGCCACTGCGCTTGGCCTCTTTTTTTTTTTTTTTTTTTTTTTGAGATGGAGTCTCGCTCTTTCGCCAGGCTGGAGTGCAGTGGCGCGATCTCGGCTCACCACAGCCTCCAACTCCCCTGGTTCAAGCGATTCTCCTGCCTCAGCCTCCTGAGTAGCTGGGATTACAGGCACATGCCACCATGCCCAGCTAATTTTTGTATTTTTAGTAGAGACAGGGTTTCTTTTTTTTTTTTTTTTCCAGATGGAGTTTCACTCTTGTCACCCAGACTGGAGTGCAATGGCACAATCTCGGCTCACCGCAACCTCTGCCTCCCAGGTTCAAGCGATTCTCCTGCCTCAGCCTCCCAAGTAGCTGGGACTACAGGTGTGTGCCACCACGCCCGGCTAATTTTTGTATTTTTAGTAGAGACGGGGTTTCACCATCTTGGCCAGGCTGGTCTCGAACTCCTGACCTCATGATCCACCCGCCTCGGCCTCCCAAAGTGCTGGGATTACAGGCGTGAGCCACCGCACCCGGTGAGACAGGGTTTCACCATGTTGGCCAGGATGGTCTCGATCTCCTGACCTCGTGATATGCCCGCCCTGGCCTCCCAAAGTGCTGGGATTACAGGCGTGAGCCTCCATGCCTGGCCTTTTTTCTTTTTTTTTTTTTAAGAGTAAGAGTAGACTTTATTTTATTTTATTTATTTATTATTTATTATTATTATTTTTTGAGACAGAGTCTCACTCTGTTGCCCAGGGTGGAGTGCAGTGGCACGATCTTGGCTCAGTGCAACCTTCGCTTCCTATGTTCAAGCAATTCTCCTGCCTCAGCCTCCCAAGTAGCTGGGACTACAAGTGCATGCCACCACACCCAGCTAATTTTTTATTTTTAGTAGAGACGGGGTTTCATCATGTTGGCCAGGCTGATCTCGAACTCCTGACCTCAGGTGATCCGCCCACCTCGGCCTCCCAAAGTGCTGGGATTACAGGTGTCAGCCACTGCGCCCGGCCTTATTTATTTATTTTTGAGACGGGGTCTCACTCTGTTGCCCAGGCTGGAGAGTAGTGATGCAATCTTGGCTCACTGCAACCTCCACCTCCTAGGTTCAAGCAATTCTCCTGCCTCAGCCTCCTGAGTAGCTAGGATTACAGGCACGTGCCACCACATCTGGCTAATTTTTTGTATTTTTAGTAGAGATGGGGTTTTACCATGTTGGCCAGGCTGGTCTTGATGTCCTGACCTTGTGATCCACCCGCCTCAGCCTCCCAAAGTTCTGGGATTACAAGCGTGAGCCACGGCGCCTGGCCTCTTTCTTTTTTTCTCTCAAGACGGAGTCTTGCTCTGTCGCCCAGGCTGGAGTGCGGTGGTATGATCTCGGCTCTCTGCAAGTTCTGCCTCCCGGGTTCAAGCAATTCTCCTGCCTCAGCCTCCCGAGTAGCTGGGATTATAGGCGCCCACCAACACACCTGGCTAATTTTTTGTATTTTTAGTAAAGACGAGGTTTTAGCATGTTGGCCAGGCTGGTTTCGAACACCTGACCTCAAGTGATACACCTGCCTTGGCCTCCCAAAGTGTTAGGATTACAGGCGTGAGCCACTGTGCCTGGCCTAACAAAGTGATTTAATGTGCTTATTGTGTGAAGCACTCTTTCTGTGTATTTTTAAAAATTGAGATGTAATTCATCTGTGTATATTTAAGGAGACTAGAAGACTTGCTCATAATGGTAGAATTTTAAAACTAGATATGACTCCGAGGTTGCTCCAGACCAACACTGAGATTTTGAGTGAAGAGGGGCAGTGAGCAGCTCTGTGGCTTGGTCCAGCACTTGCCTAGCCCCTGACTGGACCAAAGCCAAATCCATTTTCCATTTTCCAGTTTACACCTTGGTGCCTCCAACTATGAGTACTTTTTTTTTTTTTTTTTTTTTTGAGACTGAGTCTCACTCTGTCGCCCAGGCTGGAGTGCAGTGGCACGTTCTCAGCTCACTGCAACCTCCACCTCCCAGGTTCAAGCAATTCTCCTGCCTCAGCCTCCTGAGTAGCTGGGATTACAGGCGCCCGCCACCACACCCAGCTAATTTTTGTATTTTTAGTAGAGATGGGTTTCACCACCTTGGCCAGGCTGGTCTCTAACTCCTGACCTCAAGTGATCCGCCCATCTCGGCCTCCCAAAGTGCTAGGACTACAGGTGTGAGCCACCACGCCCAGCCCAAGTACTTTTGGTGTCAGGAAACCACCAGGAGTCAGCACTGTCAAGCTCCCCAAGGCATTTGTCATGCGCTCAGTGTTTTCCTGGCTTTTGCCACAGTGGGAGGTGACATGAGCAAGGCGGGTGACACGAGGCTCCTCCACAGCTACGGGAGGCACTCGGGCCACCGCGAATTCGTGATCAGTGCTCCAGTTCTGCTGGCGCCTTCCAGCCTTGCCCAGCCATCCCAGGAGCACACTGTGCTCCTTTCAATGAAAACGTGTGGAATAGGTACCACATTTGTAGCAGCTGTTGATGGAAATCTGTTAGTGACAAAGTGCTTAGACACAGGAGAAGCCACCCACATCAGAACCCCTGGGGAGCTCGTTAAAAGGCAGACTCCCAGCACTACCTGGACCTGGGGATGGCAGCCATGACTCTGTGAGGCAGAGCCAGAGGCCTCAGTGAGCGATGCTTATGGCTGAGCCCCACGTGTCAGGAGAAGGAAGCTCCTGGGAGGCTGCACCTGGCACTGTGCCATGGAGAGGGGCACCCCAAGGCCTGCAGGTGGAGAGCGCTGACTCCAAGGTGAGTGTTTAGGGTGACTTAGGACGGAAGGAGTGTTCCAATAAAAGCTGGCCCTGTGGTGGGCCTAGATTAAGCAGGGACTGCCAGAGATCAGGACTGATGCTATAGCTCAGGGTCTGCTTATTTAAAAACCTTGCTCACCCAGGAGCGGTGGCTCACACCTGTCATCCCAGCACTTTGGGAGGCAGAGGCGAGTGGATCACCTGAGATCAGGAGTTTGAGACCAGCCTGGCCAACATGGTGAAACCCCGTCTCTACTTAAAATACAAAAATTGGCTTGGCCTGGTGGCACATGCCTGTAATCCCAGCTACTCAGGAGGCTGGGGCAGGAGAATCACTAGAACCCAGAGGTGGAGGTTGCAGTGAGCTGAGATCATGCCATTGTACTCCAGCCTGGGCAATAGAGTAAGATTCTGTCTTAAAACAAAACAAAACAAAACAAAACAAAACAAAAACTTTGCTCATTGTGTTATTTTATAATGTTATTTGGTGATAGGATTTAAGCTGCTTTTAAAAAATATTTGGAAGACATCTTTTTTTTTTAAATTAAAGTCTGGAAATCTTATAGGACAGGCAGGCATCTCAGAAACTTTCTTTACCGATTTCTGCCTGCAGGGAGATGAGGCCCTCACCACCACCCAGTGGCAGCACTGGGACCCTGCCTTCATTCCACATTTACTGTGAACCTCTGGGCAGGCGCTGGGCTGGCGGGGGGCAGAGTGAATGGGACAGACAGAGCCCACCTTTCACGGAGCCCACCTTTGGCTTGTCACTTCAACCATACAGCAACCCCTTGCGAGTGAACTCATATAACCCTAATGTAGACAATGCCTCAGGTAACACCACAGCTCAACAAACAGACAAAATGACACACACGTCTCGCTGCCTTTATTTCCAGGAATTAGTGGCGGGCCCTTGGAAAACCACTACAGACTGAAGCAATTTCACTTCCACTGGGGAGCAGTGAACGAGGGGGGCTCAGAGCACACAGTGGACGGCCACGTGTACCCCGCAGAGGTTTGTAGACGTGGCCTAACAGCACATATCTGGACGCTTTCCATGTCTCCGGCTCTATGGTGGGGGGTGAACAAGCCATGCCTGCCGCTCAGATGTGAAGGATTTCCTGGGGCCTGGGACTGTCAGTGCTCAAACCAGAACCGTCGGCCGCCCCACCCGTTTGGTCACACCCCCCTCCTACGAAGAAGACACTGTAAGTTCTCTCATTTAACGGAAGAAGAGACTGAGGTTCTGAATGGTTACGGAACTTGCCAAAGCCAGACAGCTGGGATTCAAAGTCAGAGCTTGAGCTCTTTGCCACGCTTCACTCAGCTGTGTGCTTGCAGCTGTAGGGACTAGCAAATCCACAAGGCCCTCCGCTGAGAAGCTGAACATCTTTGCAATAGAGATCATCTTCTTTTGTTTGTTTGTTTTTTGTTTTTTTGAAACAGGGTTCACTCTGTCACCCAGACTGGAGTGCATTGGTGCAATCTTGGCTCACCACAACCTCCATCTCCCAGGCTCAAGCGATTCTCCTGCCTCAGCCTTCCGAGTAGCTGGGATTACAGGTGCGTGCCACCAGGCCCTGCTAATTTTTGTATTTTTAGTAGAGATGTGGTTTCGCCATGTTGGCCAGGCTGGTCTCAAACTCCTGACCTCAAGTGATCCACCCACCTCAGCTTCCCAAAATGCTAGGATAACAGGCGTGAGCCACTGCACCCGGCCAAGATCATCTTCTTAAAGCAGTCTTATTTTCAACATTCCAAAGTGGGAGTCAGTAGAGAAAATGAGTGCAGATCAATGCTGGGAATTGGTTTTTGTAGTTTTTTTGGGTGATAAGTGATGCCTTATAGATTTCCCCAAATATTTTATTATGAAATTTTTGCAACATACGAAAAAATGAAAAGAAATGAACAAGAAGAATCTATGAGTTTGACGTCTCAGTCCTGTGATGATCATTTTTGCCATATTCACTTTATCACACCTCTGCTCACCCACTCACCTGACTTCTTGATGCTTTTTCAAGTTGAGGACTCTTTCTGTTTTTTGAACTTGTTGTTGTTATGAAAGTAATGCTGCAGTTAATGTGGAACTAGAGTGCACCCAAACCAAAAAATGAAAATTGCTTGTAATCGCACACCCAGAGGTGACCTCCGGACATTTTATAAATAGGGAGTGATATCTATTGTCATCATCATACAGATATTTATAAATAGTTCCAAGAATGAGCGCAACAATGGCTTCTGTGTGCTTCCTTTCATTTAACAACATGCCTTTTATTTTAGTATCTCTATCTGCAACTTTATTTTTGATGAACAGATATTTTATTTATTTATTTATTTTTGAGACTGAGTATCACTCTGTTCCCCAGGCTGGAGTGCAGTGGCGCGATCGCACGATCTCGCAATCTTGGCTCACTGCAACCTCTGCTGCCCAGGTTCAAGTGATTCTCCTGCCTCAGCCTCCTGAGTAGCTGGGATTACAGGCACCTGCCACCGCGCCCAGCTAATTTTTGTAGTTTTAGTAGAGACGGGGTTTCACCGTCTTGGCCAGGCTGGTCTTGAACTCCTGTCCTCGTGATCCACTCGCCTCGGCCTCCCAGAGTGCTGGGATTACAGGCGTGAGCCACCACGCCCAGCCGAGGCGTGAGTTTTTTCTGGTAATCCTTGTCCAAGGATAACTAGGAAGTAGAAAATAATGAAACCACCCATTTCTATTGGATGAGGTTAACATGATCCTCTCCTTTTTCCCACCACCAGGAAGACTGAGGCTCTTCCTTCCCATGGCTTCATCAAGTGCCTGGGAGCTCAGAGGTGCTGCTAGTGCTGGGATCTTACACATCTGGCTGCAACAACTTAGTTCTTTTTTTTTTTTTTTTTTTTTTTTTGAGACGGAGTCGCGCTCTGTCACCCAGGCTGGAGTGCAGAGGCACAATCTCAGCTCACTGCAAGCTTTACCTCCTGGGTTCAGGCAATTCTCCTGCCTCAGCCTCCTGAGTAGCTGGGACTACAGGCGCCCGCCACCATGCTCGGCTAATTTTTTTTTTTTGCATTTTTAGTAGAGACGGGGTTTCACCATGTTAGCCAGGATGGTCTTGATCTCCTGACCTCATGATCCACCCGCCTCAGCCTCCCAAGGTGCTGGGATTACAGGTGTGAGCCACTGCGCCTGGCCATTTCATTATGATTAAGTGGACACATAGGTCAGCCATTCAGAAGGGGAAGTGACTGTCTTATTTCTTGCTGATCAATTTAAGTTCTCTTTCCATTGTGTTTCAGCTGCATTTAGTTCACTGGAATTCTGTGAAATACCAAAATTACAAGGAAGCTGTCGTGGGAGAGAATGGTTTCTGTGATAGGCGTGTTTTTAAAGGTAATCGCTTGCTGGGGTGTAGATCTAATGAAGAAAGTGGTGATCCATCATTAGGATTGCTTTTTTTTTTTTTTGAGACAGGACTCGCTGTGTCACACAGGCTGGAGTGCAGTGGCACGGTCTCGGCTCATTGCAACCTCCACCTCCTGGGTTCAAGTGATTCTCCTGCCTCAGCCTTCCCAGTAGCTGGGACTATAGGAGTGTGTCACCACACCCAGCTAATTTTTGTATTTTTAGTAGAGACAGGGTTTCACCATATTGGCCAGGCTGGTTTCAAACTCCTGACCTTAGATATCTGCCCACCTCGGCCTCCCAAAGTGCTGGGATCACAGGCGTGAGCCACCGTGCCTGGCCTAGGATTGCTTTTAAAACGTGGTGTATTTATAGTGGAGTGAGCTTCCCCCCGCCACCCACTGCCTTTTCAGCTAACCCCTTGTGTGTCTGCCACGCAGCTCGGGGCCCATCATCAGATGCTGCAGAGGCTGGTGGACGTCTTGCTGGAAGTAAAACATAAGGTAAGCTGCATATTTGAAATCAGCAGGCCGGGCGCGGAGGCTCACGCCTGTGATCCCAGTACTTTGGGAGGCTGAGGCAGTGGATCACCTGAGGTCGGGAGTTCGAGACCAGCCTGACCAACATGGAGAAATCCCGCCTCCACTAAAAATACAAAATTAGCAGGGTGTCATGGCACATGCCTGCAATCCCAGCTACTCGGGAGGCTGAGGCAGGAGAATCGTTTGAACCCAGAGGTGGAGGTTGCAGTGAGCTGAGATCGCGCTGTTGCACTCCAGCCTGGGTGACAAGAGTGAAATCCTATCTCAAAAAAAAAAAAAAAAAAAGAAAAGAAATCAGCATAATTTGACAAGCAAAATTGTTTAGTGCAGCGATTCATTTGCAAGGAAAAAGAAATCTCATAGTGGAAAGAGCCCCGCCGAGGCGCTGTGATTCCAGTTCTGGAAACAGGATTCCGCAGGGTTGATGCTCGTGTGTCCACAGCTAGCTCTTCCTGACTTCGAATGCGTCACCACTGCTCTGGGACCCTGTTTCCTCCTCCATAAAATAAGGGTGTTGGGCTCAATGGAAGTTCCCAAAATTCAGTCGTGCAGGCAAGATCCTGAAGACTTTGACATATCTGCCTGCCAATGGGACAACTTTCTACTGAATATTTTTCTTTTCTTTTTTATTTTTTCGAGGAGTCTCCCTCTGTCACTCAGGCTGGAATGCAGTGGCGTGATCTCGGCTCACTGCAACCTCCGCCTCCCGGGTTCAAGCAATTCTCTTGCCTCAGCCTCCCATGCAGTTGGGACGATAGGTGTGCGCCACCACACCCAGCTAATTTTGTATTTTTAGTAGAGACGGGGTTTCACCATGTTGGCCAGGCTGGTCTCAAACTGCGGACTTCAGGTGATCCGCCCGCCTTGGCCTCCCAAGGTGCTGGGATTACAGGCGTGAATCACCGCGCCCAGCCTACTTAATATTTTTCTTTAAATTGATTAGCTCGAAAAATTTTTAGCCTTGTCCTGGGTGATGATATTCACTAATGATAAAGTTTGTTTGAAAACAGATTGAAACAAAAACCTCAAATCCCTAACTAATAACATTTAAGAATGTTGACTCATGTACCACCCAGCATCTCCTTGAACGTCCCTGTCCGACCCCAAGCCCAAGGGCAGAGAGAAACCTGCCCAAACCGCGGCTCTCCGGCCCAGCTCTCCACACGCTTCCCTGCATCCAGCGCCCAGCTCTCCATACGCTTCCCTGCATCCAGCACAGCTCGAAAAGATGGCGGGGACAAGAGTGTCGCCTTTCTCCAAGATCAGCTGAGAAAAGGCTTTGAGGGAGAAGGAGAAATTCCAAAGAAATGTAGTTTATTTATTCAGCAGCAAACAAAAGAATTCCAGGGCAGAAGGAGTCAACGCAAGCCTCAGATGTGCGGACGGATGAGGCTTCAACCTGTGTTAACAATGGTGCGGGCTGGTCCAGATGGAGCTGGGGCGAGCCCTTCCTCGCGGTTCAAGGAGCCGTTTGATCTGTACGTGGCCTTCGCCTTGATGCTGGCTTCGGGGCGGCCTCCTGGGGCTGGGACCAGATCACCCCCCGCCGCCCCATTTGCCTGCTCAGAAACTTCACAAGGCCACGGTTCTGAGAGCTCTGACGCCCCATCCTCTTCCTCCGCGCGGCTCCACAGCCAGAGGAAACCTGGGGAGGGGTTGTTTTCCCAGCCAGCCTCCACCTCCCACACCAGGTGGTCCCACCTCTTGGTGGGAAAGAAAAGAGCTGGCTGTGAAGGACCCTTTACCCAAGGGCTGTTTTCCTCCTGGGGAAGGTTCTGGAGCATTTCTTCCCCATGGGGTAAGTCAAAATTTTCTAGGCAAACCACAGGGGAGGAATGATGCCCGGGACAGGGGAGGAAGTGCACCGCGGACTGAGCTCTGGTCCTGATGCTGATCTCTGGGCTCATCCCCTCAGCTGAAAATAAAGAGCTAGACTCTTTTTTTTTTTTTTTTTTTTTTTGAGATAGAATCTTGCTATGTTGCCCAGGCTGGAGTGCAATGGCGCGACCTCGGCTCACTGCAACCTCCGCCTTCCAGGTTCAACTGATTCTCCTGCCTCAACCTCCTGAGTAGCTGGAAGTACCGGCGCCCACCACCATGCCTGGCTAATTTTTGTATTTTTAGTAGAGACAGGGTTTCACCATGTTGGCCAGGCTGATCTCAAACTCCTGACCTCAAGTGATCCGCCTACCTTGGCCTCCCAAATTGCTGGGATTACAGGCGTGAACCACCGCGCCTGGCCGAGTTAGACCTTTGAGAAATTAAAAGACCTTAAGAGGCTGAGTGCGGTGGCTCAAGCCTGTAATCCTAACACTTTGGGAGGCCAAAGCAGGCAGACCACCTTAGGTCAGGAGTTCAAGACCAGCCTGGCCAACATGGTGAAAGCCTATCTCTACTAAAACTACAAAAATTAGCCAGGCATGGTGGCGGGTGCCTGTAATCCCAGCTACTCGGGAGGCTGAGGCAGGAGAATTGCTTGAATCTGGGAGATGGAGGTTGCAGTGAGCTGAGATTGTGCCACTGCACTCCAGGCTGAGTGACACAGCGAGACTCATTTCAAAAAAAAAAAAAAAAAAAAAGACCTTAGGAGGTAAAAGACCCAGCCTTCGGGGCAAGAGTCTATGCTTCATGGGTCAGGGAATGGGAAGAGACTTGAACAACCCTCTCGCCTAGAGGCTCCTAGCCTAGGACTTCTGGGAGCTTCTCCCATAGCACAGTGTATCAGAGAGCCCCACAGTTGGACTCCTGGGTCCAGAGCCCTGATCCACCACTCCTGAGCTGCGCACCTCTGAGCCTCAGCTTCCTCACCTGTGAAATGGAGATGTTAAACATCCACAGTAGCCCGGGCGCGGTGGCTCACACCTGTAATCCCAGCACTTAGGGAGGCCGAGGTGGGTAGATCACCTGAGGTCAGGAGTTCAAGACCAGCCTGGCCAACATGGCAAAACCCCATCTCTACTAAAAATACAAAAATTAGCTGGGTGTGGTGGCACACTCCTGTAATCCCAGCTACTCAGGAGGCTGAGGCAGGAGAATCGCTTGAACCCAGGAGATGGAGGTTGCAGTGAGCCGAGATCATGCCACTGCACTCCAGTCTGGGTGACAGCTCGAGAATCCGTCTCCAAAAAAAAAAAAAAATCCACACTAGAGCAGCATTCTCACCATGTAATGGAATAAGGAGCATGTCTGGTTCTTGGTGAAATGTGCAGTTGAGTTTAAGGCCCAGCTGTGGCCAACACTCACACACACACGTCTGCTGTGGAATGCACAGGCTGCTGCTGCCTGTCACGAAACGAAAATCCACCAGCCCAATCACTAAGGTTAAAGTCGCTTTTTGTTGCTGCGGGTGCTTTCAGTCAGCTGATTCCCAGAGAGAGCTATTACCTTTTGGGAGTCCATGAAACTTTAGAATGATGGCCTTCTGATGGAAAATGCTAGAAGTGTGGTTGAATCTAACTCCTGATTGGTGGGCAGTGCAGGGCAGGACGGGGCCGTGGTGGCCTCAGGCTCAAGGGCAGATGGCCTTGGCTTCAAATCCCAGCTCTGCCTCTCACCCCCGCGGACTCAGCAGTCCTCACCCAGGGATGGGCTCACCTGCAGCTTCTGGGCTGTTTTCCTGGTTTCCTCCAGTTAAGGAACAAGCTGTCCTGAACTAGGGCAGGAAAGACCAGAGTCACGTAGTCCCCATCATCTCTCCTAGTTCCAGGCTGGTCCGGGCCCTGCTGTGGGACTGACTCGGCAGAGACCCTCCAGGAATGCCTGCCACGGTCATTCCCTGGGGACCCAGCTGGCTTCTATGCAGTGCTCAGGGCTCCAAGGGTGCATTTCCAGAAAGAGCCAGACGGACACGATGTCTTTTCTGCCCTGGCTTCCAGAGTCACAAAGCACTGCTCCTGCGGCATCCTGTTCACCACTCCCGCCAGGAGCACCTGCCCAGGCTCAGGGCAAGGGGACATCGCCCCACACCTCGGTGGGAAGGGTTCAAAGAAGCGACAGCCCTCCATATAAATTATCACACTGAATCTTCCAATCACTCCACGGGGCAGGGCCTGTGATTCATCTGTCTTGCACACACAGGGAAACCAAAGCTCAGAGAGGCAGAGAAGGCCTTGCCCGGGCACACAGGTGGCAGGTGAAGAGCCCGTTTTTAAACCCAGGAAGTGGGTCCATGCAGCCTGAACTCCCAGTCGTCCCAGCGCCCACCTCCCACATGCAGTCAGAACCCAGGCTGAGCTCCAGGCCCTGCTGCACATTTCTGAGCTTTTCAGCAGCTTAGAGGGAAACACAGGCAGTGTCTATAACCAAAACCACATTAGGCGCCGCCTGGAAGCCCGGACCCCCACCCCCACCCCCAGCGCCGTCCCATCTGCACAGGCCCCTACCAGTGCCGACCTGTCACTATGCACTCAGCTCCCAGCACGCAGGCCCAGCCCCAGTGTGGCCCCGGTGACCCTGGGCAGACACTCCCAGAATGGAGACCTCGAGGCTTCGCCTTTGACCCTCTCACCATAGCCAGAAGTTTTGGCAAAAACTGCCCACAGAGGGTCCCCACCCTCCATGCCTGGACAAGCTGCAAGCTCCTCAGGCTGCTGGGGTCCCCCCTCCTCCCTGCCTTCGCAAGAGTCAGGGCTACCGGGGAATTGGCTGCCTTGTGGAGTTGGAAACAGCCCACCAGGTCCAGGGGATCCAGGGAATGGCTCTATGCCCTGTGGGGGCTCTTCTAGCTTTGGCAGCAGCAGCGGCAGCACCTACCGAGCCCCACGCCCATGTGGCAGGCACTGATGGAAGCCCATTACAGCCACCACACTGCCTGTCGTACACCTGGGGAAACTGAGACTCTAAGAGGACAAACCAAGGGCGGAGTTAGGCTGGGTGAGGCTTGACGCTCATAAAATGCGGGGTCCTGTTTAAGAGAAAGAAGACAAAACCAGGAACAGAGCGGTGGCTCACGCCTATAATCCCAGCACTGTGGGAGGCTGAGGCGGGTGGATCACCTGAGGTCAGGAGTTTGAGATGAGCCTGACCAACATAGAGAAACCCCATCTCTATTAAAAATACAAAATTAGCCAGGCGTGATGGTGCATGCGTGTAATCCCAGCTGCTAGGGAGGCTAAGGCAGGAGAATCGCTTGAACCCGGGAGGTGGAGGTTGTGGTGAGCCGAGATCGTGCCATTGCACTCCAGCCTGGGCAACAAGAGCGAAACTCCGTCTCAAAATAAATAAATAAATAAGAGAAAAGTGGAACAAGTCACCAACCCACTTCCGCCAGCAAAGGCTTGTGGTGCTTTCCACAGGTAGCTGGGCCATCCGTGCTCAGATAATGGATGTGATGGTCTTCAGCCTCATTGGTGTGCTCACCGGTGTCCCATTCTAGCTGCCTGGGGCTCACCACACGCATAAAGGAAGGGCCCTGACTTCCTTTGGGGGCCCTGAGGGGGAGCAGCTTTCTGTAACCACATGGCTGCTCCAGCTCTCATGCATCTTAGAGACAGGACAGGAACTCCTGGGGACGATGAGGCAACACACAGGCATCCTCTTCTCAGCCCAAGGCTGGAAAGCTTAATTGGCAGGAAACCTGCACGCAGTGGAATGGCTGGGGCCTGCCACTCCCCCGACTGATTCCTGCAGTCCTGGGGAGGGAGAGAAGAGCCCGCACCTTGGAAAGGGCCAGGCCTCAGTGGCCCTGACTGGCAACATGGCTTTGGGCAAGTTGTTTATATCTGTCTGTCTATCTTCATCAGTAAACTAGAAATACTTCTTGAAGGGTTGTTCTGAAGATTTGAAGTAGTTGCTCAGAAAGTGACTGGCACATCTGTGCCCTGGGAGCGGGGACGTGTGGCCGGCAGGAGGAGAGGACATCTCACTGCACACCTGCCTGTTACCCATGTGCATAGACGGACGTCTCACTGCACACCCGCCTGTTACCCATGTGCACAGACCGACGTCTCACTGCACACCGACCTGTTACCCATGTGCATAGACCGACATCTCACTGCACACCCGCCTGTTACCCACGTGCACCAGACTGACGCCTCACTGCACACCCACCTGTTACCCACGTGTACAGACTGACGCCTCACTGCACACCCACTTGTTACCCATGTGCACCAGACTGACGCCTCACTGCACACCTGCCTGTTACCCATGTGCACCAGACTGACATCTCACTGCACACCCGCCTGTTACCCATGTGCATAGACTAACACCTCACGGTGCACCCACCTGTTACCCATGTGCACAGACTGACGTCTCACTGTACATCCGTTACCCATGTGCACAAGCAGCCTGCTCCTTCACAGCCCAGCTAGAGTGTGCAATGGGATGTCAACCCAGCTAGACCATGCAATGAGATATTACTTGGCAATCAGAAAGGACACAGCTCTAACTCACGCTGCGGTGTGGGTGAGCCTCAAAAGCACCATACTAAGTGACAGACGCAAGACACAAATGTTCCACATGTTACATGACTCAGTTCCTATGAAACCCACAGAGACAGAAGCAGCACGGCGGGGGTGGGGAGAAGAGCTAAAAAGTACCAAGCTTCCTCCTTGAGGTGCTGAAAATGTTCTAAAATTGACTTGGGATGGCTGCACAACTGTGAATATACCCAAAACCATAGAATTGTACACTTCAATTTTTTATTTACTTTTTCTGTTTTTTTTTTTTTTTTTGAGATGGAGTTTCACTCTTGTTGCCCAGGCTGGAGTGCAATGGCATGATCTCAGCTCACTGCAACCTCTGCCTCCCAGGTTCAAGCGATTCTCCTGCCTCAGCCTCCCGAGTAGCTGGGATTACAGGCATGCACCACCACGCCTGGCTAATTTTGTATTTTTAGTAGAGACGCGGTTTCGCCATGTTGGTCAGGCTGGTCTCGAACTCCCGACCTCAGGTGATCCACCCGCCTTGGCCTCCCAAAGTGCTGGGATTACAGGCATGAGCCACTGTGCCCGGCCTATTTACTTATTTTAAGAAAGGATCTCACTCTGTCACCCAGGCTAGAGTGCAGTGGTATGATCACAGCTCACTGCAGCCTCAACCTCCGGGGCTCAAGCCATCCTCCCACCTCAGCCTCCCAACTACCTGGGACCACAGGCATGTACCACTGCACCTGGCTAGTTTTTGTATTTTTTGTAGAGTCAGATTCTTGTTATGTTGCTTAGGCTGGTCTCAAACTCCTGGCCTCAAGCAGTCCTCCCACATCGGCCTCCCAAAGTGCTGGGATTACAGGCATGATCCATCGCGCCCAACCAGGTTGTACACTTTAGATGGGAGAGTTGCATGGTATGTGAATTCTATCACAATAATGCTGTGGGTTTTGTTGCTGTTGTTGTTGTTTGAGACCGAGTCTCTTTCTGTTGCCCAGACTGGAGTGCAATGGTGCAATCTTGGCTCACTGCAACCTCTGCCTCCTGTGCTAAAGCAATTCTTGTGTCTCAGTCTCCCGAGTAGCTGGGATGACAAGCACCTGCCACCATGCCTGGCTAATTTTTGTATTTTTAGTAGAGACGGGGGTTCGCCATGTTGGTCAGGCTGGTCTTGAACTCCTGACTTCAGGTGATCTGCCTGCCTTGGCCTCCCAAAGTGCTGCGATTACAGGCATGAGCCACTTCGCCCAGCCTATAATGCTGTTTTTTTTTTTTAATTAACTGGATAATTATAAACGTGAACACGTGTGCACAGAACTGATGCATGTGTCTGCCGGCGTGGACACTCCTGGGCTTCCTTCTGGTAGCTCAGCCACCTCTCTTGACCCTGACCCTCACTGCTTGATGTTAGGAGACAAGCCCAAGGCATCTAGGTTGCCGGCTTCCACCTTGGAAGGCCAGGGCCCAGCAAAGTCAAGGTGATGTGATGTGGCTGAGCAGGGAGGCCATCTTCCTTGCAGACAGGGACTCTGTCACTTTGGACTGGACTCTTGTCCCACAGTGCTGGCCAGGGACAGGTGCAGAGTTGTGCTTGGTTGGCATGGGATGCTGATGAAGGCTGTGTTGCGGCCAGGCCCAACCACCATGAGCCGAGATCATGCCACGGCACTCCAGCCTGGAAGACAGAGTGAGACTCTGCCTCAAAAAAATAAAAAAAATAAAAAGTTATAAATAGAACTACCCTATGATTCAGCAATCACACACTTCTGGGTATATATCCAAAAGAGCTGGCTGGGCACAGTGGCTTATGCCTGTAATCCCAATATTTTGAGAGGCCAAGGCAGGAGGATCACTGGAGCCCAGGAGTTGGAGAACAGCTTGGGCAAGATGGCAAGACCCCTTGGCTACAAACAATTAATTTTAAACCCTGGTATGGTGTCCTAGCTACTTGGGAGACTGACGCGGGGGGATCGCTTGAGCCCAGGAATTAGAGACTGCAGTGAGCTATGATGGCATCATTGCACTCCTGCCTAGTTGACAAAGTAAGACCCTGACTCTTTTTTTTTGTTTTTTGGCTGTGAGTGTATTCAATGCAAAATAATCCTCTCTAATTTTACTGAGGTGGCTGGCCATGTCCACGACCAAATCTGCCTCTAAACTGGAATTCGGTTGCTGACCCAGCCCGAGCCTTGGCTTTCTTGTCGGCACCAGGGGCACAGCACTCCGTCTATAGGTATGTCTGTTGGCTTCCCCTCTTGTGAGTCTTGCAGGTCGCCCACCCTCCAGACCTTTAGGCCGAGGCCTGCCAGTCCCTGGACGGCTGCAGCGTAGGGTGGCAGGCACAGTTTCCAGGGACAGATGAAGGTAATCACGGAGATACTGGATACCCTGATCGGTAAGGTAGCAGTAGAAATGTCTCCAGGCAAGCCAGGCACGGTGGCTCATGCCTGTAATCCTAACATTTTGGGAGGCCGAGGTGGGCGGATCACGAGGTCAGGAGATTGAGACCATCCTGTCTAACATGGTGAAACCCCGTCTCTACTAAAAATACAAAAAATTGGCCGAGCGTGGTGGCGGGTGCCTATAGTCCCAGCTACTGGGGAGGCTGAGGCAGGAGAATGGCATGAACCCAGGAGTTCAAGCTGGTCTTGAACTCCAGGAGGCGGAGCTTGCAGTGAGCCGAGATCACACCACTGCACTCCAGCCTGGGTGACACAGCGAGACTCCGTCTCAGAAAAAAAAAAAAAAAAAAAAAGCAACAATGCAGGGACTCCTGACACATGCTCCAATGTGGATAAACCTGAAGGACATTATGCCCAGTGAAATAAGCCAGACACAAAAGACAAAAACCACAGGATCCCACCCACATCAGGTCCCCAGAGTCCTCAGATTCAGAGAGATGGAAGCAGAATGGTGGGTGCCAGGCCTGGGGGAGGAAGCTGGACATAGTGTTTAGTGGGGTCAGGACAGAATTTGAGTTTGGGATGATGGAAAAGTTCTGGAGACGGATGGTGGAGATGGTTGCACCACAATGTGACTGCATTTAACGCCATGAAACTTTACACTTAAAAATTGTTAAGATGGGCTGGGCATGGTGGCTCATGCCTCTCATCCCAGCACTGTGGGAGGCTGAGGCAGGTGAATCACCTGAGATTGGGAGTTCAAAACCAGCCTGACCAACATGAAGAAACCCCGTCTCTACTAAAAATACAAAATCAGCAGGTGTGGTGGCGGGTGCCTGTAATCCCAGCTACTCAGGAGGTTGAGGCAGGAGAATCACTTGAGCCTGGGAGGCGAAGGGTTGCAGTGAGCCAAGATCGCACCATTGCACCCCAGCCTGGGCAACAAGAGCAAAACTGCATCTCAAAAAAAAAAAAAAAGGTTAAGATGGTAAATTTTATGTTATGTATATTTTATCACAATAAAAAGTAATATTTTTTGCAGCCAAGGTATGCTAAAAGAAATGGCGTTTTTATTATTTATTAATTATTATTATTATTATTATTATTTGAGACAGAGTCTCACTCTGTTGCCCAGGCTGGAGTGCAGTGGCGTGATCTCAGCTCACTGCAACCTCTGCCTCCTGGGCTCAAGAAATTCTCTTGCCTCAGCCTCCTGAGTAGCTGGGACTACAGGCGCCCACCACCACATCTGGATAATTTTTGTATTTTTAGTAGAGACAGGGTTTCATCATGTTGACCAGGCTGGTCTCGAACTCCTGACCTCAAGTGATCCACCCGCCTCGGCCTCCCAAAGTGCTGAGATTACAGGGGTGAGCTACTGCGCCCCAAGAAATGACTTCAAAAGGAAAAATGTAAGCACCAACATAAGCTGGTGTAATGTAATGTAATTCCCACCAATGTAAGTTGGCAGGAATCCTTGCTCTGTATAGAAGGGTCACATTTTCTTATCACTGCTTCCAAGTGTGACAGCAGTGGCCTCATGGCCTTATCTCGGGGAAAGCACTTCCTTCCAAGCACCATGAAGGCCTCCCGTGCTGAGACAAGATGGAAGCTCCTAGTCCCGCCTGAGGACTGACACGGCCTTGGCTTCTCGGTCTCTCAGGACGCGCGGGCGGCCATGCGCCCCTTCGACCCCTCCGCTCTGCTGCCCACCTGCTGGGATTACTGGACCTATGTGGGCTCGCTCACCACCCCGCCGCTGACCGAGTCGGTCACCTGGATCATCCAGAAGGAGCCCGTTGAAGTGGCCCCAAGCCAAGTGAGCCGTGCCCGTAACTGGCATGATGGCGCTTCATGGAAGGCGTCTCTCTTGCTTGGCAGCGTCACTAAGATGCTGCATAAGAGCCTTGAGGAGTTATATATATTCTTTCATGCATTTGGGGTGTTCTTACACAAGAAGAAAGTTCCAATTGAAGTAGGAGCTTGTTGAGATTGGACAGCGGTTCCAGTGATCACAGCGAGCATGTTCTGAGCAATGCCCTAATCTATCACACACAGACACACAAGGCATCCATGGGAGTTGTCCCAGCGTCATGGGTCTGCATGGTTTTTGTTTTCTTCCTTTTTCTTTTCTTTCTTTTTTTTTTTTTTGAGACAGAGTCTCGCTCTGTCGCCCAGGCTGCAGTGCAGTGGCTCGATCTCAGCTCACTACTACCTCCACCTCCTGGGTTCAAGCAATTCTCCTGCCTCAGCCTCTCGAGTAGCTGGGATTACAGGCACCCATCACCACGCCTGGCTAATTTTTGTATTTTTAGTAGAGACGGGATTTCACCATGTTGGCCAAGCTGGTCTTGAACTCAGGTGATCTGCCCACCTTGGCCTCCCAAAGTGCTGGGATTCCAGGCATGAGCCACCGAGCCCGGCCTCCTTTTTCTTATCTAAATAGTTTCATTGCTTTTTTTTTTCGAAAATTAGTTAATAATCCTTGTATACATTTTTAAAAGTTATACTATTGGGCTGGGCGTCATGGCTCATGCCTATAATTTTAGCACTTTAGAAGGCTGAGACAGGCAGATCACTTGAGGCCAGGAGTTCGAGACCAGCCTGACCAACATGGTGAAACCCCGTCTCTACTAAATCTACAAAATTAGCCAGGCGTGGTGGTGCACGCCTGTAATATCAGCTACTTGGGAAGCTGGGGCAAGAGAATAACTTGAAGCCGGGAGGTGGAGGCTGCAGTGAGCCGAGATCGCACCACTGCACTCCAGCCTGGACAACAAGAGCAAAACTCCATCTCAAATAAATAAATAAATAAAAATACAAAAATTAGCCGGGCATGGTGGCGTGTGCCTGTAGTGCCAGCTACTTGGGAGGCTGAGGTAGGAGAATCACTTGAACCTGGAAGGCGGAGGTTGCAGTGAGCTGAGATGGCACCACTGCACTCCAACCTGGGCGACAGAGTGAGACTGTCTCAAAAAAATAAAATAAAAAATAAATAAAAGTTATACTATCATTTTTTTCTGGAAATCTTAAGAATCTATAGCAATTCTGTCTGTCCAAGGCAGTTCAGAGCCACAGGCATGCTGCCTATGCCCCGCCCCCGCCCGGCAGACATTTCTCAGCAGTCGCAGCAGGACTTAGCATCTCTGGCTCATCTCTTTCTGAGGGCTCCAGGTGAGCTCTTAGAGGGTCTTTCAGTCTCCTGGGCCTGTGAAAATATTCCCTTATATACAAACCATGGCATGATGTCATTTGCACGTGGAGATGTGGGATGCAGAATATCTGCCTACCTCCAAACCAGAGCTGTTGGACATGGGGAAGGCTTTTGTTGAAGGTGGCCCCTTGTCAGCAAGGCCCTTATGCTACTCAACAAGCATATATGTGACAAGTGCCCATTCTGGGTCTGTGCCACCAAGAGAGGGTGGGAGGGGGGCAGGTGTGGAGGGGCGGCACAGGAACAGGGCATTCGTCTCAGAATACTGCTGTCTGGCAGGAAAGTAGAAACGAAGCCAATAGTATTAAGCCAGGGTGGCCGGTGTCATATAAAAATGCAGGGCAGGAGCCCCTTATCCTGAGCAGGGGAGCCAGGGAGGCACATGTCCTGGAAGGCGGGGAGTTTTCCAGGGGAGGAGAAAGGCTGCCTTTCTGAGACAGTCAACAAATGTGCAGACCACAAATGTGGATGAGCACACTGTGGTCATGGCCCAGGAGGCCAGGTGCACCATGCGCGCACAATTCTAGGGGGCGCTGGATCATCACGCAGGGCTAACTGGCCCAGTATGCTGTCAGCATGTAGACATAATCTCACTTCTGAATTTAATTAAATGTGTGAGTTGCCTCACAGAGTTCGTAAGTATATTCTGTGAACAAGTGAGATAATACATAAAAAGTCTTTTTTTATTTTTTATTTATTTATTTTTTTTGAGACAGAGTTTCCCTCTTGTTGCCCAGGCTGGAGTGCAATGGCGTGATCTCGCTCACCACAAGCTCCACCTCCCAGGTTAAAGCGCTTCTCCTGCCTCATCCTCCCGAGGAGCTGGATTACAAGCATGAGCCACCACATCTGGCTAATTTTGTATTTTTAGTAGGGATGGGGTTTCTCCATGTTGGCCAGGCTGGTCTCAAACTCCTGACTTCAGGTGATTCACCCACCTTGGCCTCCCAAAGTGCTGGGATTACAGGCATGAGCCACCACACCTGGCCTCCCAAAGTGCTGGGATTACAGGCATGCACAACCACACCTGGCTAATTTTGTATTTTTAGTAGAGACAGGGTTTCTCCATGTTGGCCAGGCTGGTCTCAAACTCCTGACCTCAGGTGATTCACCCACCTTGGCCTCCCAAAGTGCTGGGATTACAGGCATGAGGCACCGCATCCAGCCATAAAAAGTAGTCTTTTAGTTCCTTGAGTGAAAAGTAAATTCAAATGTTACTTTAGCATTTACATTATAGGTGTTAGTTATCTATTGCTGTGTAACAAATAGCTGCAAAACATAGTGGCTTTAGAAAACAATCATTTGGGCCGGGTGCAGTAGCTCATGCCTGTAATCCCAGCACTTTGGGGGCCGAGGCGAGTGGATCGCCTGAGGTCAGGAGTTCAAGACCAGCCTGACCAACATGGTGAAACCCTGTCTCTACTAAAAATACAAAATTAGGCTGAGCACAGTGGCTAACGCCTATAAACCCAGTACTTTGGGAGGCCGAGGCAGGTGGATAACCTGAGGTCAGGAGTTTGAGAGCAGCCTGACCAACATGGAGAAACCCCATCTCTACTAAAAATACAAAATTAGCTGGGCGTGGTGGCGCATGCCTGTAAGCCCAGCTACTCAGGAGGCTGAGGCAGGAGAATCCCTTGAACCCAGGAGGCGGAGGTTGCGGTGAGCAAAGATCACACCATTGCACTCCAGTCTGGGCAACAGGAGCAAAATTCCATCTCAAAAAAAAAAAAAAAAATTAGCCGGGCATGGTGGCTCATGCCTGTGATCCCAACTACTCGGGAGGCCGAGGCAGGAGAATTGCTTGAACCTGGGAGGCGGAGGTTGCAGCGAGCTGAGATCTTGCCAATGACACTCCAGCCTGGGAAACAAGAGGGAAACACTGTCTCAAACAACAACAACAATGACAACAAAAACCAATCATTTATTATCTCCCATAGTTTCCTTGGGTTGTGAATTTGGGTGGCTCTGGCTTACCATCTTTCATGAATTGTAGCCCAGTGTCAGCTGGGACTGTAGCGATCTGAAAGCTCAACTAGGGCTAGAGGATTCATTCCAAGGTTGGCCCTCTCAAGTGGATGGCAAGTTGGCGCTGGCAGTTGGCTGGGAGCCTCAGCTCCTCTCCCTGTGGGCCTCTCCTCGGGGCTGCTTGAGTACCCTCCCAATATGGTGACCAGCTTCCCCCCAGAGCAAGTGATCCTAAAGACCAAGGCGGAAGCGGCAATGCCTTTTATAAGCTGGCCCTGCACACACCATCACTTCCACCATCTTTACTGGTCATTTCGGGCCATCCTGATTCAGCATGGGAGGAGACCACACAAGGCCTGAGGGACACCTGGGGGCTGGCTCACCCTGCACTCATACCAAGCTCACCCTGGCTGCCCTCTATTCCAGCTCTCTGCATTTCGTACTCTCCTGTTTTCTGCACTTGGTGAAGAGAAGAAGATGACGGTGAACAACTATCGTCCACTTCAACCCCTGATGAACTGGAAGGTCTGGGCGTCCTTCCAGGCCACTAATGAGGGCACAAGATCCTAGAGACATTAGGTCCACATGAATAGCAGAACTGACTTTGAAGGAAGGAAGCGTTGTTTCCCAAGTTTCACAATGTGATTGTACGTGACTTCTGAAATTAAAAAGAGAGAATGAGGTTATTGTTTTAGTCAAAGTACGTTTCAGCTGCAAGTGAAAGAAAGATGTGTAAGTACCGTGGGGAACATAACGCTGGGATGGAGGGGTGTGCCATGGCACCCAACGCAAGTGCAGGGTGCTTAGTTTCACTGTAACAAAGTACCACAAACTTGGTGGCTTAAAACAATGGAGACTGATTCTCTTACGGTTCAGTGAGCCAGAAGCCTGACACCAAGGTGTCCGCACGGCTGCTTCCTTCTGAGGCTCTAGGGGAGGATCCTTTTCCGTGCCTTTCCAGCTTCAGCTTCCTCCTTGTAAAAACTCCTGGCCGGGCGCATTGCCTCACGCCTTTAATCCCAGCACTTTGGGAGGCCGAGGTGGGTGGATCACGAGGTCAGGAGATCGAGACCATCCTGGCCAACACGGTGAAACCCTGTCTCTATAAAAAACACAAACATTAGCTGGGTGCGTGTCTGTAATCCCAGCTACTTGGGAGGCTGAGGCAGGAGAATTGCTTGAACCCGGGAGGCAGAGGTTGCAGTGAGTCAAGATTGCACTATTGCACTCCAGCCTGGGCAACAAGAGCAAAACTCCGTCTCAAAATAAAAAGGAATTCTTGTGAGGCCAGGCACAGTGGTTCACGCCTGTAATCCCAGCACTTTGGGAGGCCGAGGCAGGTGGATCACTTGAGGTCAGAAGTTTGAGACCAGCCTGGCCAACATGGTGAAACCCCGTCTCTACCAAAAATACAACCAAAAGTAATCTGGCAGGATAAAACCAGAAAACACACACAATTTGATGTCAAGACCTATTTCAAAAGCTATAGTAGGCCAGGCGCAGTGGCTCATGCCTGTAATCCCAGCACTTTGGGAGGCCGAGGTGGGAAGATCACCTGAGGTCAGAAGTTCGACACCAGCCTGGCCAACATGGCGAAACCCTGTCTCTGCTAAAAATACAAAAATTAGCTAGGTGCGGTGGCTCATGCCTGTAATCCCAGCTACTCAGGAGACTGAGGCAGGAGAATCGCTTGAATCCGGGAGGCAGAACTTGCAGTGAGCTGAGATCACGCCACTGCACTCCAGCCTGGGCGACAGAGTGAGACTCCATCTAAAATAAATAAATAAAAATAAAAAGCTATATTAATTAAGATAATGTGGTACCTGTCAGAGAAGGACAAATCAACCAATGAAAAAGAATAGCATGTCTAGAAGGTTCCACACATTTGTGATCCCTGAGTCATGCTGTAGGGAATGGTTGGGCTTTTCTGTGAATAGTTTTGGATCATTTGGATACTTATCTATCTACGTATTGATTGATCGATCAATTCATCTGTTGATCCACAGGGTCTCATTATGTTGCCCAGGTTGGTCCTGAACCCCTGAGCTCCAATAGTTCTCCTGCTTTGACCTCCCAAAGTGCTGGGATTACAGGCATGAGCCACCCCACCGAGCCAACGGGATATCCAAATGGGGAACCATGAATCTTTTTTCTCACCATACCTCACACCCCTACCTCACAGCACACACAAAAATTAATTCCTGACAGACTATAGATCTAAATAGGAAAGGTAAAACAATAAAGCTCCTAAAAAATAACATAGGAGCCAGGCGCTGTGGCTCACGCCTGTAAACCCAGCACTTTGGGAGGCCAAGTTCCAGACTAGCCTGACCAACATGGAGAAACCCCATCTCTACTAAAAATACAAAATTAGCCGAGCTTGGTGGTGCATGCCTGTAATCCCGGCTACTCGGGAGGCTGAGGCAGGAGAATTGCTTGAACCCGCGAGGCAGAGGTTGTAGTGAGCCGAGATCGCGCCATTGCATTCCAGCCTGGGAAACAAGAGCGAAACTTTGTCTCAAAAAAAAAAAAAAAAAAAAAGACTTGATCCAGAACTCAAAGTTGGGTCTGAGTGTGGCTTTTCTGTCTCTCTTTCGTGATGTTGTCTCTCTCTCTTGGCAAGCTCATTCTTTTGGTGGAAAGAGAGCTACCACTCGTGCCAGGATGGTTTCCATTAATTCATGTAACATTTATTGAGTGCCAATTACATGGCAGGCTCTATTCTAGACTCTGGGGACAGAGCCTAGACTGTTTCAGGTCTGAAGAGCCTTTGCCTCGGAGCTCACGTTCTGACGGAAGGAGGTAGACCACGATGCATCAACACAGAAAGTCTGGGGTGGTAAGTCACAGGGAGAGGACATGGCTGGGTGGGGAGGTCTCTTCTACAGGGGCCATTTGGGCAGAGACCAAAGGAGGAGTGAACCACATGGCTACCCGAGGGCAGAGAATTCCAGGCAGAGGCTGGAGGCAGGAGCGCCCTTCTGGTGTTCAAGGTGCAGCCCGAGGGTGAGGCAGCCAAGTGCAGGGGTGAGGAGAGAGGCATGGGAGGCAAGGGTGGGTACTGGGGCCCGATAGGCTGGGTGGAGACTTTGGAGCTGCTGCTGGGTTCTGAGCAAAGGGCATTTTCGAGTGGAAAGGCTCAGTTTGGCTGTGCTGCCAAAGAGTTTTCCAAAGTGGTCGTTCCTGTCCTTGCCAGCAGGTCATTGTGTGCTTTCTGGAGGGTGTGCCCAGGTGTCTCCTGTGGATTTAATTTGCACTTCCCTAATGATTAATGATGTGGAGCACTTTGTGCAGATTCATTGGCCATCTGCATATCCTCTTTCACCAGACACCTACTTGAGCCATTTGCCCATTTTTCTCTTGGGCTGTCTGTGGTTTTCTTAGTGATTTTTAGGAGTTCTTTATATATTCCAATTATAAGGCCTTTGTCCATTTTACAAATCTCTTCTCCCACTCTGGGGCTGCCTTTCACCCTCTTTTTTTTTGTTATTTTTTGTTTTGTTTTGTTTTTGAGATGGAGTCTTGCTTTGTCACCCAGGCTGGAGTGCAGTGGTGTGATCTCAGCTCACTGCAGCCTCAACCTTCCCCAGCTCAGGTGATCCTTCTACCTCAGCCTCCCCAGCAGCTGGGACTACAGGTGCACCACCACCACGCTGGGCTAGTTTTTGTATTTTTTGTAGAGACGGGGTCTCCCTATGTTGCCCAGGCTGGTCTTGAACTCCTGGGCTCAAGAGATTTTCCCACCTTGGTCTCCCAAAGGGCTGGCATTACAGGCGTGAGCCACCGCGCCCAGCCTCCAAGTCATCTTTCACACGCAGAGCACGCCTGAGAGCAGCAACAAGACTAACGTTGGGGCCAAAGCTAAGAAGTGGGGCGGAGCCTCCCTGGTGGCCGGTCGTCAGCCCAGTGCCTGAAATGCATGCAAAGTCTATTTTTATTTTGCGTAGTTGAACCTAAGCAAAAAATCTGGCCCTACAATCTCTAACCTTGCTCCTAACTGGCACCTACCCTATTGCACAAGAAGCTATCTAGGGGAGGACTCAGTGAGCACTCGGTGAGTTTGCCCAGCCATGGTGGTACTGTCTCCTTCCCTCTGCAGGCACAGCGGGAAGAATAGGGCGGATGGAGGGCTCTCTGCACCTTCCACAGCCAGCAGCGTGGACGGCAGATTACAAGTTAGTATCTGTGTGACCTCCGCACTCCCCTGCCGGTGGCTGCCTGGGCTGCTGAGATTTCGCTTGGTTTTATCACTGCAGAGGAATGCCCGCCATACCGGGGGGCGAGCAAGGTCCAGAATGACAAGCCGTGGCATTCCTCAGCCGCCTCCTCCCCGGGGTGGGGCCTGGACATTCCTGGCTGCAGCTAGAGGTCCCAGCATGACAGGGATTCTGACCCCCCCTCCACCACGGCTATTGTTCAGGATTCTGTGGATTCCAGAGGCATCTGCCCAGCAGACTGTCTTGCTGTGAACACCCAGCTCTGCAACCGGTGTTTGCGTGTTTGCCCTGGGAGGCTGAACGCTCACCCAGAACAAAGGCCTCCCCACATGCCTGCTGTGAGCTTCCAAGGACTCGTTAGGACACACGCCAAGGAACCCCGGGTGGGGGTGATACCGAGGAGCTTCCTCCCTGACCCACACACACCCTTTGAAGAGGTCTTTGGCTGCTCACCAGTCTGGTCAATCTCGGGGCAGTATTTATATTCCTTCCCGTTTCCAGGCCTAGGAGCCTTGGCATCCTGCTCTCGCCTCTAACTGAAATTACCTCTCAACCCTTTTTAGCTAAGATGCCTCTCGCATTCCCCAGGAATAACAAGCTTTAAAGCCCCTTCACACTGAAGCCTGCCTTTGAATTCCCCAGCTAGATTTGGGGGTGGGGGTCTTATGGCTCCCGGTGAACCCCCGGTTCTGTTGATTAAATTGAGCTCAGGCAGATTGCTGGCTTCCCAAAGCCTGTGTTATTACTGCTTCTCAAAGCTACGGGCACCGGATCGCCATCTTTGGCAAGATTCTTTTGGGATACAATGGGAATTACTGGGTGGCCTCGGTTCGGTTCTTCCCTCGTCTCAGTTCGCGGCTCACCAGCCACATTGATGCAGCCCCCAGGCTGGAAGGAGGCTGCAGGAGCTTCCCCTCAGGTCATCCTCTCATCCCTCCCCCGTGCCCCAGGAGCTGGTTGTGGGGGCGGTTCCATCCCCTAGGCCCATCCGGGACAGGAGCCTAGGTTCCCTTCGGGGGGTACCCCAAACCCCATCCTTGGCCTCAGGCCAGCCCTGGTGCACTGCCCGCTCCCAGGCTTGACGAGAGGCTGCGGGCCAGTGGGTGAAGGGGCTCGCCCTGACTGCCAGGCCCCGCCCAGGCGCACCCGGGAGGACGGGGTGGGATGACGCGGGCGCCGGGGGGGTAGGTCGCGAGGCCGGGGTCTCCATGGCGCAGGAGGACGGGGGCCTTCGAGGACCACGCGGGCCTGGGAATCGCCTGCCAGGCTAGGCCGGAGGACGCACGTGCTCCGAGCTGGGTCGAGGGGGCGGGGCTGAGAGCCGCGGCCGGGCCACGGGGCGGGGAGGAGCCGCGGACGGTGGGCGGGGCCAGCGGGCCGGGGCCTAAAAGGCGGCGCGGGCGGGGTTCTTGACGCAGCTGCGGGCGGCGAGCGGCGCGCACAATCCTCGCTCGGCTGCGGCTCTCGGGTGTCCCAGGCCCGGCCGGTAAGCAGAGCATGGCGGGTGCGGGCCCGAAGCGGCGGGCGCTAGCGGCCCCGGTGGCCGAGGAGAAGGAAGAGGCGCGGGAGAAGATGCTGGCCTCCAAGCGCGCGGACGGCGCGGCGCCGGCAGGCGAGGGCGAGGGCGTGACCCTGCAGCGGAACATCACGCTACTCAACGGCGTGGCCATCATCGTGGGCGCCATCATCGGCTCGGGCATCTTCGTGACGCCCACGGGCGTGCTTAAGGAGGCAGGCTCGCCGGGGCTGGCGCTGGTGATGTGGGCCGCGTGCGGCGTCTTCTCCATCGTGGGCGCGCTCTGCTACGCGGAGCTGGGCACCACCATCTCCAAATCGGGCGGCGACTACGCCTACATGCTGGACGTCTACGGCTCGCTGCCCGCCTTCCTCAAGCTCTGGATCGAGCTGCTCGTCATCCGGCCTTCATCGCAGTACATCGTGGCCCTGGTCTTCGCCACCTACCTGCTCAAGCCGCTCTTCCCCAGCTGCCCGGTGCCCGAGGAGGCAGCCAAGCTCATGGCCTGCCACTGCGTGCGTGAGTACGGGGCGCGGGCCGGGGGTTGGGAGGTCGTGGTCCCTGGGTCCCTGCATCCTTGCATCACTACGCCCCTGGCTCCCACATCTCTACATTTTTGCGTTCCTGGACCGTCCCGGCAGTTCTAGGCTAAGGTCATTGGTCCCAGAAACCACGTGCGTTTCTTTCATTCATTCGTTTACACTTCTCCCCACGGGCTGGGAATATCTTCAGTGACGGGACAGCAGGGTCCCTGCCCTGCCCTTCGGTGGGCATTTCATTCCCCCACTTAAGCGGTTCAGGCAAGTGCCAGCCTCCCGTTGGCCCCGCTGAGCAATACTCCCAGCCTCTTGCGTGGCACCCACGTGGAGTAACTGAGCAACCGGTTTATTGTTAAAGCTCCGATTGCTGACTGGTTGTTGAAAAGGAAATTGCAGTTGAAAAGAAAATTATTCATTTCTGCTCTCCACACCAGCTCGTCAGGAATCAGTGACACGGGCTGACTCATAAGAAAACAGTAGTAATAAAATCGTGTGCGGGTAGTGACTGGTGCTGGTTTAGGCTAAGGGATCCCCCCTGAGGGTTGCCCAGTAGTGAGAGAGCGGAGCTTGGCTGCAGATTCAGTCTGTGTTGCAGTGAATGGACGTGCGGGTCCCAGGTTACTCTGGGAAACAGCCATGGGGCTCCTGTTTTGGTGGGCATGGTGCTGGTGTGTTCTTCACCAGGCCAGAGAGAACTGCTTTTCAAAATAGTTTTCTTTTCTTTTCTTTTTTTTTTTTTTTTGAGATGGAGTCTTGCTCTGTCGCCCTGGCTGGAGTGCAGTGGCGCGATCTCGGCTCACTGCAAGCCCCGCCTCCCGGGTTCACGCCATTCTCCTGCCTCAGCCTTCCGAGTAGCTGGGGCTACAGGCGCCCGCCACTACGCCCGGCTAATTTTTTTTATATTTTTAGTAGAGATGGGGTTTCACCGTGTTAGCCAGGATGGTCTCGATCTCCTGACCTTGTGATCCGCCCGGCTCGGCCTCCCAAAGTGCTGGGATTACAGGCGTGAGCCGCCGTGCCCGGCCTCAAAATAGTTTTCTTGTGGGATTTCAGGGGGAAAATCACTTGTACCAGATACCACATGATTTGGTTGGGTGGCGTGGGAAGGCGGGTCTTGGCAATTCTCAGGTTCATCCCATGGCAAGGATCGGCCTGGATCTCAGTAGTGTGTGTACATATTCAAGGTGGGAAGGGCTAATTTACAGTTGGGGTCTTGAGCCATGAAATCAGGGGAGTGGCTTCTGACTGGCAGGACCTGTTGGCGCTGTTTTCTGCCACACCGTACTTTGGGGAGAAGGGGGAGGGGGAGGCATTTCTTCATAAATGTGAGAATGCCCCGAGGGCAAGACTCAGCAGGGCTCTGTGTGGTTTCTCTGAGGCTCTGAGCGGAGCAGCCGCACCACCATGCAGGTCAAAGCCGGGAAAAATCGTAGTAGGACAGGAGTGGGGAGAGCCTGTGGCTTCCAGCTGGGCGTTGGACATGTGAATGTAAGGGATGACTCTGATTTCTTTTTTTTGTCATTAGAATTTCACTGGTTCAGTCTCCCTCCCGCCTAGGTACATGTCCGCCTGGTATGTAACGACATGGATAATAGCTTATGCAGCCTGCACTCTTACCTTTAAAAAATGGATCCCTGTTGGCTGGGTGTGATGGCCCACGCCTATAATCCCAGCACTATGGGAGGCCAAGATGGGCAGATCTACCGAGGTCAGGAGTCCGAGACCAGCCTGACCAACATGGTGAAACCCCATCTCTACTAAAAATACAAAAATTAGCTGAGCATAGTGGCTCACGCCTGTAATCCCAGCTACTTATGAGTCTGAGGCATGCTCCGGGACGTGGAGGTTGCAGTGAGTTGAGATCCTGCCACTGCACTCCAGCCTGGGTGACAGAGCAAGCCTGTCTCAAAGAAAAAAAAAAAAAAAAAAAAAGCAGCCCCTGGGTGCTGAGTGTCTGACTTCCTGTTGGTGCCAGGAGTGAGTTGTGGGAAATGCTTCATTGGCCACCAGGAAGGAGACATAGGATGGGGCGCTGCCTAGTTTTCTCTTTCTAATAAAAATCACATCAGTCATACATGAATTCATCATCATTTAAAAATTCAAACCAGCCAGGCACTGTGGCTCATGCCTGTAATCCCAGCACTTTGGGAGGCCGAGGCAGGCGGATCACCTGAAGTCAGGAGTTCGAGACCAGCCTGGCCAACATGGTGAAACCCCATCTCTACTAAAAATACAAAAAATTAGCCAGGTGTGGTGGCAGATACCTGTAATCCCAGCTACTCGGGAGGCTGAGGCAGGAGAATCACTAGAACCCAGGAGGTGGAGGTTGCAGTGAGCTGAGATCGCACCACTGCACTCCAGCTTGGGCAACAAGGCGAAACTCTGTCTCAAAAAAAAAAGCAAAAATCAGCTGGGCGTGACGGCGCACACCTGTAGTCCCAGCTACTCGGAGGCTGAGGCAGGAGAACTGCTTGAACTCGGGAGCCAAGATGGTGCCACTAAGCTCCTGCCTGGGTGACACATTTCTCCTCCTTTACCACCCCCCAGCCCCAGAGTTTCTGTGGCTGACAGTGTACGCTTCCAGAGCTGCTTCTGTTACAAATATATCGCTGGCCTATTTATTTAAAAGATCATAATGTACAACTTGTTCTCCACCTTTTTTTTAAGCCTAAAATGGTTTTGCCATGTTCCCAGGCGGTACGCAGAGGCTGCCCTCTTTAGCTGCTAAGAAGACTTCCCTGTGTCGGCAGGAACAAGTGTGCTCACCGCCCCCACCCCCTGACCCCCCGTAGACCCCTGTGGAGGGCATTTGGGGTTTCCCAGCTTTGTGCAAATGGGAAAAGGTTATGTGGTTTTTTGTTTTTTGTTTTTGTTTTTGTTTTGAGACAGAGTCTGTCTCTGTCGCCCAGGCTCGTTGCTCACTGCAACCTCTGCTTCCTGGTTTTAAGCAATTCTCCTGCCTGTGCAGGATTACGGGCATGTGCCTCAGCCTCCCAATTTGCTAGGATTACAGGCATGAGCCATCGCACCCGGCGGGGTGTGGATTCTAATGTAATAGCTAATGTGCCTTCCAAAGAGGCTGTACCAAGTCACACGTTCCTGGATTTATTTTGTGGTAATAGGGCTTTAAAAAGTATTTTTATTTATTTATTTTTATTTTATTTTATGTTTGAGATGGAGTTTTGCTCTTACCCAGGCTGGAGTACAATGGCGTGATCTCGGCTCACTACAACCTCCACCTCCCGGGTTCAAGCGACTCTCCTGCCTCAGCCTCCCGAGTAGCTGGGACTACAGGTGCCCACCATGCCCAGCTAATTTTTTGTATTTTTAGCAGAGACAGGGCTTCACCATGTTGGCCAGGCTTGTCTTGAACTCCTGACCTCAGGTGATCCACCCGCCTCTGCCTCCCAAAGTGCTGGGATTACAGGCTTGAGCCACCGCACCCGGCCTAAAATAGCTTTCCAGCAGTCCTTTTGGTCCCAGTAGGTAAAGCCTCAAGGCAGGCTGTAGAGTGCCAACCCTCTCTGACCCAGAGGTGAGGGTTAATGTTAATAGGATCCCTTTCAGCGAAAGTTAGGGCCACACTTCTCATGTCCCTAAGCCATTTGTACTTGTTTTTTTTCTCTGACCCACCTGTGTATGTGGTGAGTATGTGTGTATGTGTTGCTTTTTTTTTTTTTTTTTTTGGAAAGTGATTTTCAGTAACAGAAAGGGATGTGCTCTCTGCAAGGGTGAACCTATTCTTGCCCCTGTGTGTAAGGCAAGAAGGAGAAGTTGTGTTCTCTGAACAGGCAGACCCTGCTGAGAGACGGAGGTGTGTTGGGGTTCAATCATTCTGGTGGGAAAGATATTAGAGATAGTTATAGAAATAGACACAAATCTTGGAAGGCCGAGAAGTTGGCATAACTTTGGTAATTAGCTCTGGCTGAAGGCGGCCTGATCCCTTTACCTTTAGTTAAACAAATAAACATAGAAATAAAAGAAAGGCAGAGTAGTTTACCTAGCTAGCTTGTTTACTCATATAATCTTAAGACCCTGGGTGCTTAAATGCTTTTTACTCGGGAAGTCCACAATGTCTGTTACACTCTAATGGTGTTGACTCAAGCTTTTGTTAATTAATCATACTGAATAAATGCGCGTCTGACTAGCTGATCAGGGCCAAGTAGCAACTGTTTACAGGACTCAGCAGGGAGCCTATAAGCGGCTGGGACCCTCAGCTGGACTGGCAGAGCAGAATATCTGTGTGTCTGTACTTTATTCATCTGTCACGGGGTCACGGGTCTGTAAGGGACAGACTCCCTGCAGCTGGTGCCCCCTCGAAAGGAGTGCTGTCGCAGAGGTGGGCTTGGCTGAGGCTGGTAGAACTCCAAGCTGATTCTCAGGTCGTTCTGACTTCAGCTCGGAGAAGGGCAGTGGATGTCCCAGGAAGGGAGACCCTGCCCTTGTAGGGGGACTTCTGACAGGTGCAGGGGGCAGCCTGGAGCCCGGACCAGTGGGCAGGATGGGCGCTCCAGGGTGTGAAGGAGAGGCTGGGCGTTTTATCTGTGGACATTGTTCCTGGAGCAGTGAAAAGCCATAGAAAGTGATTTTATTTATTTATTTATTTATTTATTTATTTATTTATTTATTTATTTTGAGACGGAATTTCGCTCTTTTTGCCCAGGCTGGAGTGCAATGGCATGATCTCGGCTCACTGCAAACTCTGCCTCCCGGGTTCAAGCGACTCTCCTGCCTCAGCCTCCCGAGTAGCTGGGATTACAGGCATGCACCACCATGCCTGGTTAATTTTGCATTTTTTAGTAGAGACAGGGTTTCTCCATGTTGGCCAGACTGGTCTCGAACTCCTGACCTCAGGTGATCCGCCCACCTCGGCCTCCCAAAGTGCTGGGATTACAGGTGTGAGCCAGTGTACCCAGCTGATTTTTTTTTTTTTTTAAATGATCACACGTAAGGTTGGGTTCCAGAATTTTCTGCTTAGGAAGGGAAAGGGCACCTTTTACCCCCTTAGTCCTTGAGCCTGATCCTACAGAAGGTACAGTGGCTTTCGGGTCTGGATCCTCAGCCCTCGGGCCTCTGAGGCTGCTTTGGGAGAGGGTACGGATTTGAGAACAAGGTTCTCAGTTTTGCTGGCTGTCTTTTCAGTAGCCCAGGCACGTCCCACAGAAAGTTTCTTTTTGTGAAATAATCGTGTGAAATGGGTTGGCCTCGGTGCTTAGAACCATCCCACTGACGGTGAGTGGAAAAAATCCCTTGCTTGTCAGTCTGGTTAGGAGATGAGGTCCTTTCACGCGTGTCTTCGTGTTGGTGCGCTTTTCACTGGTCATAAAGGTGAGAGGAACCAGCTCTATGTGTCTCTTTCTGGATGGCCATATGGAACTTGTCATGACAGTAGGGTTGTGTGGGTTATTTATTGCTTAACGAAGACTTGGCAGCGTGTACTGGAAATTCAAGCGATGCTGGGTTTTATCAGAAGGCGCAAAGGCTGGAGTTGAGATTCTGGCTGGGCCTGGATTTGGTTTGGGCAGTTATCTGACCTCCCTGGGCCCCAGCTGGCTCTGCATAGCAAGTAGGGTAGCATCTACTCAAAGTCCCGGCCACAGCCGTGGACCGGCACTGGCCCAGGTGAGCTCTCAGTAAATAAGTGGGAGCTCACAGGTTCAGAAGATGCTGTGGGCCTCAGGGGCTTCCACCTCCAGGGAGGTGCTCTCAGAAGAAGGGCCTGATGGGCTCACCGCATCGTGGAGAAGATACCCCGGCTCAGTCTCAGTCAGTTCCCCAAGCGCATAGGTGTTCGGGAAGTGGCCTGCAGACAGCTCCTCCATGCCTTGAAAGCAGAAGTAGCCCCCTCCTGTTTCCCTGTCGCAGTTGGGTGAAGCATGGGAGCCTGCTGGGACAGTCCCAGGCGTGCCGTCACGCAGGGGCAGGCCGTCCGTCGGTCTCGCGGGACTCTGGCTGCGGGTGGCTGAGGACACCTGGCCTCATGGGAGACGGTGCCAGGGTCCCTGGAGTGAGGTGGGTCTCCTCCCCATGGCTGTCACTCCTCAGCAGATTGGTGTGGGCGGGTGTGCGTTTAGGAACCTGTGAGCTGAGACATTGTCCAGCTAGCATCAGGCCAAAAGCAACCAAGGCTTTGAGAAATCCACCTGGCCCCGCCGAGCCTGTTTCTGGCTGTGGAATGGGATTTGCCCCAGCGCCAGGTGTCTGGGAATCGCAGGCCTCCGCGTGTGAAGGTGCCAGTTGCATGGGCTGTGACCGTCCCTCCACATGCTTGTATCTCCTGCTCACTGTGCACGTTGAGCAGCCCTCAGCCTCACTATCTTCTCCTTTGGCAAAAAGAAGGAAGGAGCAAGGGAACAAAGAGAGGGAGGGAAGAGCCAGAGACAGGAGCCAGGGTTTCCTTTAGTCTGGAGCTCTGGGTGCGAGATGATGTCACCCACCCACACTCGGCACAGGCCCAGGGTCGGGGGGCTGTGGGTGGAAGTAGGAATCGCCACAACTGTCTCTGAGCCCCTCCCTAAAGGGTGAAGGGTGTAAGGGGTGGGTTTTGATGGCTGTGGGCTTAGCTGTGGTCAGTGGACTCAAAGGCCAGTTGGCCAGTTAGCAGTGACCAGAGAGCAGAGGGGGCCTGTGTGTGTTTTGCCCCAGGGTCTTCAGGCTGCCTGGCTGCCTCTATCTGCCCCCCTGGGGTGTCCAGCACCCCCCTGGGGTATCCAGCACCTGTAACCTGTAGCCCCGCTTCTCAGTCCAGGCCTGTTCCAGGGCCCCCCCAGGGTATCAAGCACCTGTAGCCTGTAGCCCCACTTCTCAGTCCAGGCCTGTGTAAAACCTGGCCCCGGGTTGGGTTTTGGGATCCCTGCACCCCTCCATCCCCAACCCCGCACAGCTGGGACCCTGGCTCAGCTAGCAAAGGTTCTGCATGTTTAAGGAGCTGGGTGGGCCCCAGAGCTCAAGCCGTGGGCTCATTGCAGGCGGCAGCCAGTGATTAGTGCTGAAATCCGACTTTCCCAGCCAGACATGAAAGTGCCGCCGGCGCCTGGGCAGGTCACGCTGCATCACGGGATTCGGGGCAAGGCCGTAGGGGGAGTTCACAGAAGCACATGACCTGAGCCACACAGGAGAGCCTAACGGGCACTTCTGACCCTTTTTTCTTGGGTCACAGACCTCTTTCATAATCCAGCAGAATGTGCAGAATCTTGCCCAGGAAAGTGTACCAGCCGCCTTCACACAGAAGAGTGGGCTGCGCAGACCCCCGAGGGCCCAGGCCAGGGTGAGAGCCACCCCCTGTAGAGGGGTGTCCAAGGTAGGGCACATGCTTGCACCACCTCTTGGCACCTCTTGGCCACCACTTTCCACTCCAGCCTTTGAAGCCAGTGATAATCCCCAATTTAGAGCTGGGGAAACTGAGGCAGGAGCGAGCCAGGAGCCAGGGGCCACAGTGCCCACCTCTACACTGAGGCCACTGTTTGTCATCAGGCATAGCGGAGCACACAGCCACGCCTGGGGAGTCTGGTGGGTGCCAGGGGTCTGGGGAGGTGTCAGCAAGACTGGGTGGCCCAGTCGGCCCAGGTAAGGACACAGGTGGGTCAGAGGCTCATCTGTGTTCCCCAGCAACCCCTAGGGGCCCTTCGCACTCCTCCACCCTTCTCCATCCTTCCCAGACTCACATCCAGGTATCCTGGACAGCCACAGGGTTCTGCCCCCAAGTAGGCCTGGCCCTCCCTGGAGCATCACCTGGATGGCTGGCCATGGGCAGGCCTTGCGTGGCCCATCTGCAGGGACAGGGCATGTGTATGCACGCAGATTGGTACTGTGTGCCCGCGCGCTCCCCAGAGGCCCTGTGGCAGCACCCCCTTCCTGCCGCTGCCCTTTTCCAACAGGAGGGCCCCCCCCCAGTGCCTCCTTCCCTGATTGTGGCCAAATCCTGAACTCTCCCTCTGGAAGGCGGACCCTCCGGGGTGGCCACAGCACCTGCCCTCCAGGAGCGTGGGAGGCGTCTCTTTCTCTGCATCTCTGGCCGTCAGACCGCCCCAGGTGGGGACCATTCTCTGGCATTGCCCCCCCTCCCCTGCCCTAGGATTTGCCCACTATGTGAGGAATGAGCACCAACCTCCTATTCCGGGCCTTGGAGCATGACGCCCGCAAACTCAATCCCTGCTGAGTCATCCTGACCTCGGGGTGGGCCAGCATCTGTCACTGCTGAGACACTATATGTGTGAGCTGCTTGTTAACGAGAAAGCCAGAGTCTGTAAAATATTTGAAGAGGTTTATCCGGAGTCAAATGTGAGGACCAAGGCCTGGAGGCCCTGAGGACATGTGCCCCAGGGGCTGGGCCACAGCTGGAGTTCATACCTTGTACAAGGACAGAAGTTACAGGCAGACATCAGTCAGTACATGAAAGGTATTTGTTGGTTCTGCCAAGAAAGGCGGGACAACTCCAAGGCAGGGATGGGCTTCCTGGTCACAAGTGGGTTCAAAGATTTCTTTTTTCTTTTTATATATATATATATATGTATACACACATATATATACACATATATACACATATATATACACATATACATATATATACACATATATATACATATATATATATTTTTTTTTTTGAGATGCTTTTGTTACTCAGGCTGGAGTGCAGTGGCATGATCTCAGTTCATTGCAACCTCCGCCTCCTGGGTTCAAGTGATTCTCCTGCCTTAGCTTCCTGAGTAGCTGGGACTACAGGCATGCACCACCATGCCCAGCTAATTTTGTGTTTTTAGTAGAGACGGGGGTTTCACCATGTTGGTCAGGCTGGTTTTGAACTCCTGATCTCAGGTGATCCACCCACCTTGGCTTCCCAAAGTGCTGGGATTACAGGCATGAGCCACCGTGCCTGGCAAAATATTTTCTGATTCACAATTGGTTGAAAGAGTTATTAGCTAAAGACCTGGAATCAATAGAAAGGAGTATCTGGGTAAGACAGGAGGTTGTGGAGACCAATATTGTGTTTTGTTTTGTTTTGTTTTTGTCACCCAGGCTGGAGTGCAGTGGCATGATCTCGGCTCACTGCAACCGGGTTCAAGAGATTCTCCTGCCTCAGCCTCCCAAGTAGCTGGGATTGCAGGTGCCTGCCGCCACCATGCCTGGCTAATTTTGTATTTTTAGTAGAGATGGGGTTTCTCCATGTTGGTCGGGCTGGTCTCGAACTCCTGACCTCATGATCTGCCCACCTCAGCCTCCCAAAGTGCTGGGATTACAGGCATGAGTCACTGAGCCAGGCCAAGATCTGTGTTTGAATGTTAGTGCTGGTCAGCTGTACCTGAATTCCAGAGGGAGGGGGTATAACAAGGCCTGTGTGACCCCTCTTCCCATCATGACCTGAGCTCGTTTTTCAGGTTAACTTTGGAATATCCCTTTGGCCAATAGGAGTGGTCCCTTCAGTCAGTTACGGGGCTTAGAATTTTATTTTTGGTGTACGTGCTCAAACTGCAGCTGCTACAAAACCAAGGCCACGGTGACCCCGGGGCCAGTCCAGCTTTGTCCCTGTGCTCTCGAGCTGCTGGAGGCCAATGCAGGATTCTGCCCACGGCTCACATGTGTGGCTTCAGACCCTGAGGGTTCTTGGGGCTGTGTCTTCACCTGGTACTGTGTAGGGGCCCTGTGAGCTGAGTCAACTGGAAGAGCCCAGAGCCTCTGCAGAAGGCCTGAGCAGGGCCCGGGCACTGTCCCTGGAGCTCTGAGTCCCTCAAGCTGTGTGGCCCGGAGCCAGGCGCTTGACTTCTCTGGTTGTTTGCTTCAGAGCTGGGAGCCTGGGGTGGCGTAGGTCTTTGGCAGGGGTCAGGTAGGGGAGGGGCCAGCCAGGAATCAAACATCCCTGACAGGTGAGGGGGCAAGTGAGGAGGGCAGGGCAGGAGCCCCTGGAGCACTTGTGCAGCAGCATCTGGACCGGTGCAAGCCCTGAGATGGCTTCAGGTCCTGCTCAGAGCTAAGGGCTCCCCGTCACCAGGGATTCTTCCATCACTGCACCTGCAGAGCCCATCGGGATTGGGGAGAGGCCCTGGCCTTAGTTTGGAACAGCTGCATCCGCCTGTCGGGTGTACAGGCTGTGCACTGGTTAAGCCTGAGCACAGAGTCTGTTCAACAAGTTCATTGTGTGGTATTTGCTTCCGCTTGCTGTTGAGTTGGACTGGCCTGGATGCTGGCCAGGAGCCCAAGTGGACTTGGTGCTTCTCTTTGACAGCCAGGATTGAAAAGCCTAGTTAAGTGGGCAGAGCACGAGGGTGAGATTTAGGAGACCTGGATGTCCTCACTTTGCCGCCCAGGAACTGCTGTGTGACTTTCAGCAAGTGGGACAACCTCTCTGAACTATGTTTACCCCAGCTATAAAATGGAGGTGTTGGATTGGCTGCCACAAGTGTCCTTCCACCTCCACAATACCGTGACTGGAGCGGGTTTTCACTCCTTTTTCTTGTTAGCATAACTGTTGGAGCTATAGAGGGTTTGGAGTGGGGTATGGGTTTCTGGGCCACAGATGTGTGAGGCTCCGCACTTAGCCAGCAGTGGCAACTCCTTATCACTGGTGCCCATGGCTTCATCTGTGCCCTGAAGATACTCATGCTGCAGTGACTGGTCAGATTAATGGTGATGCTTTCATGGGGCGCCGTAAGACATGTCCGCGAGGTATTTCGCCCATGCAACGGGAGGCAGTGTTCCAGTCTGTTGGAGACATGAAAGGGAGGCTCAGTCCCTGCAAAGGAACTTGCCCGAGTTCACACAGCATTTCAGCACTGGGTGGCCTGGCTTCAGAGTTTCAGAGGGAGGGGTGGCCCTTCCTGTCGGTCCTGGGGGTCTCCTGGAGTCAGGACCCTTGGGAAACCCAAATCCACCAGGACGCTTGCATCAGGAGAACCTGACTACATGAGAAGCTGCCCTTTTCCGGTTCTCCTGCTTACCCTTGACTTGGGGTGTCGGCAAATTTCAGAGCTTGCCAAATCTGCATCTTCCTGGCCTGTTTAAAATGAATGTGTCAGCCCCATTCTGGACAGCAGCTGACACCTCCTCCCCCGTGCCAGCCAGGACAGTGTGGTTGGGCGTAACTCAGCCCCGGTTAAAAATGGAAAAAAGTACAAAGACATGTGTTCAACGGCTGGTGACAGAATTTGAAAATGTGACACCAGCCTGTTAGTAATTTGTTTTCACAGAAACCTGATTCAACACTGAGCAGACAGGTGGGGCCAGGGCCTTGGGATCATCTCTGTTCTTGCCCAGGGACATCTGTATGTCTGGCCCAAAGCGGGGGCCTTGTGCTCTGCAGAGACTGGACATCAAAATTGAGCCATTATAAGCAGACCATCCTGGCCAGGCACGGTGGCTCACGCCTGTAATCCCAACACTTCGGGAGGCCAAGGTTGGCGGATCGCCTGAGGTCAGGAGTTCGAGACCAGCCCGGCCAACATGGTGAACCCTTGTCTCTACTAAAAATACAAAAATTAGGCGGGCGTGGTGGCAGGTGTCGGTAATCCCAGCTACTGAGGCAGGAGGCTGAGGCAGGGGGCAGGAGAATCACTTGATCCCCGGAGGCAGAGGCTGCAGCTACTCGGGAGGTAGAGGTGAGAGAATGGCTTGAACTCAGGAGGTGGAGGTTGCAGTGAGCCAAGATCGCACCATTGCACTCCAGCCTGGGCGACAAGAGCGAGACTTTGTCTCAAAAAAAAAAAAAAAAAAAAAAAAAAAAAATGGAAACACTGCCTTTGCTTCCCTGCCCCGGAACTGCTTCATTTTCCTTGGGGTTTCTGGACCACTTTGACCTCTCTCTGTGGCCAGCAATGGTGGGGAGGTGGGTGGATCTGGAGCTGGCATGGGCAGGCTCAGCATTCCAGCCCATTCTGGGGTGAGGTTGGCCTTGGGTGAGGACAGGGGTCACTGGGTCAGACATTCATTTTCTGGAGCCCAGGGGTGGTGACGTGTCCATCAGGGAAGCACGCGCCTGTGCTGGGGGGTGCTCCCTGGACCAGCAGCGCCGGCCTCCCTGGGACCTTGTTCTGTGCAGATGTGTTGTCTCCCTCTCCCCCGACCTGCCTGATCAGAAGCTCTGGGTTTCCATCCCGCTCCCCGACCACTGCTTTTACAAGTCCCCCCAGGGGATGACACGGGAGATGGTGGGGGCTGTCTATCAGTGGAGAAGGTGGGCGCTGTCTATTGGTGGAGATGGTGGGGGCTGTCTGTCGGTGAAGATGGTGGGGGCTGTCTGTCGGTGGAGAAGGTGGGGGCTGTCTGTCAGTGGAGATGGTGGGGGCTGTCTGCCGGTGGAGATGGTGGGGGCTGTCTGTCGGTGAAGATGGCGGGGGCTGTCTGTCGGTGGAGAAGGTGGGGGCTGTCTGTCGGTGGAGATGGTGGGGGCTGTCTATCAGTGGAGAAGGTGGAGGCTTGTACTCAGAGCAGGGGATATTTAGACTTGAAGGGGCCAGGGAGGAAGGTACTGGTTCTACTAAGCCCCATGTTCACTGGGCAGCCACTAAGTTTGGGACCGTGTGTGTACTGAGTGGATTCCGACAAAGAAGCTGTCTCAGGAGCCCCAGCCAGCTGCAGAGGGGGGCCCAAGCTCCAAGGCTGGGTGTCAGGTTTGCCAGGTGCTGGTTCGGCTAGGGGCCGCAGGCTGCGCTGGGCGGGACTGGGCTGGGCTGGTACCTGTGCCCGGTGTCAGGCCAGCTGTAGTTGCAGCGGTCAGCTGCCGCTCTCTGGCCCCATGCGAACTGCTGTGCCAGGTGCACCCTGGGGGACCAGGCTGCCTGGGCTTCCTGGAACTGGTGAAGTTGCCGCCACTTCCTCTATGCTGTCTCCAGCAGGCAATTCTGGGTAAACGATCTTCATTTGCCTATAAAGCTGCACAGCTCACAGGCCTTGGATCGTTTCTGCCCAGCCCCAGCATTGGCCCTTTGGACAGACTCTGAAACTGTGCGCAGAACGCACCCTGTCATTACAAATGACTCCTGGAGGCAGTCCCCGGGGGCCTGGCAGGAGCACCTCTGTTTCTGTTGGGTCTGAAAATGACAGACCAATTGCTTGAACCCAGGAGGCGGAGGGTGCAGTGAGCCGAGATCGAGACATTGCCCTCCAGCCTGGGCAACAAGAGCAGAACTCCGTCTCAAAAAAAAAAAAAAAAAAAAAAAAAAAAATCTTCACAAATGTAATTTGTAATGGCTGCAGAAAATTTCAGCTCTGAATGTACTGCATCCTAATCAGTTTCCTATTGTTGAGAATTAGTATAATATCCAGGTGTTTTGTTTTTGTTTTGCTATTAATAAGTAAAGCTGAGATGAATACTTCTGTATCAATCTTGATCCTTATTTTAGATAATTTCCATTTCATTCCTCCCATTTCTTGCGTGCTTCCTATGGTCAGGTGCTGTGCTGTGTGCTGAGTATGGAGGAGGTAGGCTGAGATAGACGTGACCTTTGCTCTTGCAAAGCTGATATCCTAAGGGTTGGACAGATGCTAAATGTGCAAAGAAACCCAATACTTGCAGATGGTGCTGGGTACTACCAAGGAAAGAAATAGGGTATATGACAGAGTACCTGGAAAGGGCACTGGCCAACTTTTATGGGCAGGGAGGTCAAAGCAAACCTGTCTGGAGATGAGACAGGCCAGGAAAATCAGGGCAGGGGCCAGAGTAGGGCAAATGTGGTGTCTAGAGCCTCATTTTTTTAGACGGATTCTCGCCCTGTTGCCCAGGCTGGAGTGCAAAGGCAGGATCTCGGCCCACTGCAACCTCTGCCTCCCAGGTTCAAGCAATTCTCCTGCCCCAGCTTCCTGAGTAGCTGGGATTACAGTACAGCCTCAAATTTAAGGAGGGACTCACTCACAGGATTGTGCAAATGCAAAGTTGGCTTTTGCATGACCCTGGGAGTAGGTGCCTCCTTAAATTTTGCACCCTCAGCAACTCCATCCCCTGTCACTTTGCTAGTCCCAACCCTGATGGGAACAAATGCAGGGAAGGCATTCCAGATGGCGGGAACAGCAAGTACAAAAATCCAGAGGCCAGAAAGGCTTGGTGTGTTTCAGGAACAGAAACTCGGTTCCCATGACTGAAATGGAGTAGGGAAATCCTAATGGAGCCAGAGAGGCAGAACCACCAACAGGAAGAAGAAAAAAATGTTGGAAGTTATGAGAGTTGCTCACGTTTGATTCATTTGATTAATTTTATTGAAATGGAGTCTCACTCTGTTGCCCAGGCTGGAGTGTAGTGGCACGATCTAGGCTCACTGCAACCTCCACCTCCTAGGCTTAAGTGATTCTCTCATCTCAGCCTCCCAAAGTGCTGGGATTACAGGCGTGAGCCAGCATGCCCCACCTGAAGCAATTTCTTTGTTGTCTTTTTTTTTTTTTTAACTTCTCCCATAGAAATAATTAACCCTCAAAAAACACTCAGTGTTGACAAAGGGTGGTGTGAGGACACAGAAAGTATCAGACTATCATTGGCAGAAACTTCCTGGAAAGCAACTTAACAGTCTGTATCCAAAGACTTAAAATCATTAACAGCCTTTTCCCCAATAACTCCACTTCTCGGAATCTATCCTAAGGAAATCTGCCACAGCCAGAGTGATTTTTTCCGTCCCCTTAAGAAATGGTCTCATCCTGTTGCCCAGGCTGGAGTGCAGCGGCACCATTATGGCTCACCACAGCCTGAAACTCGTGGGCTCAAGCGATTCTCCCACCTCAGCCTCCCAAGTAATTGGGATCACAGGCATGCCTCCACATCCATATGCCTAGTTGGATAATATTTTGACCAATAAAGAAAAAGAGGGCCAGGCGCGGTGGCTCACGCCTGTAATCCCATCACTTTGGGAGGCCGAGGCGGGTGGATCACGAGGTCAGGAGATTGAGACCATCCTGGCTAACACGGTGAAACCCTGTCTCCACTAAAAATACAAAAAACAAAATTAGCCGGGCTTGGTGGCGGGCGCCTGTAATCCCAGCTACTCGGGAGGCTGAGGCGGGAGAATGGCTTGAACCCGGGAGGCAGAGCTTGCAGTGAGCCAAGATTGCGCCACTGCACTCTAGCCTGGGCGACAGAGCGAGACTCCTTCTCAAGAAATAATAATAATAAAATAAAAAAATAAAAAAGAAAAAGAAAGGTAGTACCAGAGATTGTGTCCAGTTGCTCAAGCAATTTCTAACTTGTCTAATTTTAAAATTTTTTAAATTTTTATACAAAATTAGCCAGGCATGGTGGCATGTGCCTGTAATCTCAGCTACTTGGGAGGCTGAGGCAGGAGACTCACTTGAACCTGGAAGGCAGAGGTTGCAGTGAGCTGAGATCACACCATTGCACTCCAGCCTGGGCCACAAGAGTGAAACTCCGTCTGAAAAAAAAAAATTTAATTTTTTTTTGTAGAGATGGGGGTCTCACTATGTTGCTCAGGCTGGCCTATAACTCCCAGGCTCAAGGATCTTCCAGTCTCAGCCTCCCATCACTGTAATTACAGGCATGAATCACTTCACCTAAATGATTTTTTTTTTTTTGAGACAGTCTTGCTCTGTCACCCAGGCTGGAGTTCAGTGGCACGATCTCGGCTCACTGCAACCTCTGGCTCCCGGGTTCAAGCAATCCTCATGCCTCAGCTTCCCCAAATAGCTGGGACTACAGGTGTGCGCCACCATGCCTGGCTAATTTTTGTATTTTTTTGTAGAAACGGGGTTTCACCATGTTTGTCAGGCTGGTCTCTTGACCTCAAGTGATCCACCCACCTCGGCCTCCCAAAGTGCTGGGATTACAGGAGTCAGCCATCCATGGTGCCCTGCCTTTTCTCTTTCTTCTCCTCCCTCCCTCCCTACCCTCCGCAGCCCAGGCTGGAGTGCAGTGGTGGGATCATAGGTCACTGCAGCCTCCACCTGCTGGACTCAAGTCATCCTCCTGCCTCACCCTCCTGAGTTCCTGGGACCACAGGCACGCGCTACCACGCCGGGTAATTTTTGTAGTCCCCATCATTTAGAACTGGCAGGATCCTCCCTTAGTGAGGGATTGGTGGCCATAAGCAAGGAGCCCAAGGTGGAGGGGATATGCATGTGTGTGGAGGTGTCAACTCCTCATAATCTTCAAGTACTTTTGGTTACAATTTTTAATTGCACAAGCGATATATAAAGACGTTTTCTTTGCAACATAAAATGATAGGTTAAGACTCCTTATGCAGATAAGGTTTAGACACTTGTTTAAGGAGCATCCTGGCCCACCTTTTAAAAAATGTGTATGCATTCACTTTATGCATCAGATGGTTTAGGGAATTTTTTTCCCTGGGGCATGGGACATGTCATGGGGTAGATGGTCAGGTACGTCTCCTCTACCCAGCTGATTCTCTTTTTTTTTTTTTTTTTTTTTTTGGAGACGGAGTCTTGCTCTGTCGCCCAGGCTGGAGTGCAGTGGAGCGATCTCTGCTCACTGGGAGCTCCGCCTCCCGGGTTCACGCTATTCTCCTGCCTCAGCCTCCGGAGTAGCTGGGACTACAGGCGCCCGCCACCACGCCCAGCTAATTTTTTGTATTTTTTAGTAGAGACGGGGTTTCACCGTGTTAGCCAGGATGGTCTCGATCTCCTGACCTCGAGATCTGCCCGCCTCGGCCTCCCAAAGTGCTGGGATTACAGGCGTGATCTACCGCGCCCGGCCTTCTCTTTCTTTTCTCCTTTCCTTTCCTTTCCTCCCTCCTTTCCTTCCTTCCTTCCTCCCTCCTTTCCTTCCTTCCTCCCTCCTTCCCTCCCTCCCTCCTTTCCTTCCTTCCTTTTTCTTCCCTCCCTGCTTTCTCTCTCTCTCTTTTATTTTTTTGAGACAGAGTTTCACTCTTGTTGTCCAGGCTGGACTGCAATGGTCTGATCTCGGCTCACTGCAACCCCGGCCTACTGGGTTCAAGCGATTCCCCTGCCTCAGCCTCCCAAGTAGCTGGGATTACAGGCGTCCTCCACCATGCCCGGCTAATTTTTGTATTTTTAGTAGAGGCGGGGTTTCTCCATGTTGGCCAGGCTGGTCTGGAACTCCTCACCTCAGATGATCCGCCCACCTCGGCCTCCCAAAGTGCTGGGATTACAGGCGTGACCCACCGCGCCTAGCCCCCAGCTTCTTTCACCAGCAGAAGGCGGGCAAGCCTCAGGGTGAGAGGACTTCAAAGCACATTTCACATTGCAGAGGACAGGGTTTGGTGGTCGTGGGTACTCCCTTCCCTTACATCGTTTAGTTTTTTTCATTGGGAAGAAATGGTAAAAGGTGCTAGGACTCGATGGGCACATTTCAGGTGGAGGTTGGGAAGGTGGATATCCACCTCTCGATCTTACTATTTTCACTTTCCACTCCCCCCCGTAGAAAGTGGGAAAACTGGCGCACGTGAAACCAAGGGCACGCCTGTGTGCGCTCGCACCCCAGGGCACCAGCCCCCACCACCCACACTGCAGGTCCTTGATTGGACGCCTGTTTACACCTGACTGCCCAGCCCTCCGGTGCTTTCCGGGAAGCGTTTGGGAGAAAAGTGTGTGGCCGCAGTAGTGGAGATCCCTTGTCTTAGGATTCGTCACTACTACGCCCAGACCTCTTCGCCGTCCAAGAGCCTGGGGCCGTGGGGGGCGGGGCGGCCTGCTATCGGCCCCGCCTCTCTCGGCCCCGCCCCGCCGACAGGACCCGCCTCTCTCCCCAGGCCCGGCGGGGCCGACCCCGCCTCTCGCTCCCAGCATGCCGTGCGACAGTGGCGGCGCGGCGGGCGGAGCCGGGAGGCGGGGAAGCAGTGGCCTTGTGAGCGTGGGGAGCTGCCGCCACCGCCTGCTCCTCGTCGTCCTCGTCCTCCGGGGCCCCGGCGTCGTGGGCCGCGCATGGCCCTGGAAGAGAAGTCGGCGCCCCTTCATCCGCCTCTCTCTCACCGCGCCGCTCCCGCCTCCTCATTCTGCGTTGCGGGCTCAGGCGGAACCCGGAACGGCCGTCCTCTTACCCCGCCCTCCGCCGCCGCCTCCTCCTCCTCCTCCTCCTCCTCCTCCTTCTCTTCCTCCTCCTCGGCTTCCTCCTCAGCCCCGGGCCGGAGCGGGGTGTCGGCAGCGGCCGGTTCGGGCGGCGACTCGCGCTTCTCTGGGCGGCGGCGCTTGGCCATGTCGTGTCGGGGAAGGTAATGAGCCGCAGAGCCCCGGGGTCTCGGCTGAGCAGCGGCGGCACCAACTATTCGCGGAGCTGGAATGACTGGCAACCCAGGTGGGTGACCGGCCCGGGACCCCGCCCCGACCTCCCGGGCTCCGCCTCGGGCGGGCCGAGGCCTAGGGCCGCGGGGCTGGGAGGCGCGGCCTAGGCCCTCCACCCACCGGAGCCGGGCGCGGCTTCCTGGTTCTCCTCCGCCCCGGCTGGGGGAGGAAGGCCACGGGGAGGCGAGGCCTAAGTGCCTCTCCCCTCCCTGCATGTTCAGCCTGGGGCTGAAGCCGAGACCCGGGGCTCCCGGCGGTGGCACTGGCCTAGGGTCGGGACCAGGAGGTGAGAAAGAGGCGGGGGTGGTGGGGGGGCATTCCACTTACCGCCTCCCCCTGACCCCGAGTTGGGAGATCCTGAGAGTCCAGGACCCTCCCTGTTACTCATTCACTTTCTCGGTTCCCCAGTCTTTCAGCCGCCACGTGAGAGCTCTTGTAACCTCTGTTCCCTTTCTGTGACCCCCACGTGGTAATATTGAAAAAACCAAAACAAAACTCCAGCCAAGGCATTGCTCTGACTTTAGGCAGAACATTCATTAGTGGAGCATGAGATGAGATTGTGTGACTGTTGATGGGATCGACCCACTCTGGTCTTGGGCGATGGAAGTTTTCCCTAAGTGCAAGGCCGGTTACTCTGGTGAATCGTAATTCATACCTGGACACTTGAGTGAACTCTTTGGGCACCCACTTAGAAGTCTAGAGAATTTCCTCTTTTATGGAGGATTTGATCTCAGACCGTTTTGGGGCTTAGTTAGATTTGAATATATTAGGAACATTAACTTTTTAAATAAATGTAATTTCCTGTCTTTTTGATCAATGGGGGGAGGGCAGCTGTGCCTAATTTAGGATTGATTTATTCTAACCTCTCTTACTAAATAAATGCTTGTATTCAGAGTCTGTTTGGAATTTAACCCAATGCTTAGAACTCCTTAAATATACAGAAATATATTTTAGGGGCAATTGATTCATGGAACTCTCCTACTTTGGAGCACAATTGTATTATAATTGTCCGGAAACTGGCCAGATAATGTAGAACGCACAAGTTGTTGAGAAGCCCTTTTGTTTCCTGATAGTTACATGTAATTCCAGCAGTATTTGGAAATAATTTGCTAAGATGTTAGAATGTAACATTTGAAGACTCATTAGAAAAATCAATAAAATTATCTTTGGCTAATGGGTAGTACACATCTTAGTCTGTTTAATATGCCTTTCCAAAAAAAACTGTGTCTGTTGAGAATTGGTGTATATAACTAGATGACTTTAATAATTAGTGCCTGAGTCTAGAATTGAGATGTTTAGTCGTAAAAAAAAAATATTGTTCGATAAACAGCGTTGACTTGTCTTGTACCACTTAAGAGTTTGTGAGTGCTTTAAATAAAATTAGTTAAGTATTTTTCTTCCTATGATTGACATGCTTAGTTTTGCCTTTTTATTGAAATGTGTGAAATTTGATTATCTGGCATCTAACAAATCAGGTGGTAAATGAATGACAATGGATTTTCTATTATTTTTCAGTATTGTGATCAGTATAAGTATTTAAGAGAATTTAGTAACCTTTTAGAAGAATAAAGTGCCTTCCCAAATAGTCCTACAGCTTTTGTAAAGTGTAAATTGTAGTTTGTAGTTCTAAATAAATAGAGAAGAGTCGCAGCCACGTGCTAGGGCCAGCTGACTTCATTGCTGACAGGTATGAAGCCAAATGGCTTATGTAGTTATGGAATATGTACATAAGCTATTAATAAATATTATCCATGTTGTTTCTTTCAAGTGCTTTATTTCTTGGCTCTGGGGAGGGGCGATGTGGGAAGGGAGGAGCTTACAAGAAAGCTTGCAAGGTTTCTTTGAAGCTGTGCTTTTTGTAGGAAAGTTTCAGGATGTAACGCCTTGGTAGACGATACTGTGATACATTTGGTTACAGGGAGTAACAGTTTGTTAGGATGTTGGAAAGATTTGATTTTCTCCTGTTGTAGAGGGAACAGGAAAGTGTGGACATACCCCATAGCATAACTTGATTTGTTGCTAAGATTGTCATAGCTGATTTGTTAGTCAATAAAAATACCTGGGGTGTTTGCCAAGTCATAAATTTTTATTAGTTAAATTTGAGGTGATTCTGTCCCCTATTCAGAAAGATGACAGACTCCAGGTAACTGACGGAACGGATCTTGATCTTGCTTCTTGCTTAAATGAAGGTTTAGAACATCTTCAGATGCAGGCACATTTATTATGGTTCATCTGAATAATTTTGGTGAAAATTTTTTTTGCCTCTTATGTACCATTTTGTCCCTGGTGTTTTGGTTCTGTTTTCCTTGATGTAGGCTTTTTTTTTTGTCTTCCTGAGATGGAGTCTTGCTCTGTCTCCCAGGCTGGAGTGCAGTGGTGTAATCTCGACTCACTGCAGCCTCTGCCTCCCGCTTACAGGGAAAAATTCTCCTGCCTCAGCCTCCTGAGTAGCTGGGATTACAGGCGTCCAGCTAATTTTTGTATTTTTAGTAGAGACGGGATTCCACCATGTTGGCCGGCCTGTTCTTGGACTCCTGACTCAGGTGATCCGCCTGCTTTGGCCTCCCAAAGTGCTGGGATTACAGGTGTAAGTCACCGCACTCAGCCGATTTAGGCTTTTGAAAAAGCAATACTTGTTGATTTCTTTTAGTGTTAGTTTGCCAGTTGGTGTGGAAAATGACTGTTGAGTCAATTTTGACCACACATGATACTTCACACATACAGACAGGAAGTGTTCCAGGTGGCTGAATACGTGAATGTCATATGGCAAGAGAGCAAACCCGTGTTCCATAGAAGCATACCTCCAACAGTAAGCATTTATATGGCACTGGCTTATAGTCTTCCTTTTCATTCACTGTGCTCTCAGTCAACTCTTCTGTCAATTTTTTTGAGACAGGGTCTTGCTGTGGTCACCCAGGCTGGAGTGCAGCGGCACAGATACTTGGCTTACTGCAGTCTCGACCTCCCAGGCTCAAGCCTCCTGCCTCAGCATCCACAAGTAGCTGGGGCTACAGGCGCTTGCCAACAGCCCGGCTCATTTTTGTATTTTTTATAGAGATGGGGTTTTCACCACGTTGCCCAGGCTGGTCTTGAACCCCTGAACTCAAGCAATCTGCCCACCTTCAGCCTCCCAAAGTGTTGAGATTATAGGTGTGAGCCACCGCACCCGACATTTAAGAATGGTTAAGCAGGCTGGGGGCAGTGGCTCACGCCTGTAATCCCAGCACTTTGGGAGGCTGAGGTTGGTGGATCACCTGAGGTCAGGAGTTCGAGACCAGCCTAGCCAACCGACATGGTGAAACCCCCGTCTCTCCAAAAAAAAAAAAAAATAAATAAATTAGCAGGATGTGGTGGTGCATGCCTGTAATCCCAGTTACTCGGGAGGCTGAGGCAGGAGAATCACTTGAACCTGAGAGGCGGAGGTTGTAGTGAGCGACATCACACCACTGCACTCCAGCCTGGGCAACAGAGCAAGACTCCTTCTCAAAAAAAAAAATAAAAAATTAAAAAAAGAATGGTTAAACAAATGAGTGGTCTTAGGTCAGTTGTATTATTTGAAATCTGTGGGTTCCTCAAGCGTAAAGTTGAGAAGGTTTTGGGAACCACTGGATGCCTCTGGTTTTTTTCATATGAAGAAACAGAGGTGGTGGCTTCTTAGAACAAAGGGATATCTGACCTATGGAGGTTGCCCTCTTTACTCCTCTTCCCTAAAAAAATGACCTATCATTGCCAATAGCTAAAGTCTGTCATTTTTTCCACCTTAGTTTGGAAGATAATCTTCTAGTATCAATCAAGACAGAGATCAGAATGATGTGTTTTAAATGTGTAATTCATAATTGTACATTTTAATATTCTAAAGTGACATTGATTAATTTGACATTGGAGTCAAGTAGATTGATTAATTCAACAAAGAAGAGAAGGCATTCAAGTCAACAGAAAACAAGTAGATTTTACTTCTCCACTGGGGGTGTTAGGACATTAATTATGTACTTGGTCTTACTTGTTTAGTAGTAGATCTATATTGAGTGTCTTACTGTGCCCAAACTTAGGATCTTTGTATATTTCTAAAAGGATGAAACTGTATAATAAAAACACCTTCCAATTTTGGTAGATTGTAGACAGATCAGAGTATTCAAAAGTATACACATCTTCTCTATTGTGAAAGACCAAAAAATGGAAATGTGTTGTGAAATTAGAAAAGCTGTATACTAGTATGTCTGATGTTGTGAGAAGCTGGATTTTTGAAACCAGAGTTGTCTGTTCAGCCTTTTATCAGTCTGTACTAAGTTTGATGTCCATAGGTACATAATATAGGGAAATACATAAAGGATAAAATTAAGTGAAGTTACATATTTTATACTTATTAGGTGGGTGCAAAAGTAATTGCGGTTTTGGCAAAAACCGCAGTTACTTTCACACCAGTCTAATATTAAATGGAACTAGAGTCAAATAGAATTTAGCGATTGCCAGTTCTGTTCCACAGATTTCAAAGTACACTAAGGAAAATTTCAGCAAATTGTGCATGGCTGTTTTACTTGGGGGAGAGTAAAACGGCCATAATAAACTAAAAAATAAAAATTAAAACTAAAGGAACGTTTGTTTTTATGTTTTTCTTTTCTTTTCTTTCCTCTTTTTTGAGATATGCTCTTGCTCTGTTGCCCAGGCTGGAGTGCAGTGGTGCAATCACTGCTCACTGCAGCCTTGACTTCCTGGGCTCTGGGAATCCTCCCGCCTTAGCCTCCTGAGTAGCTGGGACCACAGGTGCATACCACCACACCTGACTAATTTATTTATTTTTCCTCTCTCTCTCTCTCTCTTTTTTTTTTTTTTTTTTGAGACAGAGTTTTACTTTGTTGCCCAGGCTGGAGTATAGTGGCACAATCTCAGCTCACTTGCAACCTCCACCTCCTGGTTCAAGTGATTCTCCTGTCTCAGCCTTCCAAGTAGCTGGGAATACAGGTGCATGCCACTATGCCCGGCTAATTTTTCTGTTTTTAGTGGAGATGGGATTTCACCATGTTGGCCAGGCTGGTCTTGAACTGCTGACCTCAGGTGATCCACCCGCTTTGGCCTCCCAAAGTGCTGGGATTCCAGGCATGAACCACCATGCCTGGCCTCCTCTCTCTTTTTCTGAAACAGAGTCTCACTCCAGTGCCCAGGTTGGAGTGCAGTGGAACCATCTCAGCTCACTGCAGCCTCCATCTTCCAGGCTCAATAAGTCCTCCTACCTCACCCTCCCAATAGCTGGGACCACAGGTGCATGTCACCACCCCCAGCTACTTTTTTTTTGTTGTTTTCTGTAGAGACGGGGTTTTGCCATGCTGCCTGGACTGGTCTTGAATACCTAGGCTCAAGTGATCCTTCCTCCTTGGCCTCCCAAAGTGCAAGGATTACAGGTGTGACCCACCATGCTTGGCACGCTAATTTTTTATTTTTATTTTTTTGTAGAGATGGGGCCTCCCCATGTTGCCCATGCTGGTGTCAAACTCCTACTCCAGTATGAAATAAGTCATTCCTTATGAAACAGTTAGTAATCGTATCTTTAAGTTGAACCTTCCCCTCACCCCAACTTTTTTTTTTTTTTTTTTTGAGACGGAGTTTTGCTCTTGTTGTCCAGGCTGGAGCGCAATGGTGCAATCTTGGCTCACTGCATCCTCCGCCTCCCAGGTACAAGCTGTTTTCCTGTCTCAGCCTCCCAAGTAGATCAGATTACAGGCATGTGCCACCACACCCGGCTAATTTTTTTATATTTAGTAGAGACGGGGTTTCACCATGTTAGGCTGGTCATGAACTCCTGACCTTAGGTGATCCACCTGCCTCGGCCTCCCAAAGTGCTGGGATTACAGGTGTGTGCCACTGCACCCCGCCTTTTTTTTAAAGACATAGTTTCACTCTGTCTCCCAGGCTGGAGTGCAGTGGCACGATCTTGGCTCAGTACAACCTCCACCTCCTGGGTTCAAGTGATTCACGTGCCTCTGCCTCCCGAGTAGCTGGGACTACAGGTGCATGTCACCAGGCCTGGCTAATTTTTTATTAGAGACCGGGTTTCGCCATGTTGGCCAGGCTGGTCTCGAACTCCTGACCTCAAGTTCCCACCTTGTGCTTCTCAAAGTGCTGGGATTACAGGAGTGAGACACCGTGCCTGGACTCCCCAACCCATTTTGTTTTTATTCCTTTATAAATTAGTATAATGGAAGGTTTTTTTGTTTGTTTTTTATAACAGGTAATAAAATACTCTAATTCAGTAAATATTGATGCTTCTAGGGAGATGTGTGTGTGTGTGTGTGTGTGTGTATAAATTTTTTTTTTTTTTTTTTTTAAGATGGAGTGTTGCTCTGTTGCCCAGGCTAGAGTGCAGTGGTGCAATCTCGGCTCACTGCCAGCTCCACCTCCTGGGTTCACTCCATTCTCCTGCCTCAGCCTCCCGAGTAGCTGGGATTGCAGGTGCCCGCCACCACGCCTGGCTAATTTTTTGTATTTTTAGTAGAGATGGGGTTTCACCGTGTTAGCCAGGATGGTCTCGATCTCCTGACCTTGTGATCCGCCCGCCTCGGCCTCCCAAAGTGCTGGGATTACAGGCGTGAGCCACCGTGCCCGGCCATAATTTTTTTTTTTTTTTGAGATGGGGTCTCACTGTATTGCCCAGGCTGAAATGCACTGGTGCAATCTTGGCTTACTGCAACCTCGGCCTCCTGGGTTCAAGCGATTCTCCTGCCTCAGCCTCCCAAGTAGCTGGGATTACAGGCATGTGCCACTACTCCTGGGTAATTTTTGTATTTTTAGTAGAGACGGGGTTTCGCCATGTCGACCAGGCTGGTCTCGAACTTCTGACCTCAAGTGATCTGCCTGTCTTGGCCTCCCAAAGTGCTGGGATTACAGGCACAAGCTACTGCACTGGGCCACGGCCAGGATTTTTATGACTTGTAAAACCACTGTCTTCAAGGAGGCTATAAGTTATTATGGGAGAAAAGTAAAGGGCTTTGTGAAGGGGAGAGCATGTGGATTTTGTGATGTAATTCTCAGTATACCTTCCTTCCTTCCTTCCTTTCTTTTTTTTTTGAGACAGTCTTGCTCTGTCACTTAGGCTGGAGTGCAGTGGCATGATTGACAGGGTTTCGCCAGGTTGGCCAGGCTGGTCTTAAACTCCTAACCTCAGGTGATCTGCCCGCCTTGACCTCCCAAAGTGCTGGGGTTACAGGCCAACATGGTGAAACCCCATCTCTACTAAAAATACAAAAATTAGCTGGATGCAGTGGTGGGTGCCTGTAATCCCAGCTACTTGGGAGGCTGAGGCAGGAGAATCGCTTGAACCCAGGAGGTGGAGGTTGCAGTGAGCCAAGATCATGCCATTGCACTCCAATTTGGGTGACAGAGCGAGACTGTCTCAAAAACAAAAACAAAAACTTGGAGGGTCAGAGGAGGGAAAATGGGGTGATGGAATTGGTCTGTACAGTTTTCACTGTGAATTTGGGGGAGAATCCCCCCCAAAATAGAAGAAAATTAGGATAAGGCCAGGTGCAAATTGTCAGTGTGTAGAGGAATTGGGTACTTATGAGGAGTAATATAAATAAGAGGTGAAGCTGAAGCACTGGGTTGGGAACCCTATTGTAGACCTTTAATCATAGTTCAGGTGTTTTTTTGTTTGTTTGTTTGTTTGTTTTTGGAGACAGAGTTTTTGCTCTTGTTGCCCAGGCTGGAGCACAATGGTGCCATTTTGGCTCACTGCAACCTCCGCCTCCCGGGTTCAAGCAGTTCTCCTTCCTCAGCCTCCCAAGTAGCTCTAGGGATTACAGGCACGCACCACCACACCTGGCTAATTTTTTGTATTTACTAGAGACGGGGTTTCACCATGTTGGTCAGGCTTGTCTTGAACTCATGACCTCAGGTGATCCACCCATCTCGGCCTCCCAAAGTGCTGGGATTACAGGCGTGAGCCACCACCCTGGCCCAGTTTAAGTGTATTTGGAGTGACTTTAGGGAATCATTGAAATTTTACCTGCCGGAAAGTGGCACAATTTAGGAAGATTAAATCTAGTTGCTTCTTGAAAAAGTGTGTGGGCTGGCCATGGTGGCTCATGCCTGTAATCCCAGCAGTTTGGGAGGCTGAGGTGGGTGGATCTCCTGAGGTCGGGAGTTCGAGACTAGCCTGACCAACATGGAGAAACCCCGTCTCTACTAAAAATACAAAATTAGCCGAGTGTGGTGGTGCATGCCTGTATTCCCAGCTACTCGGGAGGCTGAGGCAGGAGAATTGCTGGAACCTAGGAGGCCGAGGTTGTGGTGAGCTGAGATTGCACCGTTGCACTCCAGCCTGGGCAACAAGAGCAAGACTCCGTCTAAAAAAAAAAAAAGTGTGTGTGTTAGAGTGCGTGCACACACGTGCAAGAGAGATCGCAGTGGGAGGCAGTTAATTGGAACAATATAGAGAAGGGGCTGCTAAGGACCTGAGTATTATGTTTATATTTAACAATTTAAATTAAGATAAGGCTGTGTATGGTGGCTCACACCTGTAATCCCAGCACTTTGGGAGGCCAAGGTGGGTGGATCACCTGAGGTCGGGAGAGACCAGCCTGACCAACGTGGAGAAACCCCGTGTCTACTAAAAATACAAAAATTAGCCGGGCGTGGTGGCATATGCCTGTAATCCCAGCTACTTGGGAGGCTGAGGCAGGAGAATCACTTGAATCCGGGAGACGGAGGTTGTGGTGAGCCGAGATCGAGCCATTGCACTCCAGCCTGGGCAGCAGGAGCGAAACTCTGTCTCAAAAAATAAATAAATTAATTAATTAATTAAGGTAAAAGTGTTCAGCTCAATATGTGAGAATTTCCATAAGCAAAAGCCCCTCATTTGTTATCTGGTGTTGATTGAGGATGATTACTAAAGTGATACTTTTTATCTGCTCAATCTTCATGTTAGACACATGTATGGAATGTCATTTAAGTGTCATATAAAATGGAGTGTGGTCCATGGTGTCTTTTGGGAACATTGAATTGTTAAATTCTTTAGGATTTTCTGCCTTTGTTATCTGGCTCTTGTTCCTTATCCTAATCACCTAAAACAAATCCCTGAGGCTCCTTTCATTGGACCACCCTTAATGATTTAGAGGAGCTGTTTGTTAATCTTTTCACATTGTCATCATTTTGGTTACCTGTCTTTGACTATCTTGAAGTTTTTCAGAGCCCATTTTATTTTTGGAACTATAAAATGAAACATACTTCCCCTTGTATAGAGGCCTAACAGTAAAGATTACAGAAATTTTGTGGTTTCATATGTATAGGAAATGCTTCCTTATTCTGTATTTTTGTTTTTTGTTTTTTTTTTAATGTAGAGTATAACTTACTAAATTCTTGTGGAGTTCGCTCATGCAGAGATACTTGGTTTTATAATGTTATTCTTTTCCATCTTGTATTAATCGAGTGTACTTTTCCTTTTTAAATTGATTTCGTTTTTGAATTCTATTGTGGTGCTTCTTTGAGATAAAATTTATGTATGTATAGGTGGTGGTGGTTTTTTTTTTTTTCTTTTTTTCTTTTGAGGTGAAGTCTCGCTCTTATCTCCCAGGCTGGAGTGCAATGGTGCGATCATGGCTCACCGCAACCTCCGCCTCCCGGGTTCAAGAGATTCTCCTGCCTCAGCCCCCTGAGTAGCTGTGATTACAGATGCCTGCCACCACGCCTGGCTAGTTTTTGTACTTTTAGTAGAGATGGGGTTTCACCATGTTGGCCAGGCTGGTCTGGAACTCCTGACCTCAGGTGACCCATCCGCCTCAGCCTCCCAAAGTGCTGGGATTACAGGCGTGAGCCACCACGCCCGGCCTGTATAGGTCTTAAATTCAGTAAATTTTGACAAATGTATACACCTGTGTAACCATGACCTCAGTCAAGGTACAGATATGCAGTGACTTTTTCACTATCACACCCATTCCTGCCACTTTTTTTCATATCCTTACCACTATCTGGAATTTTTATGTGTGCCATCTCTAGTAAAATACAATCTGCATATGTGCATGGATCTGGTAAAATTGTTACTTTTGCTATCCCCTTCTTTCCTACTAAGTGCATCAATAAATAGCATCCACTCTATATTTGTGTCTTTCCTCAAGTAAATTCATGAAAACGAGATCCTGCAAGTTTGTGTTTTTATATTAAGTGTTAACTCTAGAGATTACAACACTGTTCTTGTAGGATGTGTTTTTGGGGAAAGCATTCCTCTTATGGCAGCCCTGTTAGCCTGAGGCAGGGCTTAAACAAACTGATTGAGCAGGCTCAAAAGGACAGTATCGTAATGGACTGGAGTGGCCAGATCTTTTTACAGAAGAAAGAATACGGTAATTTGGCCACGCGCAGTGGCTCATACCTGTAATCTCAGCACTTTGGGAGGCCGAGGTGGGCGGCTCATGAGGTCAAGGGATCAAGACCATCCTGGCCAACATGGTGAAACCCCATCTCGACTAAAAAATATACAAAAATTAGCTGGGCATGGTGGCACACGCCTGTAGTCCCAGCTATTCAGGAGGCTGAGGCAGGAGAATTGCTTGAACTTGGGAGGCAGAGGTTGCAGTGAGTGGAGATGATGCTGTTGTTGCACTCCATCCTGGGCAACAAGAGGAAAAAAACCTCCGTCTCAGGGAAAAAAAAAAAAAGATGGTAATTTAAGATTCATATGTTTTATCCATCTTGAAAAATACCTTGTGCACATATTTAAAGTCTTTTTACATATTGATTTATCTTGAATCTATTGTATCTGTCTACATTATTTAAGCAATGTAATCACTAAAAATTTAAGCACTGGGTTGAGCCTTCTGGCATCCCATTAGAATGCCTGGGGAAACACACTTCTTGCCAATTGGATACCTGCTGATTGGGGAATGAAACGCAAATATTCCAGAATCAACAGATTTCTTTATTTTATTTTATTTGTCACCCAGGCTGGAGTGCAGTGGTGAGATCTTGGCTCACTGCAAACTCTGCCGCCCGGGTTCAAGTGATTCTCCTACCTCAGCCTCCTGAGTAGCTGGGATTACAGGCGACTGCCACCACGCCTGGCTAATTTTTGTAGTTTTTAGTAGAGATGGGGTTTCACCATCTTGGCCAGGCTGGTCTTGAACTCCTGACCTTAGGTGAGGAGGAAATCCCATTTTGTAAATCCCAAAGTGCTGGGATAACACAGGTGTGAGCCATCATACCTGGCCTAGAATCAACAGATTTCTGAACATACAGAATTACTTCTTTCATATTAATTTTCAGACCTTTTCAAAAAAGGAATTGGATACCCTGTTGATATTCATATTCATATTATTATGTTGGTATTCATGTAATATGTGTAGGACTTTATAGTTATTTAAAAACCTGTTATAGACTTTTGTTTATTATTTAAAACTTTTTTCAGAGGGACTTGTTGCTTTTTTTTTTTTTTTGAGATGGAGTTTTGCTCTTTTTGCCCAGGCTGGAGTGCAAGGGCACGATCTAGGCTCACGCAACCTCTACCTCCTGGGTTCAAGTGATTCTCCTGCCTCAGCCTCCTAAGTAGGTGGGATTACAGGCATGTGCCACTCGCCTGGCTAATTTTTTGTATTTTTAGTAGAGACAGGGTTTCACCCTGTTAGCCAGGATGTTCTTCATCTTCGGACCTCAGGTGATCCCCCCTGCCTTGGCTTCCCAAAGTGCTGGGATTACAGGTGTAAGCCACCTCGCCCAGCCTCAGAGGGATTTCTGGTACCAGAATTATAGATTGTTTTTGTTACCGAACTTCCTAAGTTATGCTCGTTCTTTGTTTATTAAGGGGAGACACTAGATTTTTTTTTTATTACCCTTTTTATCATCATAGAGAACTTTAGTAGTCTACAAGAATATTATTAGAGGCTTAGCAGTGGCCTCACTGCACATACATGTATATGTCTTTGGGAACCTACAGGTTTTTAAGAAGTCGTTAAACTTAATATTTACTAGATATTTGTTTTTGGATGGCATCTAATATATTAATAGCCCAGAAAAAAGGCGCCACTAATGAATATGTCTTGGATTACATAGTGACATATATTAGCTTTTCGTCCACATTTGATAACATTGCTAATATTTTCTTTTTTTTTTTTACTGAAGCTCTTTGAATTTAAAGTTTTCTCTCATTTAAATTTATTAATTAAAAACATACCTTTACTCTGTTCCCTTTAGCATTTCAACCTGATGTTAAAAGATGTGTATGTGTGATATGTGTGTTTGAAATTTTAACTTTCATCTTGGAGTATTTAATTCTCTGAAGCAGTGCATGACTCTTGCTCTTCAGCCTCTTGAGAGTGTCCCTGGTTTATATTCCTGATGATACAAACCCTGGAATTTCTTGTCTGAAGTGTTAACACTTTATTTCCAGGTCCTAATTTGATTTGAATAGTGGAAGTTCAGATTCAATGCATTAATGACAGATTCTATGTTGACTTCTTCAGATTTGCCAGACAGAAAAACCTACTTATGTGAGGAAATCATTAGGCTTTTTGACTATCCTCTTTGTATAATGAGACTCTTTTCTCATTAGATGAGTAAAAAGATCCAGAGATGATCACCAGTATCCCCCAGAATTCATATATATTTAATTGAAAAGAAAACAAATCCTGGGATTCTTTCCTAAAAAGGTTGATTACATTTCTTGCCTGTCTGTACATTCTTTGTATAAACGTGAAGAAAAATAAAAATATAGATTTTCCAGCACTGGGACTATGAAATTTGAGATTTAACATTTATTCATTAGTCAGATTTAAAGGAATTTACCTTAAGTCATAGTTTATATTGTTTTTGGAGGACCTGAGTAAGGATTCTATTAAAAATGATTAATTTTGTCATTATTTGAAATATTGATAGGATTTTAATATGTTCCTTTTTTGAAAATACTAAAATTATAAATTAACTTACACTTAATAGCAAATAGTTCGTAAGTATGTCGTAATCAACTTATTGACTAAAAATTTTGTAAAAGATGCCATTTATTTAAAGTGGCCTATCGTATAGTTACTATAATGCTAGTGCTCTCTACATTTTCATTGTAATCTTACTGAAGAAGTAAAAATTAATCATTATTGTTCTCCCCACTCTAATATTAATTCAGAAATCATAATTGTACACATAGGGTACAACGTAATGTTTATATATATGTGTGTAATGTAGTATGATTAAATCATACTAATTAACATACTATCGCCTTACTTTGCTTACTTATATTTTGTGGTGAGGCATTTGAAATTTACTCTTAATTGTTTGAAATACATTATTATTATTGCTATTGTTATCTCTGTCTTCTCTTTGCAAATAAATAATCATTATTTACTATGGCCACCCTGTTGTGCAAAGATTTCAAAAACTATTCTCCTATGTGAAATTTGTTCCCTTTTCTTTTTCAAAAAAAAAAAAAAAAAAACACCCGCTGTCTTAGCATTGGTGAAGTTAAAAATAGAACCAGTGTGTTTTAGATTCCTCTCTAAGTGTCTTTATTTTTAAGAATATATATATTTTTTTTTTTTGAGACGGCATCTTGCTCTGTTGCCCAGCCTGGAGTGCAGTTGGCACCATCTTGGCTCACTGCAATCTCCACCTCCCGGGTTCAGGCGATTCTCCTGCCTCAGCCTCCCATGTAGCTGGGATTACAGGTGCATGCCACTATGCCTGGCTAATTTTTGTATTTTTAGTAGAGACGGGTTTCACCGTGTTGGCCAGGCTGGTCTCAAACTCCTGACCTCAGGTGATACCTCCGCCTCAGCCTCCCAAAGTTCTGGGATTACAGATGTGAGCCACCGTGCCCAGCTAGAATGTGTGTATTTTAAAAAGTTGATCCTTCACAGATATTTATCTTAAGAGAGGCTGGTGTCATGAAAAAAGCTATGGACTAAGAATGGGAAGACAAAGATCTTTTGTATTGGCACTACCAGCTGTGTCCCTCTGAGGGGGTAATTTTTGCCTTTTGAAGATGTTGGGAGGGTTAAAGTTCAGGAAATTATTTTTAAAACTGTTTCAGTGAATATTTAGAAAAATATTAGTGGAGATAGAATTAATTGCTCTGCAGTGGAGTGGCTCTCTTTCTACATTTTCTTTTTTTTCTTTTCTTTTTTTTTTTTTTTGAGACGGAGTCTCGCTCTGTCCCCCAGGCTGGAGTGCAATGGTGCGATCTCAGCTCACTGCAACCTCCGCCACCTGGATTATCCTGCCTCAGCCTCCTGAGTAGATGGGATTACAGGCATGTGCCACCACACCCAGGTAATTTTTTTTTTTTGTATTTTTAGTAGAGGCGGGGTTTCACCTTGTTGGCCAGGCTGGTCTTGAACTCCTGACCTTGTGATCCATTCACCTCTGTCTCCCAAAGTGCTGGGATTACAGGTGTGAGCCACCGTGCCTGCTCTCTTTCTACATTTTCTAGTGTACTCCCATTAGGCTGTAAACGTATTTCAAGTTGAACAATACGAAATTTCAGCATAGCTGTGCATCATCATTTTTTCTCCATATCTTGTATTCACACCTTAAGAATTTGTTACTAGTTGAAATGATAAGCCAGCAAACATAATCTAATCTTTGTGACTGTTTGCATAGATTGGAGGGCAAGTACAATGTAAATGGAACGTATATAGAGAAAGGATAGGTTAAAAGGTAGCTTATAGCTTGCTTACCTTTTACTACACAGTTGGAATTTAAGAACTGATTCTTATAAGAACACCAGTTGAACAATGAGTTGCTTTTTTCCCTCTGTTGTAGTGTGTATGGGCGTGTATATACATATTTTTATTTTAATTTTTTTTTTAATGGGAGGAGGGAGGATGCCAGAAACATTTAAAGGTTGTACTCTGCCAATGTGATAGTTTTAAGTACTTGAGGGGGTGGAGAAGAACCACATGCATCTTCTACACAAATATGGGAAATATCATATCATTATAAGAATGTATATACAGTATTAAGCAATTACAAGATTTTGGGCCAGGCATGGTGGTGCTTTGGGAGACCAAGGCAGGGAGGTGGGTGGATCACCTGAGCCCAGGAGTTGGAGACCAGCCTGGGTAACATAGTGAGACCTCGTTTCTACAAAAAATAAAAAAATTGGCTGGGCATGGTGGCTTACACCTGTAATCCCAGCACTTTGGGAGGCCGAGGCTGTCAGATCACCGAGATCAGGAATTCGAGACCAGCCTGACCAACCTGGTGAAACTCCATCTCTACTAAAAATATAAAAATTAGCTGGGCATGGTGGTGCATGCCTGTAATCCCAGCTATTTGGGAGGCTGAGGCAGGAGAATTGCTTGAACCCTGGAGGCAGAGGTTGCAGTGAGCCAAGATCACACCACTGCACTCCAGCCTGGGTGACAGAGCAAGACTCTGTCTCAAAAAAAAAAAAAAAAAAGCTGGACATGGTGTCATGAGTTTCTAGTCCCACCTACTTGGGAGGCTGAGGTGGGAGGATTGCTTTAGCCCAGGAGGTCGAGGCTACCGTGAGCTGTGATTGTGCCACTGTCTCAAAGAAAAAAAAAAAAAGATTCTGGTACTATTTGAAATTGTAGTACTGTAAATCTATAATAAATGATTGCTGTCTCTTAAGGAACTTAGTATCTGGAAACATTGTTTCTTTTTTTCTTGTAAAAGGGAATTATAAAAGTTACTTTTAAATCACTTATGTCAGTCTGATTAAAGTGTGTTTAGTATAAAATGTAACAAAAGAAAAAGGGTTTGTATAGACTGTGGGTTTAAAGTGGCTTAAGTGATGATTTTGAAGTTTCCTAGGTGTCTTATACTTAAGGCTAAATACAAAGACCTCAGTAAATTTCTGGCTACTGCTGAGCATGGTGGGAGCATCGTTTCCTGTTCTTACTAGTATGTTTCAGCAGCTAGCAAAAGCTGTCTTCATTTAATACATTTTCCTACAGTTAAAATAATAGTGTGATTATCTTGAAAGGTGTCTTCCTTTCTCAGTATTTGATTTGTGAGACTGTATCTTCTGGAATTACTTGAGACCTCTAATTAAATTGACTTTTAAAATTTTTTATTTCATTTTCTTTTAGAGTTGGAGGTCTTGCTATGTTGTCTGGACTGGCCTAGGATGATGACGATTTTTTTCTTTAGAGACACAGTCTGACTGTGTTGCCCAGGCTGGTCTCAAACTCCTGGGCTCAAGTGATCCTCCTGTTTCAGCCTCCTGAGTAGCTGGGATTACAGGTGTGAGCTACTGTAGCCAGCTTGGCCTAGGATTATTTTTATTTTTATTTATTTTATTTTATTTTTTCCTGTTTTTTAGATGAAGTTTTGCTCTTGTTGCCCAGGCTGGAGTGCAATGGCGCCATCTCGGCTCACCACAACCTCCGCCTCCCAGGTTCAAGTGATTCTCCTGCCTCAGCCTCCCGAGTAGCTGGGATTACAGGCATGCACCACCACACCTGGCTAATTTTGTAGTTTTAGTAGAGACAGGGTTTCTCCATGTTGGTCTGGCTGATCTTGAACTCTTGACCTCAAGTGATCCACCTGCCTCGGCCTCCTAAAGTGCTGGGATTACAGGTATGAGCCACCGCACCTGGCCAGGATTATTTTTAAAGAGAAGATTTAACATATGCAATTGTTAGAAAATCTTATAAACATGTTATTCCCTGGGAATGTGCTTCAACCTGTTGGCTAAAGGAACTTTATCAGAATAACTACAGTTATTATCTGACTATTTTCAGGAGTTGAAAAAAATGGTTGCATACATTTCTTTTTTTTTTTTTTTTTTGAGGCGGGGTCTCGCTGTGTCACCCAGGTTGGAGTGCAGTGGCGCAATCTCAGCTCACTGCATGCTCCACCTCCCGCGCTCATGCCATTCTCCTGCCTCAGCCTCCCGAGTAGCTGGGACTTCAGGCGCCTGCCACCACGCCCGGCTAATTTTTTTGTAGTTTTAGTAGAGACGGGGTTTCACTGTGTTAGCCAGGGTGGTCTTGATCTCCTGACCTTGTGATCCTCCTGCCTCGGCCTCCCAAAGTGCTGGGATTACAGGCGTGAGCCACCGCGCCTGGCCTATTCATTTCTTATATTGGTAAACATCACTTCACCTTTACCTTGATTATAAAGTCCCAGTCTACTTTTGAGATTGTTTAGATTTCTGCAGTGTGTAACTAACTCTTTTTTTTTTTTTTTGAGACGGAGTCTCGCTCTGTCACCTAGGCTGGTGTGCAGTGGTGCAATGTAACTCTTAGTGATTCTTAATCTTGGTTGGAATGGGCTATGTTTGGCCTTTTTTTTTTTTTTGGAGACTGAGTCTCACTCTGTTCTCCAGGCCAGAGTGCAGTGGCGAGCTGTCGGCTCACTGCAACCTCCACCTCTGGGTAAGCGATTCTCCTGCCTCAGCCTCCCGAGTAGCTGGGATTATAGATGTGCACCACCACGCCTGCCTAATTTTTTTGTATTTTTAGTAGAGACTGGGTTTCACCATGTTGGCCAGGCTGATCTCGAACTCCTGAACTCAGGTAATCTGCCTGCCTCGGACTCCCAAACAGCTGGGATTACAGGTGTGATCAGCTGTGGCTGGCCTATGTTTGGCATTTAACTGGTGGGGGAGGGATGCATATCTTTGTACATTTTCAGCCTTTTTTGTCCTTCATCTGTTAAAGAGGTCATAGAGTAAGACATTTCCTTTCAATCTTGGCAATTTCCCAGGCCAAATGATAGGTTTCTAGGGTACTTCCAGGACTTAACTGACAAAAGGGGAAGATAAGCGATGCAATTGAGAGCTGAAGTAGGGTCTCTCTCTTTTTTTTTTTTTTTTTTTTTTGAGTCTCGTTCTGTCGCCCAGGTGGGAATGCAGCGGCGTGATCTCGGCTCACTACAACCTCCGGCTCACTACAACCTCTGTCTCCCAGGTTCAAATGATTCTCCTGCCTCAGCCTCCTGAGTAGCTGGGACTACAGGCGCCACACCACCAGGCCTGGCTAAGTTTTTGTGTATTTTTAGTAGAGGCAGGGTTTCACCATGTTGGTCAGGCTGGTCTCGAACTCCTGACCTCATGATCCGCCCGCCTTGGCCTCCCAAAGTGCTGGGATTACAGGCGAGAGCCACTGTGCCTGGCGAAGCAGCGTCTCTTTTTAAGGTTGTAAGGTAGCTTGGGTTAGAAATAAAGGCAGAGAGCCACTCCATACCTATAGTTCTAGCTACTGGGGAGGCTAAGACCAGAGGATCTCTTGAGCCCAGGAGTTCAAGGCTGCAGTGAGCTGTAATCACACACTGCACTACAACGTGGGCAACATAGAGTGAGACCTAATTAAAAAATAAATAAATAAATAAATGCAAGGAGAAAGTCATGAACTTGGTGCATTTAGGTGTACAATTAGTTGGCATAAACAATTTTTTTTTTTTGAGATGGAGTTTCTCTCTTGTTGCCCAGGCTGGAGTGCAGTGGCGCAGTCTCGGCTCACTGCAACCTCCGCCTCCTGGGTTCAAGTGATTCTCCTGCCTCAGCCTCCTGAGTAGCTGGGATTACAGGTGCCCGCCACCACGCCCAGCTAATTTTTGTATTTTTAATATATGGGGTTTCGCCATATTGGCCAGGCTGATCTTGAACTCCTGACCTCAAGTGATCCGTCTGCCTCAGCCTCCCAAAGTGCTGGGATTACAGGCGTGAGCCACTATGCCAGCCGAGAATTTTTAAAAAAGGAGTTTCATTCAGCCCACCTCATTCCTCTGCAGGGCACCTGTGTGCAGGGCAAAACTGCTCAACCCTACTCAGCAGCCCTGTGAAAGCTGCTGAAAGGATGAGCAGATTGAGGCCTGAACTGTATCTTGGATTTAGCAGCCTGGAGGTCATAATGGATTTTGCCAAGAGTGATGGGGCAGAAATTGGACCAGTGTGTGTTAAGGAGCTAGAAGAACTGAAGAAATGGGAGAGGGGAGTCTAGACAACTTTAGTTTGGCTGCAGCAAGTAAGGCAGATTGTTTGATGGAGGGACATGTGGGATTGATGGAGTTTTTCCTTTTTATATGTTTTTGTATTTTTCAATGGGATACATTAGAAAGTGTTGCTTGTTTATGGGGGGGATTTAGTTCAGTGGGAAAAGTATTTGCAAAGTTACAGTAAGGTGGAAGTAGATGGAATCCTCAGTAAGGTCTAGAATCGGGTGCAGATATTTTATGGTATCTTCCCCACCCTACCCCGAGACGGAGTTTCGCTCTTATTATTGCCCAGGCTCTGGAGTGCAGTGGTGCAGTCTTGGCTCGCTGCAGCCTCCACCTCCTGGGTTCAAGCGATTCTCCTGCCTCAGTCTCCCGTGTAGCTGAGATTACAGGTGCGCATCACCACACCCAGCTAATTTTTGTATTTTTAGTAGAGATGAGGTTTCACCATTTTGGCCAGGCTGGTGTCCCAACTCCTGACATCAAGTGATCCACCTGCCTTGGCCTCCCAAAGTGCAGGGATTACAGGTGTGAGCCACCGTGCCCAGCTGGTACCTTTTTTTTTGTTGTTGGTGAAGTAGAATGTGTGTATGGGGAGGGCAGGTGGATAGGATATTTTGGAATTTGAAGAGAATGGGAATGTCTGGATAGTGCATGTATAGAATGGGAAGTAAACACTGGAGGACCTGGGAGTGTGGTGCTTATTGATGGATCGTTGGGTTTATCCAGGATTGGGGTTTTGCCAGATGGCTGTGATGAAAATCTTAAGAGTTAAGGGTATAGGCAAGAGTGTTGTTGAAATGATACACAATGAAATCTAAGCTGGTTAAAGAAGTGAAGAAGGGGCCGGGCACGTTGGCTCACGCCTGTAATTCCAGCACTTTGGGAGGCCGAGGCGGGTGGATCCCTTGAGGTCAGGAGTTCGAGACCAGCCTGGCCAACATGGCGAAACCCTGTCTCTACTAAAAATACAAAAATTAGCCGGGTGTGGTAGCAGGGGCCTGTAATCTCAGCTACTTGGGAGGCTGAGGCAGGAGAATCGCTTGAACCTGGAGGTGGAGGTTGCAGTGAGCCAGTATTGCACCACTATACTCCAGCCTGGGCAACAAAGTCAGAGTCTGTCTCAAAAAAAAAAAAAAAAAAAGTAAAGAAGGAGGAGAATACTTGGATTGGGATAAAGTAGAAAGAGTCACTGGAATTAAAGTTAAAAAACTCATAAACTTTAGAATGGTATTGAGAAATTGTAAGGTGAACTGATAAAGGCTCATGGGCTTTTAGAGCCAAGAAGGCCTTGAGTGGCAGTTCCTATCTTAGTAGGAATAGCTTCAGTGGTGTGTTGCAGGTGGAACCCAGATTAAAGTGGGTTAAAAAGTAAATGAAGGCAAGGAAGATAAATTTTTCAACAGGTTTGTCTGTGAAGAGTCCAGGCTATTAGATTGATAGAGGGAGAAAGGCAGTTAAAGGGTTTTTTTGTTTTTTGTTTTTTTTTGAGTCAGAGTCTCACACTGTTGCCCGGTCTGGAGTGCAATGGCGCGACCTCGGCTCACTGCAACCTCCGCCTCCGGGGTTCAAGTAGTTCTCCTGCCTCAGCCTCCCAACTAGCTGGGATTACAGGCGCCCACCACCACACCCGGCTAATTTTTTGTATTTTTAGTAGAGACGGGGTTTCACTATGTTGCCCAGGCTGGTCTCAAACTCCTGACCTCATGATCTGCCTGCCTCGCCCTCCCAAAGTGCTGGGATTACAGGCGTGAGCCACCGTGCCCGGCCTTATTTTCTTAATTTTTAAATTTATTTTATTATTATTATTATTTTTGAGATGGAGTCTCTCTGCCGCCCAGGCTGGAGTGAAATGGTGCAATCTCGGCTCACTGCAACCTCTGCCTCCCGGATTCGAGCGATTCTCCTGCCTCAGCCTCCTGAGTAGCTGGGATTGCAGGCGCTCGCCACCACACCTGGCTGATATTTGTATTTTTAGTAGAGACGGGGTTTCACTACATTGGCCAGGCTGGTCTTGAACTCCTGACCTCATGATCCTCCCACCTTGACCTCCCAAAGTGCTGGGATTACCAGCGTGAGCCACTGCACCCGGCCTTTAGTTTTTTTTTGAGACAGAGTCTTGCTCTGTCACCAGGCTGGAGTGTAGTGGCACGATCTCGGCTCACTGCAAGCTCTGCCTCCCGGGTTCAAATGATTCCTTTGCCTCAGCCTCCCAAGTAGCTGGGACTACAGGTGCGTGCCACCATGCGCAGGTAGTTTTATTTTTTCTATTTTAGTAGAGATGGGGTTTCACCATGTTGGCCAGGGTGGTCTCAATCTCCTGACCTTATGATCTGCCTGTCTTTGCCTCCCAAAGTGCTGGGATTACAGGCGTGAGCCACCGTGCCCGGCCATTTTTTGTTTTTGTTTTTGTTTTTGTTTTTTTTAAAGTAAGACTTTTGAGAGTGCTCATATGTTGACGATGTGATAAGCAGTAGTAAAATGGGAGATTTTGCAACGTACAAAAGAAACAGGCCAGGTGCAGTGGCTCAAGCCTGTAATCCCAGCACTTTGGGGAGGCCAAGGTGGGCAGATCACGAGGTCAGGAGATCGAGACCATCCTGGCTAACATGGTGAAACCCCGTCTCTACTAAAAATACAAAAAATTAGCCAGGCGTGGTGGTGGGCGCCTGTAGTCCCAGCTACTCGGGAGGCTGAGGCAGGAGAATGGCGTGAATCCGGGAGGCAGTGAGTCGAGATCACGCCACTGCACTTCAGCCTGGTCGACAGAGCGAGACTACATCTCAAAAAAAAAAGACAAGACATACCTTGGAAAATGGGGGGAATAGACAGATCCAGATGATTTCTATGGATAGGAGGTTTATTTGTTCCATTATGGGAAGATGATGGGAAGAAAAGGTGTATGTGCAGATGCAGGTGAATTTGTGGATATATTAGAAGGAAGATGACAGGCAGCGATGGAGTGTTGAAGAGCTCAAACATTAGACAGTACTGGGTCTGAGTTCTGACTCTGCCTTTTACAAGCTGTGCAACCTTAGGCCAGTTATGAAACCTTAGTTATCAAGTTATAACTAATAGGATTGTGTTGAACACGAAATGACATGATAAACATTTGTAAACTGCTTGGATCAGTTGCCCACTAGCTCTTGTTAGGAGCTAAAATGTTAGCTCTTGCTGAGGGTGCTGTCAAATGGCTTCTATTTCTCATGGAGCAGAAATCTATAAGGTCATCCACTGGTAGTGGTGGGAGAAGGAAGAAGGTGCAGAAAGTTTTACAGATGTTTTGGAAAGGAAAGAAACCTGGTGAGGGAAATGTGGGCAGCATCAGAGGCCCACTTGAAGTCAGAGAAAAGGAGCATTGGGGCATGGAGGTGAGGGGGTACTTTCTTCAGCTTTTCTCTGAAGACAATTGTGCATGTGAAACAAGGGTTAAAATCAGATCTATTGCCCTCCTAGATTTATTGGCTTCGTTTGCTCTTTCTGGCTAATTTGATTGGAGTTCTGAAAATAGAGAATATTAGAGGTTCCTTGGAAGGAAAATAAGCAACACTGAAGTCAAATCTTTATCATGTTTGCTAGAAATGTTACTAAAAAACAAAATTTATGGCCGGGTGCAGTGGCTTATGCCTGTAATCCCAACCCTTTGGGAGGCTGAGGTGAGTGGATCACTTGAGCTCAGGAGTGCGAGACCAGCTTGGGCAACATTTTGGGAATGTTGTAGAGAATGGGACAAAAAAATACAAAAGTTGCTGGGCGTGGTGGGGTAAGCCTGTGGTCTCAGCTACTTGGGAGGCTGATGTGGGAGGTTTGCTTGAGCTCGGATTGCGCCACTGCACTCTAGCCTGGGCGACAGTGTGAGACCCTTTTTCAAAACAAAGGAGCAATTTTTTTTGAGCTACAGTATATTTAATGGTTTTAAATATGAGTGCAGAGTAAGAGGGAGTCCAGTCCATAAGATGACCCTTGCTTCTAATACTAGTTGCAAGTTTGGGGGTTCCCAAGACCACTCTTTTTTTTTTTTTTTGAGACAGGGCCTCTCTCTGTCACCCAGGCGAGAGTGCAGTGGCATGATCACGGCTCACTGTGCCCTGACCTCCTCCCTCCCAGGTTCAGGCAGTCCTCCTACCTCAACCACCTGAGTTGCTGGATCTATGGGCACACACCACCTCGCCTGGCTAGTTTTTCTATATTTTTTAGAGACAGTTTCACCATATTGCCAGGCTGGTCTCAAACTCCTGAGCTCAAGTAATCCGCCTGCCTGGGCCTCCCGAAGTGCTGGGATTACAGGCTTGAGTCACTGTGCCTGGCCAAGACCACTCTTAGGTTGGATGATTTGCCAGGAGGACTCACCAGAACTCATTGAAAGCTCTCATACCCATAGTTAGAGTTTATTGCAGTTTAGGGATTCAGATTAGAATGAGCCAAGGGTAGAGGTGCATAGGGCAGAGTTCGGGGAAGTTCCAAATGTTGGAGTTTTGAATTGTCCTGTCCCTGTAGAGTTGTGAAAAATGACACCTTCCTGGTGGCACTGGTGTGCGACCATACTCATGGATTATTGCCAACCAGGGAAGCTCACTCTATTTTTTATGTCCAACGTTTTTACTGGGGTTCCATGGTTGCATGCCCATGTGGCTAACCTTAGTCTCCAGCCCCACTGGAGGTCAAGCTGATCCATGTGACTCAAAGCCCCCACCATAAGCCACATTATTAGACTCTGCTGTGGCCTAAAGCCCCCAGATGAACAAGGACACTTTCCCCCCACCGCCGCCCCCCCCCCCTTTTTTTTTTGGAGATAGTCTTGCTCTGTTGCCTAGGCTGGAGTACAGTGGCATGATCTCAGCTCACTGAAACCTCAGCCTCCTGAGTAGCTGGGATTATTACAGGTGCCCGTCACCATGCCTGGCTAATTTTTGTATTTTTAGTAGAGACAGGTTTCACCATGCTGGCCAGGCTGGTCTCAAAATCCTGACCTCAAGCGATCTGCCCGCCTTGGCCTCCCAAAGTGCTGGGATTACAGGTGTGAGCCACTGCTCCTGGCCAGGACCCTCTTATTAGGTATGACATTTCAAGAGTTTAGAGATTACCTTCCAGAATTCACAGGTAAAAGCCAGACCTCTCCTTGGTGAAGATACAATTCTTTACAATTTTACAATAGTTAAGTATATTTTATCAGTCTATATTGGCTGTTTAGTTGAGAGACAGTTAAAAATTGGTGACAGTCCAGATGTGGTCACTCATGCCTCTAATCCTAGCATTTTGGGAGGCTGAGGTAGGAGGATTGCTTGAGTCCAGGAATTTGAGAGCAGCCTGAGCAACATAATCAGACACCTGTCTCCAAAAAACATAAAAATAAAAAATTAGCTAAATGGAGTGGCATGCACCTGTGGTCCCAGCTGTTTGAGAGGCTGAACCCATGAAGTCGAGGCTGCAGTGAGCTATGGTCATGCCAGTGCACTCCAGCCTGGGTGACAGAGTGAGACCCTGTCTCAAAAAAGGAAACAAATCACCCATAAATGGATAATTAAGATTTGGTTATTATAGACACTTAATACTGAGGTAGTTAAACTAGTTTTACCAATAAATTATATTAATTTAGTATCTCAGTATTGCAAAACTGATGCATACTCATTTACAATTTTGACGTGGAATGGTTCTGTTTTGTTTTATTAAATTTGAACTTAAAGTTCTCTGCAAGAAGAGATTTGTATAATAAATTCCCTGAGCCTCTCAAATTAATATTTTAGCCATAGACTCATATTTAGAGCAGTGTTTCTAATGTAATGATACAAGGCCCGGGGTTATTCATAGTTTCACCCTTTCTCTTATTCCTCATTAAAGCATGTTTGAATCCAGGTAAGAGGCATTACAGGGGAAAACCTTGAATTTATTTTTGAAGGGTAAATCATTTCCAAGTGGTATTAACCATTAGTATGGAAAGCAACATATCCTATAACTGCTCTGTGACAGTGAGACTATCTTTGCTACTTTAGAGAATAAGTACATTCCTACTTCATTGGCTTTAGTGCAAATCTCATTTCCTGGTTTATATCCATTACAAATTAGATCTCAGCATGAGAGCAAAATCCCTTAATAAACCTAGGTAAAAGCAATTTGAAGTAATATGATGCTTACTCCAGTGACACCACTAGGTGTGGTGTTTGCATCAAGTCATTTTGGGGTGCTTTATGGAAATGCTTCCTAGTAGGGAAGTCCCTGACTTCACACTTTGCAGAGATGACGCTCTCTCTCTTTTTCTCTCTAATACTTACAAGAATGGACTGCAAGACTACATTTAGTCAGGCGATACCATCCCCACCACATGGTGGATTGTTGGTGTGAGGTCTAAGGATTCCGGTCATTTGAAACCAGTGGCCTCCTAGATTTGTGGCATTTTTCTGTATATTGAGAAGAGGTAACTAAAATAAGTGGTAACTATATTTGCATGTGATTTGTATGTTATAGTTAACATTTAAATTCTCTTATGTACTAAAAATTTTTTGGTTGCCACATTAAGCCTCTTTATCCTGTAAGGCACGGAGTGGCTTTCCACCTCAATTTTTGCTTTAATGTATGAACCCTAATGGGACCATAGTTCAACTAAAGGCACCTAACTCATGAATGATATTTGCTCCATGTTTGAACAACAAATGTTTTAACCCACTGTCTTCACTAATATTGTAACTACTGTCTTACAGATTGACTTGATGCAAAACATCACAAAGGCTCCATGTTACACAGTATGCGATTTTTGAGGTATGAGCTTTAGAAACTTACCTCTCATGTGGCATGTACCTCAGGCTTTAACTTTAGTTTGATCGTTTTGGGGAAATTTATGCATTTCTTTTTTTTTCTCTCCATGATATTTTTAGAATATTAAAGGGGCTGTAGAAGTATTTTTGGATCCTTGTTAGGATTCTTAGACTTAACAGATAGATTTTCTTTTTTCACTAAATTGAGACACTAATTCTGGCAGATGATATCCCTTTCAGCTCTTCTAACTAACTAGCCTAACATTCATGCCTGCTTCTTGGAGTTCAAATCTGCAGTTTCTATTTTGTGGCTTTGATTGCCTCATTTTAAGTTCTCATTCCCGTTCTTTAACAGTTTTCTATTTATTGGACTGGGATGATCTTGTTGGTGCTAACAGCCTGACATTGACATTTTTTGAAACCTAAGCAGTCAAGATTGTATAAAAATAGAAATTTCGTATAAATGCTAAACCATTTTGTGCTTTTAGGTTCAGAATGCTTACAACCTGAGTTCTGGTTGGGGATGCTTTGATCAATTTGTATTAAAATAATTTGGCAGCTAGGGAGTTTTCAGGTATTTCTGAGACAGTGGCTCTATTCCAGTTTTTTTGCTATATTTCTGAAAACACAAATTTTTTTGGGAAAAAAATCTCAGTGTTCATAACTTAGGGGATTTAGAAACCTTATTTCTAACCAATGGGGAAGCTGCTCCTGGTTTTACAGTTTAGTTTGAAATCAGATGCTTCCTAGTTGGAAACACATTGTTGGTAGCCACAGATTACCTGCTTTCTTCAGTGAAGTATTTAAGTTGCTCTATATTGACTGTAAAAACTTGTTTTGATTATATTCATATACTCATGAACTGTTTGTACATTGTCTTTTAGACTGGAAACTGAGTTTATTTTGTATTATGGTCATAATAACTTTTAACATACCCTGCAAACTAAGTGTTTCTTTATAATTCATTATCTTATTTAAGCCTCACAACAACCTTACATGTTAGATAGGTATCATCCTCATTTTATGCAAGAGACAACCAAGGCTTGGAGATCAAGTAATTTGTGCAAAGGCACACATACTTTTCAGTGCTGGAGCTGGGATTTGAGCCCAGATCTTTTTTTAACTTGTATTCTCTGCTGCCTTATGGTACTACTGTGTCACCAGAAAATGATACAAACATTTAACTCTTAATAGTAAAGGTAGTATAGGAGATAAGTAAACATGATGAAAACAGGAAGTGAAGATATGTTTAAATATTGGCAGACTTCAGTTATCTTTGTGTTTCTGAATTAGTCAAGTGCTTATTTTATTTGCTCATCTAATAAGAGCTTACTGTGGCGTACATATAAAGTTCACACCCTGTCAGAAAAGATTATAAGCTCTCTTACATTTCAGTCTCCTTTCAGAAAGTAATGGTATGCTATGATTTATATAGACGCATGTTAAATGTGCTATTTTTAGGTACATAAGGAATGTCTTTTCATTAGTTTAAAAAAGTTATGGTCCATTGAGTTAATATTTTAATGCTTATAGACTTAGTATACTCAGAAAATATTCTCATACATTTTTCTTGAAATTCCATAGATTTAATTTTCCCTTATGTTCGAAGTACTTAGCTTTATGAATAAGCGAACTCTGAATATTAGAAGGTACTCCTTATGGAGCCGTAGTCATTTTAGTATGCTAGGTTTTGAATTTCATGAAGTTTCAGATTGAGATCCTTTGTAAGTAATGACTTGTACCAGTTAGATATCCAAGTTTAATTGGACCTATTGTCTGCATTCTGTATTAACAGTGATTGCAGTAAGTGCAGATCAAGGTGTCCAACTGATTGAGCTCATGCAAAGTTTTATGTTTAGTATTTTTGGGAGCAAGGAAAGACTAATAAACTCTAAATGAAATATATACAGTATACAAACACTGCTGTCACTTTTACACCATAGAGGGGCAAAGCGTAGAGGAATAGGTTAGTTTCTGGCCTTGCCAGTGTCCTAAACTTTTCTAAAAGATTCAGGTTCTAAAAGGTTGAGAAAGCATTTTTAGTAAATATCATAGAAGTGATTTTCTTTTTTTTTTTCCTCAAAGTTGTTCCTCTCAGGAGAAAATCAGTAGGGGAAGAACTTACTTGGATTTTTCATATGCTATAACAGATTATTTTGTTGTCTTCTTTCTTAATAGTTTATGATTGATGGCTGAAAGAGTAACACTCGTGAGAAGTCTTGTAACTCAGCTCTGTTTTACTTATGAGGCAGTTGAAGCGTAGAGCAGATACTTAGATGAGGACAAACTTTTACCCTTGGCTGTACCCTACTTGTTTACTAATAAGCATCAGGTATTATTCTAAACAGTACCTAAATTTTAAATAGATTATGAACTACAACTTTCCGATATAACGTTATTGCATTTCTGATACCTTTTATTTTCTTAAAATGTCTTCTTTTTTACTTTTTAAAATTTTGATTGCTACCTTTACAATTAAGGCATCTTCAATGGGGTCTTCAATACTACAGTACCTAATCAGTACTTAGAAAATAACTTGGTAAGACATTGCCTGTCCCTGACATGCTGCCAGTGTTTTTTATTTTTATGATAGGAAAGGCTGAAATGTTTTGACTGATTAACCCTCTCCATGGGGGAGAATTTAGAAAGAATTATTCTTATTATCAAGTCATGTGAGGAGAACACTGGACCAGAGTAACCAATTGTCCTGTTTTGCCTGGGACAGGAGGCTTTCAATGCTAAAACCAGCAAAGTCACCCTAATCCCAGTAGTTATTCGTATTTCTGAATGGGTCTTTAGAACAGTAGAAGAGACTGAAAAGTTGGCATTTCATCCATTGAGAATCTCTTCCCAGTGAAAGACTTCTTATTAGACGGCTGAGTGCTTACATATAATATATAGTACATATTACATTAAATACAATAGTAATGGTTAAATGTAAAATTTGGGAGAAGAGAGGCTTGTTTAAAGAAAGATTTATTTATGTTATTTAAAGTTCTAATCTTAAACTTTTCTCTTTTTATAGAACTGATAGTGCATCAGCTGACCCAGGTAATTTAAAATATTCTTCATCCAGAGATAGAGGTGGTTCTTCCTCTTACGGACTGCAACCTTCAAATTCAGCTGTGGTGTCTCGGCAAAGGCACGATGATACCAGAGTCCACGCTGACATACAGAATGACGAAAAGGGTATATATATTTTCTTATTGCTACAAGCATGTTTTTTGAACCTACCTATCCCACCTTCTTGCCTTCTTACACCCCCAACTTTCTCGCTTTCTTCTAATATATTTAAAATACGAATAACAAATGCAGTGTTATTTCTGAAAACTTCATAGGACGTTTATCCACTTTATTATTTTTAAAATTTAAAATTTTTCCGTACATAATTCATCAATGCAGTTTTCTTACAAAAAAGATACAATACTATTTTTGTTTTTATTTTCAAAAATATTTAGCTAAGGTTGAAGTTCCTCTTGGCTACTGTCTCTAAACTTCAAGAAAGTTTTAAGGTGCAAAATTTGATTTAATTTAGTTTTCATTTCTTTGCTTATTTTCCAATGAAGGGATCAAAATAAAATTAATTTAACTTCAAAGGTGTATTAAAAGAAATGAAAATGATTTTCAAGGCAGACAGTACAGGAAAAAGGTAGGAGAAGCAAAGGCTGGTTGAGCTGCAGATTGAGTAGTAAGATCCTGAGCTATCAGGAAATTGACTGAATGAAACGAACAATCATATTTAAATAACGTACACATTGCTGTTTGTAGGTGGCTACAGTGTCAATGGAGGATCTGGGGAAAATACTTATGGTCGGAAGTCGTTGGGGCAAGAGCTGAGGGTTAACAATGTGACCAGCCCTGAGTTCACCAGTGTTCAGCATGGCAGTCGTGCTTTAGCCACCAAAGACATGAGGAAATCACAGGGTAAGTCTGGGAAAATGGGGACCAATCACATACACCTTCCAAAGACTTGTATCTCCTCTTATTCTGGATGCCTCTTACTAACGCCTTGCACAGGCATAAGTTGATTAGTCTACTGTGCAGGTAAAAATTGTTTACATTCTTTTCCTGTGAATTGTTAATTTCCCACTAGAAAGGTTATAGTACATTTTAAAAGAGAATTCTCTTAAAACAAGATTAGAAGACTGGATAAGATCTTACAGAAAAGGTTTACCCAATTATCGTGGATATTGAATGTATAGTGCATAGTAGGCTCTTACTACAGCAAGTCCTTGAACTCTTGGGCCTGTGGAGGATATAGATATATATATAGAGGGGGTACTTTTCTGTCTTTTTTTTTTTTTTCTCTTTTAAGTTCAGGGTACATGTGCAGGATGTACAGGTTTGTTATGTAGGTAAACGTGTGCCATGATAGTTTGCTGCACAGATCATCCCATCATCTAGGTATTAAACCCAGCATCCATTAAGCTATTCTTGCTGATGCTCTCCTTCCCCCCGCCCCCTAGAGTGGGTACTTTTCTGGTTTTTTTGTTGTTGTTTTCAATATATTTTTTTGAGACAGAGTCTTGCTCTGTCACCCAGGCTGGAGCGCAGTGCTGCAATCTCTCCTCACTGCAACCTCCGCCTCCCAGGTTCAAGTGATTCTCGTGCCTCAGCCTCCCAAGTAGCTGGGAGTACAGGTACATGCCACCACACCCAGCTGATTTTTGCATTTTTAGTGGAGACAGGGTTTCACCATGTTGGCCAGGCTGGTCTCGAACTCCTGACCTTAAGTGATCACATGTGCTCATTACAGGCGTGAGCCACTGGGCCCTGCCTAGAGTGGGCACTTTTCTAAAGTTAAATACACTGATAGCATTTCTGCCTTATGGCGTAGCCTCACTGTATAGGTGAGTGCCTTGGAAGTTCAGAGGATTGGCCGGGTGCAGTGGCTCACGCCTGTAATCCCAGCACTTTGGGAGGCTGAGACGGGCAGATCACGAGGTCAGGAGATCGAGACCATCCTGGCTAACACGGTGAAACCCTGTCTCTACTGAAAATACAAAAAATTAGCTGGGCGCGGTGGTGGGCGCCTGTAGTCCCAGCTACCCGGGAGGCAGAGCTTGCAGTGAGCTGAGTGCACCACTGCACTCCAGCCTGGGCAACAGAGCGAGACTCCGTCTCAAAAAAACAACAACAAAAAAGAAAGTTCAGAGGATTAGAGGTAATGATAATTTTTTTCCTTAAAGAGAAATTTATCGGTAAAGCTGAGTTATGGGCTTTGTCAGATGTAATTACTTTTTGGACATTTAGTTTTTGACTTTTTTTTTTTTTTATACTGTGTGTGTGCTTCGTGTATCTTGGTGAAAATCTTTGTGCCTGTAGCTTTTATTGTTGGTATATAACTTTTAAAAAACTGATTTCTTTTTATGTTTTCACAAGTGGAATGAATTCAAAGGCTATGTATGCTGTTTGTTAAAACAGAGTGTTTGAAGCCTTAGACTTATGATATTATAGAAGCTAAACAGTGACTCTAAAGTAGTTCAGTAAACAATTCCTCTTCTTCAAAGGTAGTTTGCTAGTGACAGAATTGTAAGTAGAGCCTAATTTCCCAGCTGGTAACTTGATGACATTTTTGGTATCTGTCCTTATTGAAATACTCTATGGGCTACGGATTTGTAAAAATCCTATTCTTCTCTCAGACATTGTAGTTTCTTTTTTTTTTTTTTTTTTTTTTTTAACTTTTAAATTCAGGATACAAGTGCAGATTTGTTACACTGGTAAACTTGTGTCATGAGGGTTTGTAGTATAGATTATTTTATCACCCAGGTATTAAGCCTGGTACCCATTGGTTGTTTCTCTTGATCCTCTCCCTCCTCCCACCCCCCACCCTCCAAAAGGATCCAGTGTGTTTTGCTCCCCTTGTAGTTATTTATTTATTTATCTATGAGATGGAGTATCTCCCTGTCACCCAGGCTGGAGTGCAATGGCGCGATCTCAGGTCACTGCAGCCTCCACCTCCCAGATTAAAGTGATTCTCCTGCCTCAGCCTCCCGAGTAGCTGGGATTACAGGAGCGTGCCACCATGCCCGGCTAATTTTTTGTATCTTTAGTAGAGACGAAGTTCCACCATGTTGGCCAGGCAGGTCTCAATCTCCTGACCCCGTGATCTGCCCTCCTCGGCCTCCCAAAGTGCTGGGATTACAGGTGTGAGCCACCACGCCCAGCCTTCTGGTTTCTTTTATTATCAATTTTTTCTCATACCTTAGAAATGAAACTGTCAGACCCTTTGTGATTTGTTGTTTACGTATGTATTGGCTAATTATGGTAAATAGCACAGTTGAAAATGTTTTGCAAAAATTGAGTTTTTTGTTTTGTTTTGTTTTTTGAGACAGTCTCGCTCTGTCACGCAGGCTGGAATGCACTAGTGTGATTTCACTGCAACCTTTGCTTCCCAGGCTAAAGCGATCCTCCCACCTCAGCCTCCTGAGTAGCTGGGATTACAGGCATGTGCCACTGTGCCCAGCTAATTTTTGTATTTTTCGTAGAGATGGGGTTGTACCATGTTGCCGATGCTGGTCTCGAACTCCTGGGCTCAAGTGATCTGCCTGCCTTGCCCTTCCAAAGTGCTGGGTAATTACAGGGAAGAGCCACCTCGCCCAGCAAAAATCTAGTTTTTAAAGGCATTGTTAATATACTAATAGTATTCACTATTGTGTGCTTGTTCTTGTGATTAAAAAATAAGGGGAGAAAAGTTGTGGTTTGCTACCTTTCTAGTGGAGGCATGCCTTGCATGTGGTAGATGATAATTAGACATTTGTTGAACTAAATGTGTGATTATGGCTCCCCAAAACTTCATCCCAGGGAAATGATGATAATGTGAATAAGAGGCTTTCCTCCAGTGGGATACCTAGATGATAAGTAGAAGCCTATATCCTGTTTTTACTCGATTGAGGCTTTATCCGTACCCCTTGGAAGTTGTTTAATTTACCTACACCCAGGCTCTTTACCTGCATGTTGAAAACAGTTTGGAATGGACCCAAAGGAAGTTGTTACTAAGGCCTTTCTTTTTTCTCTCCCAGCCAGTCCTCTGGAATGAGGTGTTCAGCTGGCCTAGGGTTATTCATTTCTCGTTTCCTTCAGCAAATATTTTTTTGAGGGTCTGTTATGTGCCAGGCACTCTGCTGGGATTTGGAATATAGAGTTGAACAAAAGAGCGATAGGACCTATATTCCCTGAGCTTTTATTGACCAGTGGACTGTGACTTTTGATGTAATTTTATTTTTGAGAGAGGGTCTTGCTCTGTCACCCAGGCTGGAGTGCAGTGGGGTGATCTCGGCTCACTGCAACCTCCACCTCATGGGCTCCAGTGATTCTCCTGCCTCAGCCTCCCGAGTAGCTGGGACTACAGGTGCACACCACCTTGGCTGGCTAGTTTATGTAATTTTTTGTGTGTCTGTGGAGACAGGGTTTCACCATGTTGCCCAGGCTGGTCTCAAACTCCTGAACTGATGTGATCTACCCGCCTTCCAAAGTACTGGGATTACAGGCATGAGCCACCATAATAATTTAATTATTATTTAAATAATTTTTAATTTTAAAAATTTAAAAATTATTTTAAAATTTAAAAATTCCTTTGCTTATTTATACTCAATGGACAACAAAATGTTTATATATTCACAGAGAGATCGATGTCTTATTGTGATGAGTCTCGACTGTCAAATCTTCTTCGGAGGATCACCCGGGAAGACGACAGAGACTGAAGATTGGTCACTGTAAAGCAGTTGAAAGAATTTATTCAGCAACCAGAAAATAAGCTGGTAAGTATAGTATGTTTGGAAATATGAGGATTTTTGTGTTTCCATAATAAACTAGGTAATGCTACCTTGAGTAGTTTAAGAATGGGGAAAGTCTGTATTATGATGATCAAGAACTTAATGCTCTCTAATATGTAATTTCTTTTTCTTCTTAAAGACAAGATCTTGCTCTCACCCAGGCTGGAGTGCAGTGGCACAATCATAGCTCACTGCAGTCTCAAACTCCTGGATTCAAGCTATCCTCCCGCTGTGGCCTCCTGAGTAGCTGGGACTTCAGGCATGTGCCACTACACCTGGCTGAGGTGGAAGAATCACTTGAGCCCAGGAATTCAGGGTTGCAGTGAGATATGATCACACCTCTGCATGTCAACCTGGGCGACAGAGGGAGTCCTTGTCTCTTAAAACAACAACAGAAATGTAACAAAGTATAGGAAGGGTTAAATTTTTTTCTTCACTTTCTTTACACCAATTAAGAACTTGATATGGGCCAGGTGTGGTGGCTCATGCCTGTAATCCCAGCATTTTGGGAGGCCAAGGTGGGCGGATCACCTGAGTTCAGGAGTTCGATACCAGCCTGCCCAACATAGTGAAGCCCCATCTCTACTAAAAATACAAAATTAGCTGGGCGTGGTGGCACATGACCGTAATTCCAGCTACATGGGAGGCTGTGGCAGGAGAATCGCTTGAACCCAGGAGACGGAGGTTGCAGTGAGCTGAGATCACGCCATTGCACTCCAGCCTGGGCGAAAAGAGTGAAACTCCATCTTAAAAAAAAAAAAAAAAAAAGAACTTGACAATGAGCAGGAGAAAATTAATGAAAATGGTCTAGTGAGGCAGATGACACTTGGATCAAAGCAAGTTTCTCCTCCTTCCAAATTTTATTATGAGTAGTTTCAAATATATAGCAAGTTGAAAGAATTTGACATTGAATCTGTTAAACCCATCATCTAATTTTTGTCGTTAATGTTTTGCCCTAAATACTGCCTTGTCACATATCTCTCCATCTATCCCTCCATCCATCAGTCAATTTTTCAAATGGATTTCAAAGTAAATAAAACAAACTTTTTGAGTTTATTTTTTTGTTGATGATCACAGCTCTATGTTTCCAGTGGGTGAATTTCTTTCATAGGCTGAAAGGAAACATGACATTCCTGATACATGCTCATTGGGGAGTGGGAATAATAAAGAAAGTAAAGTACTGTTGAATTAGAATTTGGAGGGGAAGACAAGTAAAAAAGTACACAATGCTATTCTTAAAAGTATAGGAATTTGAAGTTTTTATAAATGTGTTTTCTTTTAAAGGTACTAGTTAAACAATTGGATAATATCTTGGCTGCTGCACATGATGTGCTTAATGAAAGGTAAGTAACTAATAATGGTTCGGTTTAAATGACTTTAAAATATATTTTTAGAAATTACTTAACAATACACAAGAAGACAAACCCACTGGCTTTGTTTATGAACATCTATTGACATTTCAGTGGGTCTTGTCATTTTTATCTGCATTAATTATGTGTTAATTACGGTTGAATACAAATGGAATCCACTTGAAAAGAATATTTATTTTTTGAGCCAGAGTCTCACCGTGTCGCCCAGGCTGGAGTGCAGTGGTGCGATCTCAGCTCACTGCAACCTCCACCTCCCGGGTTCAAGTGATTCTCCTGCCTCAGCCTCCCGAGTAGCTGGGACTACAGGCATGCACCACAACTGCCAGCTAATTTTTGTATTTTTAGTAGAGACAGGGTTTCACCATGTTGGCCAGGCTGGTCTGGAACTCCTGACCTCAGGTGATCCACCCACCTTAGCCTTCCAAAGTGTTGGGATTACAGGCATGAGCCACCGTGCCTGGCTGGAATATTTTATTTTTTTAATTTACTAGTCTCACTGGATAACTGAGTCTTGACTTATGGAATGGCATAAACTCTTGATGCAGGCATGAAGAATAAAATTAGTTTTTGTAAACTAGAGAATTTGAAACTGCTTAGAGAATAGAGGTAAAAAGGAATTTCCTTCTTTGGGTAAGAGTGGATCCAAACCATATATTCTCTGGCTATTAGCGTCTCCAGAGGTGTGTGGTCATTTTTTGTTATGGTGATTCCCAAAGATTTGCAGTGTTGGCAAGTACCCAAAATTTATCTCAGCTGGTCATAAACCTTAGTGCCTTTTGATGGTTTTGTTTTATAGAGTTACTTATTAAAGTTCTATGTAAATCATTACTGTTATCCTTTTAAGTTTCTGTATTTAACTATTACCATTTTTTATTTTATAGTCATTACATATTGGATATTATGTAGAATGTAGTTATGTATAGAGTGTTTTATCTAATTATTTGTTGCTGCCCTTTTCTGAGAGTTATTTAATACAGTTTGAGATGGAATTTAGCATTTTTGGGCCTTCCCTCACTGTTTGTAAATAATTGATTTTGTAAAAAGAAAGTAATGTCAGACAGATACTTGAGGGCAATGCAGGCTAGACAGAATGTAGTATTTAGAGTGGAGAAAATTTCAACCTTTTATGTAGTTTGAATAGAAATTTAAAAAACCACTTAAGACATTCTTTTGTAAGATGTATTACTCGTGTCATCATAGAAAACTTAAGCCTTTTGTGTGTGTTTTTTGTTTGCATTAAAATAAACACAGTAGCAAATTGCTTCAGGAGTTGAGACAGGAGGGAGCTTGCTGTCTTGGCCTTCTTTGTGCTTCTCTGAGCTATGAGGCTGAGAAGATCTTCAAGTGGATTTTTAGCAAATTTAGCTCATCTGCAAAAGATGAAGTTAAACTCCTCTACTTATGTGCCACCTACAAAGCACTAGAGACTGTAGGAGAAAAGAAAGCCTTTTCATCTGTAATGCAGGTAAGAATGAAGGGGGAAAAATGCATGATGTACTTGGGAAGAAAATTGTCCCTTAACACATGTCCTTGGAGGGGAGCTTGAAGAAGGGAAACATAGAATAGGGGTTATCTACTGATAGGAAATATGTTTTAAAAATTCCTCTTTCTCAGTTTGAGTAAAGGATACACTGTTCAAGGATTAGTGCTACATACATATATGCATATATGTGGAGAAAGAGGGAGAGATTTCTTCTAAGAAATTGGCTTACACGCCGGGTGCGGTGGCTCACGTCTGTTATCCCAGCACTTTGGGAGGCCGAGGCAGGCGGATCATGAGGTCAGGAGATCGAGACCATCCTGGCTAACATAGTGAAACCCCATATCTACTAAAAATACAAAAAAAATTAGCCGGGCGTGGTGGTGGGCACCTGTAGTCTCAACTAATTGGGAGACTGAGGCAGGAGAATGCCGTGAACCTGGGAGGCGGAGCTTGCAGTGAGTCGAGATCGCGCCACTGCACTCCAGCCTGGGCAACAGAGTGAGACTCTGTCTCAAAAGAAAAAAAAAGATACACGTTGAAGTTAGATTTGAAATAAGTTAGTTTTAAGATTTTTTTCCTCAGCCAAGCGCGGTGGCCTATATGCCTGTAATCCTAGCACTTTGGGAGGCCGAGGTGGGAACATCATGAGGTCAAGGGATCGAAACCATCCCGGCCAACATGGTGAAACCCCGTCTCTACTAACAATACAAAAATTAGCCAGGCATGGTGGCACGTGCCTGTAGTCCCAGCTACTCAGGAGGCTGAGGCAGGAGAATCGCTTGAACCCGGGAGGCCGAGGTTGCAGTGAGCCGAGATCACACCATTGCCTGGGCAACAGAGCCAGACTCTGTCTCAAAAAAAAAAAAAAAAAAAAAAAAAAAAGGATTTTTTTCCTCTTTGGTTTTTAGAAATGTTTTTTTGAGATTGCTTAGGACCAGAATGATTTGCAAATTTGAAAATAGGAACTCCACTAGGAATGCTGGATAGAAGAGTGCTTCACATTTGTAGAGGGAGACAAGAACTAAATATCACAACTTCTTTCTGAGCCTTTTGGTTTGCTAACGTGCCCCAAATTCTTATTCCAAATGGTATAAGATAATTATGTGTAAATGAATACCAGCTCTACTTAGTTTTATTTCACATTTGTGTATCTGAATATATTAAAACATCATTCCTTTTTTTTTTTTTTGATGCAGAGTCTTGCTCTGTTGTCCAGCCTGGAGTGCAGTGGCATGATCTCGGCTCACTGCAACTTCTGCCTCCCAGGTTCAAGCGATTCTCCTGCCTCAGCCTCCCGAGTAGCTGGTATTACAGGAGTGTGCCATTAGCCTGGCTAATTTTTGTATTTTTAGTAGAGATGGGGTTTCATTGTGTTGGCCATGCTGGTCTTGAACTCCTGACCTCAAGTGATCCTCCTGCCTCAGCCTCCCAAAGTACTGTGATTAGTGTCATGAGCCACCACACCTGGCCTAAAAGATCATTGATTTAGTTTTGAGTAAGATTTTAAGTGATTAAATTATGGTATTGTTGTGTTTGGAATATCTGATATTAGGGTTTTTTTTTTAATACAGTTTTTGATATGCTTTATTTTGGGTATGTAGTTTAAAAAATATAAAGGAAATATAAGGAATGTTCTTTTTTTTTTTTTTTAAATAAAAAATGTATTTTTAACTGGGCATGGTGGCTCACTCCTGTAACCCCAGCACTGTGGGAGGCTGAGGCCGGTGAATTGCCTGAGTCCAGGAGTTTGAGACCAGCCTGGGCAACATGGTGAAACCCTGTTTCTATCAAAAAAAGGAAAAAAAAAAAGTCGGGCGTGGTGGCATGCATCTGTAATCCCAGCTACTTGGAGGCTGAGGCAGGAGGATCGCTTGTGCCTGGGAGGTTGAAGCTACAGTGAGCTGTGGTCAAGCTACTGCACTCCATTATAGGCAACCCTGTCTCAAAAAAGCAAAACAAAACGAAACATTTTCCCCCTTGATTATAGAGGTTTGAGAAAAATTTGAGGGAGGATTCAGAAAATTACCTGTAACTGAACAGAATGCCACCAGCTTGGGCTTATTCTGCATGCATAATTATGAACATTTTCCCATCTCTTGTGAAAATTCTCACATTCATAGAAAGATAGATGCACCAGTAAAATAAATACCTGTAAATACGATAATAATTTCATAATATATGCTTCACCTAGATTTACCAGTTACTAATATTTTGCCACAGTTTTATTTTCTCACACACTTTTGTTGAGCATCTGAAAACCATATACATGATGACAGTTCACCCCATAATGTTTTAGTATGCATCTCCCAAGAATAAGGTTTTTCTTCTGTATAACAAGAATATTGTAATCATACCTAAGAAAATGAATTTTATTACATATGTGTTCTATATTCAAATTTCTGTAATTACCCTTAAGATGTCTTTTAAATGATTTTTAGCATTGATAGTCTGTGCCTGTGTAGATTATAACATTGGCTATTGCAAAATAATGGTTTTCTTTTTCTCTTTTTTTTTTTTTTTGAGATGTAATCTTGCTCTATTGTCCAAGCTGGAGGGCAGTGGCGCGATCTCGGCTCACTGCAACCTCCGCCTCCCAGGTTCAAGCAGTTCTCTTGCTTCAGCCTCCTGAGTAGCTGGGATTACAGGCATGTGCCACTGTGCTCTGTTAATTTTTATATTTTTAGTAGAGACGGAGTTCATCATGCTGGCCAAGCTGGTCTTGAACTCCTGACCTCAGGTGATCCACCTGCCTCGTCCTCCCAAAGTGCTGGGGTTACAGGTGTGAGCCACTGCACCCAGCGTAAAATGATGGTTTTCTGATTCTAGCATTTCTTTTATAAGATTGCTATGTAAAGCGCAGCTTTTCCTTTTTTAGGGAAAAATGTTTTTTAACAGCTGCAAAATAAATATTCTTTCAATGGAATGACAAATAGTTATTTATTATTTTATTTTTGCCATATATTTATTTTAAAAATTTATGTATAATGGTAACCTGAGCCTGCATGTTATTCATGTGTGGTGCCATACTGATCTTCTTTAATTTTAATATGAAGCAAGTACTAATATACTAAAGCATAAATTATATAAAATTTGCTTTATATTTTGGATTGCAAAGTAATTGTTGTACTTTATAGAAAAGTTTCCCAAATCCATTTTACTTTTTTGTATTTGAAATTTAATCACAGGTAGAATCTTAAAGAGAGCATTTAGGGATATTGTAAACAGATGTTATTAAGGACTAATGTTAACTGATGTCAAAGGACTAATATTAACAAACATTGAAGAGGAGAAAGCAGTATTTGTTTTTAGCTTAACATCTTAGTGGAGCGAAATATTTTCAATTTATTTATTTATTTATTAATTATTATTTTTTTTGAGATGGACTCTGGCTGTATTGTCCAGGCTGGAGTGCAGCGGTGCAATCTCAGCTCACTGCAACCTCTGCCTCCTGGGTTCAAGCGATTCTTGTGTCTCAGCCTCCCAAGCAGTTGGGATTTACAAGTGAATTTTTTTTTTTTTTTAACTAAAACTACAGAATCTATTTTTCTTGGTCTCATACTCAGTTTTTTATGTAGTCAGTAAATAATGAACCTAATTTGCTTGTTTTCTCCCTATTTTGTTGAATGTTCACGGTTTGTAACTTTTATTTTTAAGCTTGTAATGACCAGCCTGCAGTCAATTCTTGAAAATGTGGATACACCAGAATTGCTTTGCAAATGTGTTAAGTGCATTCTTTTGGTGGCTCGATGTTACCCTCATATTTTCAGCGCTAATTTTAGGGTGAGTTCCTCATTCCGTTGTTCAGATCATGGGGTGAGGGGGATGGTTGTGTGTGTGAGGAACTGAGGAATCAGATGGAAAACAATGCCTCTGCTCCTTTGAATATAATCAGTGATATTTGAGGTTCCAGGGTTAAATGCCGCATTTTTCTTTCTGACGTTCGTACCTTAAAATATTTGAAGAAAATAAACTATTTCATTGTTGTCAGAAATGTAGTTCTTTTATTTTCCTGCCCCTCTCCCCTTTCTAAGTTTCTAGAATGTCAAGTAGGTAGAACATAGATGCTCCTTTTAGGATCTTTTGCTGTGAAATGGTCCACAGGTGAATGGCAGTAATATCTTAAAATGATTGGCCCCCTCTCTCTTTGTTTCCATCAAGGATACAGTTGATATATTAGTTGGATGGCATAGAGATCATACTCAGAAACCTTCGCTCACGCAGCAGGTATCTGGTAAGTCTTGCAGCCTATACCAGTTATTTAAATACTGTCGGGGAGGAGCAGTGGTCCCCCAGTGACCATCTATCAATACCATTTCTTTTTTTTTTTTTTTGAGACGGAGTCTCGCTCTGTCGCCCAGGCCGGACTGCGGACTGCAGTGGCGCAATCTCGGCTCACTGCAAGCTCCGCTTCCCGGGTTCACGCCATTCTCCTGCCTCAGCCTCCCGAGTAGCTGGGACTACAGGCGCCCGCCACCGCGCCCGGCTAATTTTTTGTATTTTTAGTAGAGACGGGGTTTCACCTTGTTAGCCAGGATGGTCTTGATCTCCTGACCTCATGATCCACCCGCCTCGGCCTCCCAAAGTGCTGGGATTACAGGCGTGAGCCACCGCGCCCGGCCAATACCATTTCTTTAATAATGCAAGAAAACTAATTCAGAGAAATGTTTTATTGTAAATGAACGTGACTTGTTAGCTAAATATATATTTTCAGAGGAAATTACTAGTAGGTGGGTAGAGTAAGTACAGACAGGACTTACCCAAGTTATTTGTAGTTTGTACTGGTAGGAAAGTATATGGTAAGAATATATTGCAGTGGCAATACCCTGAAGTGGACAATGGAAGATCCAAGTTATTTGTCACATTTTATTGTTTTTCTGGTTATTTTTTTAAAAAAGGAAATATAGGGTTAATTTGGAGAATTGTCATAAATGAGAAATGGTTTTGTTTCCCATTTTTTTGGATTTAAGTGAATGACTAGCGTGGCTCATTTGCACATTTCAGCTTGTTTCAAGTGTCATAGTTTCTCGTAACTTACTTGGTGTAATAAACTTTTGAAAATAGGATATTCAGGTGATAGTGGTCTGTTTCATTTTCACTGAGGAGATGAGTATACACCTTTAATGGTTAGATGTGGCCCTGGGATTAGCCAGGCCAATGGTAGATTGTGGCATTTTAGTCTTAAGTCATGTGTAGTGACAATATAGATATGAAATTTACTGAAAAAGTAAGGAAATAACATTTACAAGTTAATTTCTGCAGAAATTAAAGAGGTATTAAAGAGGTATTGGTTAATCGTGATCAGCATGTTTAGCAGTCTTAATTTTATGATATAGGACATGTTTTAGGGTATGCTGCTTGAAAACCAGATACTTTTTAAAACGAGCCTCTTATATTTTTTTAATTTGGATTTTTTGGTGTTTTTTCTCCCCCCTACCCTTTCACAATTTCTTATACGATTCCAAGGGTGGTTGCAGAGTTTGGAGCCATTTTGGGTAGCTGATCTTGCATTTCCTACGACTCTTCTTGGTCAGTTTCTAGAAGACATGGAAGCATATGCTGAGGTGAGTATATAGAAAGCTGTTTCTTAAAATTTTGGTTAAGAAAAAATCTTAAAATTGTGCTAGATTTATTTTAAAATGGCTCAGACCTCCTGACATTTAAGCAGAAATTACAAGCCCATCGCAATATTTTGAAAAAAAATTTTTTTTTGAGACGGAGTCTCGCTCTGTCACTCAGGCTGGAGTGCAATGGCACGATCTCAGCTCACTGCAACCTCCACCTCCTGGGTTCAAATGATTCTCCTGCCTCAGCCTCCTGAGTAGCTGGAATTACAGGTGCCCGCCACTACGCCCAGCTAATTTTTGTATTTTTAGTAGAGACGGGGTTTCACCGTGTTGGCCAGGCTGGTCTCAAACTCCTGACCACTGGTGATCCACCCACATCGGCCTCCCAAAGTGCTGGGATTATAGGCATGAGCCCCCGTGCCCAGTCAGTATTTTAAACATTTATTTCAGATGTGTTTAAATTACCAGGAGAATTACTGGAGAGACTAAAAGAAACGTTGCAAGCTTCGTATTTCGCAAAGCTTTACATACTCTTGGTAGCTGGTATTTTTCTAAAGACATTTTTTGTTATTTATTTTTATTTTTTGTCCCCAGTCTTCAGAGTCTTAAAGCAAATTGATGTTGTGTTATAAAAAAACACAAAACACCAAAAGCTCCTAAAGATTTTCCTCTTACATATGTACAGGAGAACTTGAATCGTACTTTGGAGGACAAGCCTTGGCTTCAGCCAGCTTTTGTGGCTGTACGAATATAGCATAGGAGCTTTAAGAGCGCTGCTGAAGCCTCTGTTACTGGTACTTGGCTTTTCTGGCCGCACTGTCATGGCTTAACTCTGTGCCATCTCTTATCTGAATCTCTTTGTGTTTCTCCCCTATTCAGATCAACCAATCAAGGCTCCCATAAAGATTTTGGCCTCATCTTGTTTTTTTCATCTTTGCTGCTTGTAGTCAACAGGAATTCAGTACCTTTAGCTGTACTGATGTGTTTACTCTTTCCTAGAAAAGCAAGGAAATGTTTTGCTTCTGCGTTGTTTTTTCTTTGCCCCCACACCTAGAATGTCTTTTTTCACAGCCCACGTTTAAAGCTGATCTACCTCTCATAAGCCACACATTCTAGTTTGTAGAGATGTTTCCCCTTGTTATCCTTAAGATCTCATTCTCTTCTGTTATTTTGGTGCTTAATTTTAGGTAGATGTATACATTGGTTCTAGTATCCTAGTTTTTGCGAATCTTGTCCTTTTCATATATCGTACTTCTTCAGTTACACATCTGTAGACCAGGTCTTGTAATCTCCCTTTGCTCTTCATGTGCATGCTCTTGGTTTGGAGGACTTACTGTTGAGCTGAGTGGCTCAAAGAATACCTAGAATGAGATTTTTAGCCAAAAACTAATTCAGGAGTGGCAAAAGCTTCCGTCTTCATTTATACCTACATATAACTAGAGCATATGTGCTAGAATTTATTTTTCCCCAACAGCTTTCTGAGTTGATTTAAGAGATTATTTCCTTAATTTGTTGTCTATTGGGTTTAATGTTGGCTTTTTGAAATAATTAGGTAAAACCCATTTTTATATTCAGAGTCATGAATATTCTCATGGGCCACAGTTCTCTTTCTAAAAGCCTAAAAATCTATTCTAAAATGAATTGATTGAAATATTTTAGAGTTTTTTGTTTTTTTTTAAACAATGTACTACTTATTAAGAATGCTGTGAATTCACATCTAGGACCTCAGCCATGTGGCCTCTGGGGAATCAGTGGATGAAGACGTCCCTCCTCCATCAGTGTCATCACCAAAGCTGGCTGCGCTTCTCCGGGTATTTAGTACTGTGCTGAGGAGCATTGGGGAACGCTTCAGCCCAATTCGGGTCCTCCAATTACTGAGGCATACGTAACAGTTGTAAGTGCTTTTGGGCATTTGAAGTGTCATTCAAAAATAAAATTGTTTTACATTGTAAATGATTCTCTTTACCAGGTGAACTGTTATTAATCCTTCATTTGTTTAGCATGTGTGTATGTATGTATATATGTATATATTGTCTGACTGCTTTCTTAAATAACCAGAAAAGCAGGGAATCCTGTTATATCTCATCCTCCTTTCATCCAACTCCCCTACCCTCCCATGACAAAAGGCCACTCTGAATTTTTAAATCTTATTCTTTCATTTTTAAATAATATATCTTATAATTTTACTTTTAAATTATTGGGTTTCCTTTTAGTTTTTCAACATATTACGAATAGCACACTATAGGAGAAGCCTCAGAAAGTAACCTTCTCTGAGCATAAGATGGAACTCATATGAAAACTTGTATATCTTTATATTCTTTGATAGCCTGATATCAAAGAACATAAACAAATTAAAAATGAGGTAGCTAGATTGCCACACTTCAGCAGCCTCAAACATTAGCTGCACTGTATATAGCACATCCAATGAGGGTTCAGTGGAAAAGACACAAGAAGTGAACCCCAGGCATTGTACTCTGCTTTGAATAAGGAGAAAGAAGCATGTGTGATACAGTCATAAAAAATTTAATCTAACTGATGAAAATTTTACTGTTAGGATAAAACTCGCTTTTAGGAGCATATACTTTTGCTGAACATGTTGCTAAATAAAATAGGATATTGATTATATAGTAAGTTGTGTACTTGAGCAGAAATGTCAGAACTTAAAGATAAATGAAACCAGCATATTGGTATTTTAAACCAATATGGTTTCAAAATGGTTTAATATCTTTGCTTCATTTTTAATGTCTAAAAGGTGGTTGTTTGAAGACTGTACAGAGTTGAAATAAAAAGCCGTTAATTCAGACATAAAATAAAAGGGACATAATTTATAGGATAGGTGTATATTGATTTATGAGGATCTTTTAGGCCTTTGAGAATGGTAGAATGGTGGGGTTTTTATTTTTTTTATTTATTTTTGGAGCTGGAGCCTCACTCTGTCACCCAGGCTGGAGTGTAGTAGTGCAATCATAGCTCACTGTAGTCTTGAACTCTTGGGCCCAGGTGAACTTCCCATTCACTCAGCCCTACAAGCGGGTGTCACCATACCCAGCTTTTTTTGTTTTTCTTTTTAAAGTGGGGTGGTGCCATCACGACTCAGTGCAGCCTCTGTATCTTGGGCTCAAGTGATCCTCCCACCACAGCTCCTGCTAATTTTTTATTTTTGTAGAGATGGGGTCTCAGTGTTTCCCAGGCTGGTCTTGAACTTTTGGCCTCAAGCAGTCTTCCCACCTCAGCCTCCCAAAGTGTTGGGATTATAGACATGAGCCACTGTGCATGCATGGCCAAGAATGGTTCCCCCTCCGCCCTCTCTCCCCCACTCTTTTTTTTTTTGGAGACATGGTCTCTGTTGCCCAGGCTGGAGTGCAGTGGCACGATCTTGGCTCACTGCAGCCTTGACCTCCCAGGCTTAAGTGATCCTCCCACCTCAGCCTCAAGTAGTTGGTGGGACTACTGGTGTGAGCCACCACGCCCAACTAATTTAAAAACAAATTTGGTAGAGATGAGGTGTTGTTATGTTGACATGGCTGGTCTCAAACTCCTGGACTCAAGAGAACCTTCCAGCTAATCCTCTCAAAGTGCTAGGATGATAGATGTGAGTCACTATGCCCAACCTCCAAGGATACTTTTAATGAAAACTATGGGTAGACTAAATAAAATCCTGTATGTATTGGTTGTTAAATATTATAGAAATATTTTTAAACATTTGCTCTGTTTTCTCCCCCATTTTATTAGAAATTTAGTACACAATTATTGGCCATTATAGTTAAGTGGGGGATTTTGTTTGTGTGTGTATTGGAAATAATATGATTTTTGAAGATATTATGTGGTAAGCATGAGAGTGCTTATCTTTCAAAAGAGACCATCAGTAGATAGAAACTTTAATAAGCTTAAAGTGACTTGTATGTTCAGTTTTGAAAGATTGATTCCCAAAAGCCCAAGAGCTAGCTTGTAGTATGTGTGGGCAGGCTATTCCCATGCTGTCAATACCATTACTGTCGTGGTGTATTTCATGATAAAGATTCTGAGCTTCAGCCATTTAGTGACATTGGGAGAAACGAAGTTGGGTATATGGGAAATAGAGGATGGCAGGTTCCATTTCCTGTCATAGTAGCACTTTAGGATTTTTTAGCCAAGATCATGTTTACATATTGTAGTAAAGGGATCATTATTATTCAGCTACTGAGAACTAGAATATTAAGAGACTGCTGGCAAGGCAAGCAGTTAATTTTCAGTTGAAATTGCATTAAATAAAAAGTATTTTCTTGCTTTGTGGAAGCACGTGAATTTTTGTAAAAAGCTGCTTGTTTTCCCCATTTACAGGTTCTGTACAGAGTAATGAGATGTGTGACGGCTGCAAACCAGGTGTTTTTTTCTGAGGCTGTGTTGACAGCTGCTAATGAGTGTGTTGGTGTTTTGCTCGGCAGCTTGGATCCTAGCATGACTATACATTGTGACATGGTCATTACATATGGATTAGACCAACTGGAGAATTGCCAGACTTGTGGTACCAATTATATCATCTCAGTCTTGAATTTACTCACGCTGGTATGTGAATTATTCTTTTCCTTTTTAATGTGTTGGTTTATTCAGGCCCTTAAATCGATATGTAAGAAATTAAGGACTTTGTCTGGGTATGGTGGCTCATGCTTGTAATCCCAGCACTTTGGGAGGCCAAAGCAGAAGGATTGCTTGCATCCAGGAATTCTGGCACAGCTTGGGCAATGTAGTGAGACCCCATCTGTACAAAAAGTCAAAAATTAGCTTGGTGTAGTGGTGTGCACCTGCAGTCCTAGCTACTCGGGAGGCTGAGGGAGGAAGATCGATTAAGCCCAGGAACTTGAGGTTGAAGTGAGCTCTGATTGTGCCACTGCACTCAGCCAAGGTGACAAAAAAGGCCCTGTCTCCAAAAAAGAAAAAAAATAAGGGCTTTGCTTTATTATATTATTTTTTAGAGTACATTCATCAGTCTTATAATCTATGCTTTCATTTTAGTGTCTATTTACTTTTATTTTTAATGCAATTTTTTTTTGAGACAGGGTCTCACTCTGTTGCACAGGATGAAGTGCAGTGGCATGATTTTGGCTCACTGTAGCCTTGACCTCTTGGGTTCAGGTGATCCTCCCACCTCAGCCCCCCAGGTAGCTAGGACTACAGGCGTGCACCACCACACCTGGCTAATTTTTTATATTATTTTGTAGAGATGGAGTTTTGCCATGTTGCCCAGGCTGGTCTTGAATTCTTGGGCTCAAGCAATCCACCTGCCTTGGCCTCCCAAAGTACTGGGATTATAGGCATGAGCCACTCTGCCAGGCCTCTATTTTTAGTGGTTGATAGCTAGTCTCAGTGTAGCTTTACTCGTTTTTTCTGAGGAAACATTGCTCTATGCACCAGATTCTTTCTTTTTTGCTTTTCTTTTCTTTCTTTCTTTTTTTTTTGTCACAGGATCTTGCTGTATTCCCCTGGCTGGAGTGCAGCGGTACAATCAGAGCTCACTGCAGCCTCAAACTCCTGGGCTCAAGTGATTCTCCCACTCAGCCTCCCGACTATCTGGGACTACAGATGCATGCCACCATGCCTGGCTAACCTTTGTAGTTTTTGGAGAGAAGGGGTCTCACTACATTGTCTAGACTGGCCTTAAATTCTTGGTCTCAAGTAATCCTCCTGCCTTGCCCTCCCGAAGTGCTGGGATTACAGGTGTGAGCAATCATGCCTGGCCTCCTTTAATTTCTTTCTTTTTTTTTTTTTTTTTGAGACGGAGTCTCGCTCTTTTGCCCAGGCTGGAGTGCAGTGGCACAATTGTATTTTTAGTAGAGACGGGGTTTCACCATGTTAGCCAGGATGGTCTCGATCTCCTGACCTCGTGATCTGCCTGCCTTGGCCTCCCAAAGTGCTGGGATTATAGGCGTGAGCCACCACGCCCGGCCGGCCTCCTTTAATTTCTTAACCATAAATATCCTCCCCCCACTTTTATTATGGACATTCTGAAGCACATAAAAATAGGGAGCATGGTATAATAAATTTGTACATATTTAACACTCAGCTTCTATAATTAGAAACAAATGGCCCATCTGGTTTCATCTAGGCCTCTTTGCTATCCTTTCATCTCCAGCTGGATTATTTTAAAGCAAATTCTAGATGACATTCTGCTGAGCATTTCTGCCAGATTTACACCTCTCTTTGCTAATGTGAAAAAATGCCCATGATAACTGTAAAATACGTGTGTCCTATTTAGGTGTCTAAACACTTTAATGTCACAGTATTAAGGCCTTAAAATATAGCTTAGATATATTTTTCTAAATTAAAAGACTTTATTTTTTAGATATACAGAAAATTGAGCAGAAAACAATGAGTTCCCATATACCTTCTTCATCCCAACAGTTTCCCCCTCATTAACATATTGTGTTAGTGTGGTACATTTATTACAAAGGAGTGAATATTGATATATTATTATTAACTAATTTTATAGTTTACTTTGTGTTATGTATTCTATGGACTTTAACATGTGTAATGACATGTATCCCCTATTACCAGTATCATACAGGATAGTTTCACTTCCCTAAAAATCTTTGATGTTCTACCCACTCCTTCCTCGTTCCCTCTCCCCACTCCTCCCTCCCTCCATCTTAAGCCCATGGCAACCCCTGATCTTTTTACTGTCTCCATCGTTTTGCCTTTTCCAGAATGCCATGTAGTTGGAGTCATATAGTATGTAGCCTTTTCAATTGGCTTCTTTCACTTACCAGTGTGCATTTAAGGTTTCTCCATGTCTTTTTGTAATTTGAGAAGCTCATTTTTTAAAAATTTTATTCTTTTAGATTGTTGAACAGATAAATACGAAACTGCCATCATCATTTGTAGAAAAACTGTTTATACCATCATCTAAACTACTATTCTTGCGTTATCATAAAGAAAAAGAGGTAAGTAATATACTGATAATGAATTTTGACAACTTGAGTCACTGAAGAGTTGGACCTAATGTTGCTTACCAGGCTATATAAGTGAAATTGAGTGAAATGTGAAATGTTTGATTTAGAATATAGTGATTGTATTTGTTCTTTTAAATTTATATTTCTTGATAATCATACTGAATACTTTCATGAATGATGTGCCAGATACTCTTTTCAGATTATGCATCTCTTGCTGTTATTAAATTTATTAAATTTTCATAAGGGTAAAACAAGTTGACACATTTATAAAGTTATAAATTAAGTACTGTATATTTTATAAACAAAAATGACTGGCTTTTCAACCACCCCCTAGTCAAATCCACCACAGACTTTCCTGGTAGATTTAAGAAACCCAGTCTTAAACTGCTGTTTGCATATGTCTTTTGATGTTGATTATTTAAAAAAAAAAAAAAACGGCCATTTTGGAAATTTCCTATTGACAGTTTTCATTTATAGTACTCTTTATTTGTGATAAAACTTAATAGATTTGAAATAGCTTACTGATCTGTGTCAGTTTTCTGATTGGTTTTTTAAAAATTAAAATATTAAGTGCTACGGACAGTGAATTGATCAATCTTAAATTTATTTGTATCATCAGCACTAATACAGATAGTGATTTATTTTCCATATAATTTTAGAAGATTTATTTTCCATTTATCACTTCCTTGAATTTTTTGTTTTTCAGGTTGTTGCTGTAGCCCATGCTGTTTATCAAGCAATGCTCAGCTTGAAGAATATTCCTGTTTTGGAGACTGCCTATAAGTTAATATTGGGAGAAATGACTTGTGCCCTAAACAACCTCCTGCACAGTCTGCAACTTCCTGAGGCCTGTTCTGAAATAAAACATGAGGCTTTTAAGAATCATGTGTTCAATGTAGACAATGCAAAATTTGTAGTTAAATTTGACCTCAGTGCCCTGACTACAACTGGAAATGCCAAAAACTCGAGTCTTTAATTGTAATGACTTTGTTTTATCCACAGTTAAGCCTTTTCTCATTACATATTTATGTATTTCACTGTCATGTCAACATGTCTGCAGAATCACTGTATGTAACAAACAGCCATATTTAAGACATGCCTGGATAAATAAAATTGGTAGGAATGTTTTCTTGCCATTATATTTAACGTTTCTTCTTTTTCCTTGACAAATCTTGATAAGTTTTTTTATATTAGTTTTATTTTCTAGAAAACGTCTTATGAATTTCTCCCATTTGCTCTAGCATGCTTATAGAAAATGTCAGTGTTTCTTACAGCTCAAATTTGTATAGTTGTTTTAAAATGCGGTCTCTTTCTTCCCCTGGTACTTTTTTCTTTCTGTCTACTGAAGTTAGTTCTTATACATGGTCTTATATTTTGGCTGTCTTTTTTTCCCTAGGAACATTCATACAGGTTGAATATTCCTTATCTGAAATACTTGGGACTGGAAGTGTTTTTGATTTTGGAGTTTGGAATACTTTTTTTTTTTTGGAGATAGTGTTTTACTCTTGTTGCCCAGGCTGGAGTGCAATGGCGCAATCTTGGCTCGCTGCAACCTCCGCCTCCCGGGTACAAGCGATTCTCCTGTTTCAGCCTCCCAAGTAGCTCGGATTACAGGCATGCGCCACCACGCCTGGCTAATTTTTTTGTATTTAGTAGAGATGGGTTTTCACCATGTTAGCCAGGCTGGTTGTGAACTCCTGACCTCAGGTGATCCACCTGCCTTGGCCTCCCAAAATGCCGGGATTACAGGTGGGCACCACCATGCCCAGCCGGATTTTGGAATATTTTCATAACACTTACTGGTGAGCACCCCTAATCTGAAAATCCTAAATCTAAAATGCTCCAAAATTTGAAACTTTTTGAGCACCAGTATGATGCCCCAAGTGGAAAATCCCACACCCGACCTCATGTGATGAGTCCAAACTGTTGTATGCACAAAATTATTTAAAATATTGCATAAAATGACCTTCAGGCTATGAATAGAAGGCGTCTATGAAATATAAGTGAATTTCGTGTTTAGACTTGGGTCGCGTCCCCCACATATCTCATTTTATATATGTGCAAGTATTCTCAAATCCAAACATATACAGAGTCTGAAACACTTCTGGTCCCAAGCATTTTGAATAAGGGATACTCAACCTGTAGTCTTTCTTTTAGGAGGGGGGAAAAAAAAAGCTTTTTTTTTTTTTGGAGACAGAGTCATGCTGTTGTCACCTGGGCTGGAGTGCAGTGGTGCAATCTCGGCTCACTGCCACCTCTGCCTCCCGGGTTCCAGCAATTCTCCTGCCTCAGCCTCCCGAGTAGCTGAGATTACAGACACCTGCCACTACGACGGGCTAATTTTTGTATTTTTAGTAGAGACTTGGTTTCACCATGTTGGCCAGGCTGGTCTCAAACTCCTGACCTCAGGTGATCCACCCGCCTCAGCCTCCCAAAGTGCTGGAATTACAGGCACGAGCCACCGCGCCCAGCCCGTGTGTTTTTTTTTTTAAGTAATTCGACGTGGCCCTGCTCTTGATTTGTATTTATTGTTTATGGTTTGTGTATTTCTTCTTCCTATTGGACCACACAGAGTTGAAAAACATTATTTTTAATAGAAAATAATAGGTGTAGGCTGGGCACGGTTGCTGACACCTGTAAACCCAGCACTCTGGGAGGCCACGTCGGGCTGATCACTTGTGGTCAGGAGTTTGAGACCAGCCTGGCCAACATGGTGAAAGTTCGCCTCTACTAAAAATAGAAAAATTAGCCAGGGGTGGTGGTGCACACCTGTAATCCTAGCTACTTTGGAGGCTGAGGTAGGAGAATTGCTTGAACCCAGGAAGTGGAGGTTGCAGTGAGCTGAGATCACACCACCGCACTCCAGCCTGGGCTACAGAACCAGACTCTGTCTCAAAAGAAAAAAAAAAAAAGAAAGAAACAAAGAAAGAAAGTAATGGATGTAATTAGGGAATAAAGTTTTTAGGAGGAAAAAGGTAAAATTTGATGTTTGCGCTTCAGTGTGCTCCATGTTGTTTGATTGGATTGCCTTGTATAATTCCATAGCTGCTTCGCTTATTACCAGTTACAGCTTATGTTTGAAGTCACAATAAACTCTTCTTCAAACATGAAAGCTTGATTTTTGAGGAAAATTATTCACATTATTTGCAGATTCAAAGATGTTTATGTCCTGTACTCTAGAAATAAGGAGAAAGTGGGTGGGGCTGGGGCAGTCAGGTGGAATGGAGTGTCTTGGCAGTGTAAAGGAACAAGATGGATGGAAAAGGTGTATAGTGGCAGGGTGTGCCTTTGTTTCCTTATTGAACAGGGCACCTTGCCATTTGCAGTATATGGAAAATTGAAGAAATACAGTCTACTTCCGCAAAAGGCACATACAAAGGGCTCTGTTTAGACCAGAGATCAGCAAACTATGGTCCGTGGGCCAAATACAGCCCAGCACCTGTTTTTTGTTTGTTATTTTAAGTGTATAATTCACTGATTTTTAGTATATTCACAGAAGTGTACAACCATCGCAACACTAGTGCCTGTTTTTGTAAAGAAAGTTCTCGTTGGGCTGGGCGCAGTGGTTCACGCCTGTAATCCCTCGGGAGACCGAGACGGGCAAATCACCCGAGCTCAGGAGTTCAAGACCAGCCTGGCCAACATGGTGAAACCCTATCTCTACTAAAAAAATACAAAAGTTAGCAGGGCGTGGTGATGGGCACCTGTAGTCCCAGCTACTTGGGAGACTGAGGCAGGGAGAGTTGCTTGAACCCCGGAGGTAGAGGTTGCAGTGAGCTGAGATCGCCCCATTGCACTCCAGCCTGGGCAACAGAGCGAGAGACTCCGACTCAAGAAAGTTTTCTTGGAACACAGGTACTCTCATTCCTGTGTTTCGTATGTGGCTGGTGTTTTGTTTTGAGAGAGAGAGTCTTAACTTTGTCATCTAGGCTGGAGTGCATTGGTATGATCTCGGGTCACTGCAACCTCTGCCTCCCAGGTTCAAGCGATTCTCCTGCCTCAGCCTCCCGAGTAGCTGGGATTACAAGTGTGCGCCACCATGCCCAGCTAATTTTTGTAATTTTAGTAGAGATGGGGTCCCGCTGTGTTGCCCAGGCTGGTTTCAAACTCCTGGGCTCAAGTGATCTGCCCACCTTAGCCTCCCAAAGTGCTAGGATTACAGGTGTGAGCCACAACACCTGACCTGTGGCTGTTTTCTTACTGTAGCGATAGACAAGGAGTTGCTGCATTGCATAGAGATGCTATATTGCACGCAAAGGCTTTACTGACTTCACAAAAAAGTATTTGTCCAAGGTGTAGTGTACTAGATCCCTTCCAATCTGTAATTTTAATTTAAAAATGTCCAAATAAAAAAAGTCCAAATACCCCTGTTTTGAAGGATAAACTCTGTATGCTTGTGCTTATTTTGGAGAAGCCATAAACTTACTTTGTTTTGTACATGATCAGATGTGGGCGCTATCTCCAACTGTCTTTGCACTTCTGAGTAAGAATCTGATGATTGTGCACAGTGACCTGGCTGTTCACTTCCCTGCCATTCAGTATGCTGTGCTCTACACATTGTATTCTCATTGTACCAGGTACTGTATTCACAAATTTTTCTTAAGAACCCCACAAAACATTTTATTTTTTTAATGGATAGATTTTAAAGATGTATGTTGATTTAACTTTGGACTTGCTTGCTTTCTTTGATTAAAGATGAAAAGATAATCTATGCTTTGTCTTTCAGGCATGATCACTTTATCTCTAGTAGCCTCAGTTCTTCCTCTCCTTCTTTGTTTGATGGAGCTGTGATTAGCACTGTAACTACGGCCACAAAGAAACATTTCTCAATTATATTAAATCTTCTGTGAATATTACTTAAGAAAGATAACCTTAACCAGGACACGAGGTAACAGATTTTATATAGTATTAACTATTCCTAACTTTGTTAATTTGCCTTTATAATTTGAGAATAAGAAATGTGAATTACAAAAAATTTTAAAAAATGTGGATTATAGAGGTGAGGTAGAGCAGCTTCTTTACTGTCAAACACCTTATAATTTGGTTTTATTATTTAATCTAGGCTTTCTTATTCTTTCTGAAAAGAAATACATGAAAAACCTCAATCCCCCACCCCCAGTGTTTCATAGAAGAATATATATAGATTTTTAATATTCTATGCTTTTTTTGTTTTTGAGACGGAGTTTTGCTCACTGCAACCTCTGCCTCCCAGGTTCAAGCAATTCTTCTGCCTCAGCCTCCCAAGTAGCCGTGATTACAGGTGCCCGCCACCACACCCAGCTAATTTTTGTATTTTTAGTAGAGATGGTGTTTCACCATGTTGTTGGCCAGGCTGGTCTTGAACTCCTGACCTCAGGTAAGCCACCACGCCCGGCCTCTTTGCTATTATCATGCTGCGTTGGGAGGTTTTCTTAAAAGGCACACAACAATTTTGACAGTAATTTCTATAGTTTCATTTTTTATTTTTATTTTTTATTGTTTGAGATATTTGAAAAACCAAGAGAAAACCAATGTAAGAAGACTAGGCTTTTAACGTTTTTTTGTTTTTGTTATTGTTTTTAATGTACAGTCAACTGTATATTTTGTGTTTCAGGAAACTGTTAATGACTTGGGCTTTGGAAGTAGCTGTTTTAATGAAGAAGTCCGAAACATATGCACCTTTATTCTGTCTTCCGTCTTTCCATAAATTTTGCAAAGGCCTTTTAGCCAACAGTAAGACTCTGTTTTTTTTTTTCTATTTTGTTTATCAATCCTTGGTAATGGGAGATGGTCATCAATAGAGCTCTTTTCCTGACCTGCAGATGTGTAATCCTCATTTTAATGACAGATACACAGTCTTGATTTTTTTTCATTCTTAGTATTAGAAAAATGTTTTGAAGTGATTGTCACATTTTTAAGCTTACGTGAATGTTTATAGTTTGCATATACTTTTACATTTTCTCTCAGAAAAAGTTTTGTGTGATGACCCATCAGTTACATTACGTGGGTTTTGTTGAATGTGTCATTTTTCCAAACATGACAGTCAATGAGGATTCTGGACAAGAACAGTGCCTAGTCTAGAGTAGGCACTCACTCTTTGTTGAATGAATGAATGGATTCAGATAATTATGACAAACTGGGATATAATTTCTTTTGGCCAGCTGAAAGTAGCTGTCTTTTAATGTTTAATAGTTCTCGTTGAAGATGTGAATATCTGTCTGCAGGCATGCAGCAGTCTACCTGCTCTGTCCTCTTCCTTGCCAGATGATCTTTTACAGAGGTATGAAATTAAGATCATGTCTTTTGACATTAATCCTAATAACTTTGAAATGTTAACACACCTGCTTTGTCTATTTCGTTCTTTCATAGATGTGTTGATGTTTGCCATGTTCAACTAGTGCACTGTGGAACTCGTATTCGACAAGCATTTGGAAAACTGTTGAAATCAATTCCTTTAGATGTTATCCTAAGGTATAACAGTTGTTTTGGAGCAAAGACATTCTGTGATATTTACAGCCTCTACTGGTTGTCTACTTTAGGAGAAGACAGATCACCTATTAGAGCATTAATGACACATCTTTTATGGCCCTGCTTGTCAGTGATTGAAGTGATGTCAAATAATCAAATTTTGCAGGTCTGCAAGAAAATTAAAAATTTTTAATGAGCTTTATAGGCTCACAATAATTAGTATAGAATAACTCATGTAGTGCCAAAATATGTTTCTTAGTAGCTCAGATATTTGAAAAACTAAACAGTAATCTTTTATTGTTTTTGATCAAGTTGATTTGGGAGCTTTTAAGAGCCTAAACTTGATCCTTTTGTAATACATAAGCATAATGATTGGGTTTTTATGTTCACATGTTTGATATGCCTCCCTCAAATCCTCTTATGATGTCGGCACATGACCCATCTGAAGTGAATAAAAAAAGGATCTAAAGTTGTAATCACATCTCCGTATCCATTTGAAAGTCTCAATTTTTCTATATTTTTACCTCCAGTGAGTTAATAAGTAAATAATCCACTTACAGTATGTGCTAACCTTTTAAGCTAAAATATTTTGCGTAACAACAACTTTATTTTCTGTCTACAGCAATAACAATCACACAGAAATTCAAGAAATTTCTTTAGCATTAAGAAGTCACATGAGTAAAGCACCAAGTAATACATTCCACCCCCAAGATTTCTCTGATGTTATTAGTTTTATTTTGTATGGGAACTCTCATAGAACAGGGTAAGGCATTTCTTTGACTATTTTATCTAGGAAAGATAATTTTAAGATTCCCTTTACTTTACATGCAGTTTTGAAGAGAAAATATGTTTGGGGGTGGCAGAGTATCAAGTAACATTCTTCTCATATGGGTTATTTCAGTTTTCATCAATAGGAAAATTACTTTGAAGATAGCATCTGTAGAAACAAAAATGGGCTTTGAAATTGAGTAATGAAATGTGGTTAACAGTTAACTGATGTGATGTCATTAACACTTTGGGGAATGGGGTGGGGGTGGAGATATTCTAGAGATGCTTAGTTGCATTGAATGAGTTTCATTCCTGACCGGCATGAGCCGTTTACCCTAATCATCCTTCCACGCTGTACCTCATCCTGTTAACTATAAAAGACCTCAAAATAAGAGGGGGGGGACATAATGCTTCTCAATTTCATAGGTTTTGCCTTTTTTTGGAGTAGGGAAAATTACAGTTCCTTATTCCCATTCCCCTTGCATTTTTTTTTCATTATTAAAATGAAGTTGTCATTGTCTTTTAAATATGAAACTACTTTTCCCAGGAAGGACAATTGGTTGGAAAGACTGTTCTATAGCTGCCAGAGACTGGATAAGCATGACCAGTCAACAATTCCACGCAATCTCCTGAAGACAGATGCTATCCTTTGGCAGTGGGCCGTATGGGAAGCTGCACAATTCACTGTTCTTTCTAAGCTGAGAACCCCACTGGGCAGAGCTCAAGACACCTTCCAGACAATTGAAGGTAACTCGCTCAAGCTTTGTGATGTGAATACTTTCAAAGCCTTATTAAGAAATAATGGATTTTTAAATCTTTGTTAAAGATTTGAGAGTATATGATTTTTTTGAAAAGAAGTCAGTAATTTTCAGGTATGTTTGTTAGAATAAGCTTTCATTGAATAATTGCATTGGAAATATGTTTGTTTTTTTCCCAAAACTTATGGGAGTTGTGTGGAAAAAATATATATTTTTTTCCCCTAAAATGAAAGATCTTTCATGTTGGGATTTTTTATTTTTAAATGATGGGTAGACAGAGGATACTTGATAAATGTGAATTGATCATAAAAAACTCACACTTATTCTAGGAACTTTTAAGATTTTTAAAAATTCAGAATGTTGTCTTTGCTTTCAGGTATCATTCGAAGTCTCGCAGCTCACACATTAAACCCTGATCAGGATGTTAGTCAGTGGACAACTGCAGACAGTGATGAAGGCCATGGTAACAACCAACTTAGACTTGTTCTTCTTCTGCAGTATCTGGAATATCTGGAGAAATTAATGTATAATGCATACGAGGGATGTGCTAATGCATTAACTTCACCTCCCAAGGTTGGTTTCCATGAGATAGTGTTGTTTTATAGCAGTTTAATGGTCACAGCTGGCAGTATGTGCAGAGCTGAAATCACAATAGACTTGTGTATTTGGTTTATATATAGGTGAGACATCCTTACCTACAAATTGAACCAGTCCTGAGCTTTTCTTTCTCTTATCGTAAAGTGACTAGAACTTTTTTCTATACCAATCGCCAAACTTGTCAGGACTGGCTAACGCGGATTCGACTCTCCATCATGAGGGTAGGATTGTTGGCAGGCCAGCCTGCAGTGACAGTGAGACATGGCTTTGACTTGCTTACAGAGATGAAAACAACCAGCCTATCTCAGGTAAAGTGGTGTGTTTGAAATTCATTTTAAGTCTGTTAATAAGAAAAACATGGTTTAATTCCTTTGGTATGATTTAATCTATGGATAAAATAAGTTAAAGCTTGGATTCATTTTCAAAGGTTTTGATCCTGTATTTTGTAAAAGCAACAACTGCCAGAGTTACCTATTTTATTCGTGTTAAAACAGTGTTAGAAGTTAAAATAATGTTCATGTTTTTGTTCATGTTAAAACAATATTCATCTTAGAACATGTTAAAACTATATTTCTTATGTGCAAAGTTTAGAACTTTAAAGGTAATTCTGAAAATTTGTTTATGGGGGAAATTTTTTATTTATTTATTTATTTTTTTGAGACACAGCACTCTGTCGCCCAGGCTGGAGTGCAGTTGTGTGATCTCGGCTCACTGTAAGCTCCGCCTCTCGGGTTCAAGCCTCTTCTTGCCTCAGTCCCTGGGATTACAGGCACCCACCACCATACCCAGCTAAGTTTTGTATTTTTAGTAGAGACAGGGTTTCACCATGTTGGCCAGGCTGGTCTCGAACTCCTGACCACAAGTGATCCGCCCACCTTGGCCTTCCAAAGTGCTGGGATTACAGGCATGAGCCACTGCACCTGGCCAGGAGAAATTGTTTTTATAACGTATGACAAATGCTTGAGTAATTCCTGGCTTGAAAGTGGGCTCACAATAAATAACTGGAATCCAAAAATAACAAAATGTTTAGCAATTCAGGTAATGTCAAGCAGTATTCAAACACATGAAGTTAATCATTCTTTAATTCCTGTTTATTTATATTTAATTTTTGCTTTCTTTTTACTCCATGTGTTATTCCTACAGAGGTCACAGGTTAAATGTTTGGGTAACTTTGGGGTGGGGGTGCAAACATCCATGTGCTGCTAAGGTTCTGTTAGTCACCCTTTGTGGCTATTTTATATGTAACATTTTAAAGAATTCTGAGCTAAATAATGTGAAAATTGTGAAAATAATTGTTAAATACATTTGGCTTTAAGCAGGCACAGACTGTGATCAGTTGTAAATTTTATAGGGATTTATGTTTTAATGGTATTGGGTGACTAACTTTTCTGAATGCGTTTTCAGGGGAATGAATTGGAAGTAACCATTATGATGGTGGTAGAAGCACTATGTGAACTTCATTGTCCTGAAGCTATACAGGGAATTGCTGTCTGGTCATCATCTATTGTTGGAAAAAATCTTCTGTGGATTAACTCAGTGGCTCAACAGGCTGAAGGGAGGTAGGTTGGAGGGAAGGAAATGGGTGATAGAATTACTTTATGTTTAAATTCTTTGTATTACTCACTGACATTGTAGCCAAATCTTAAAACAGCTTTGTTTGCTTTCAGCATTGAAGCTTGCTATAAATCACTTCACCAGGAGGCATCTTCAGTTTGTTCTTTAGTTAGCAGCAATACTTGAGTGCCTTTCTTATTTAAGAATTAGTGGCAAATCACACTGAAAAACAAGACCTGTCAGTTGTTTTATAAATGCTTTTGAACTTGATCCCTAGTTGAGCTCCTTCCCCCTCAGAGTCTGATACAAATTACCCTTTATTGTCAGAGTATTTGCTCATTAGTCCTGTGAACTCTACATTCAGACTCATTGCTTCCTCCAGATAGAGGAGCTTGTACCATAATATTCTGTGTCCATTTATGTTAGTTTAATGAAATCTTGCGAATTTAGGAAAATAAAAGAACTGCTCATTCTTCCATATCTTTGTAGTAACTTCTGTTGTGTGTCCTTTTGTAGTCCCATATTTCCATATCCATATGCTTTGTAATTCTTTTTTCTTTCATGTCGTTTTCTCCATTCTTCACCAAAACAGCAGCATACATAGGCACATGGTTTTATGATCTGTTTTTCCCACTCAATATTTAAAAAAAAAATTTGCCATGTTAGGTAGGCTGGGTTCGGTGTCTTACATCTGTATTCCCAGCACTTTGGGAGGCCGAGGCAGGTGGATCACCTGAGGTCAGGAGTTTGAGACTAGCCTAACATGGTGAAACCCCGTCTCTACTAAAAATACAAAAAATATTAGTGGGGTGTGGTGGCACATGCCTGTAATCCCAGCTACTTGGGAGGCTGAGGCAGGAGAATCGGTTGAACCCGGGAGGCGGAGGTTGCTGTGAGCCCAGGTTGTGCCACTGCCCTCCAGCCTGGGCAACAAAAGCAAAACTCTGTCTCAAAAAAAAAAAAAAAAAAAATTGCCATGTTAAGTATTCTACAGTGTTATTTTTAATAAAGATTTGTATTTATGAGTGTACCATAATTTAATATTTCTTACTGTTGGGCATTAAGGTTGTTTCTGATTTTTTTTTTTTTACTAAATGTACCATAGCACTTAATATCTTTGCTTATATTTCTGATTACTTTCTTGGAATCCATTCTCATAAACTGATTTACTAGAAGAAAGGCTGCCAAACCATAAGTCTTATGATATATTCTATTGCTAAGTTACTCTACAGAAAAGATGGCTGCAATGTATACCCTTAATAATAGAGTACCCCCTTCCCTTCACCTTTGTGGATACTGAGAGTCACTGAGAAACAAGAATGCTGCCACCACCATCAGCGAAAATAGTTATTGTACTTTACATTTCTATATGTATTAATGACTAATAGTAGAAGTTGCCCCATATAGTGACCATTTGTGATTTTTTAAAACATGGATCATGTCTTCATGGCCTCTCAATTTTTCCTGTGTTAATCTGTGAAATTTCATTAAATACTAAGATTGTTGATGCTATCCAATTTCTTGATTATAATTTGTTTTTAATGTTTAGTGTTGTATTTCAGCATTATGCATCTAGATGCTGTTACTTGTGCATCTTTTCTTGCATTTTATCCTTCTACAAAGCCTTTCCACACACTGACATCAGTTACTTATCAATATTTTCCACTAGTTCTTTTATACTCTTACATTTTTTAAAAAACATTTAACCACTTTTAAATTTAGTTTCATAGTTGTGAGGAAGACATCAAACCTCCCCCCACCATAGTCAACTCACTGTTTTAGCTCAGTTTATTCTTGCACCATTTTTTGTGGGAGGGGGGAAATGAGATATGTGTGTTTAAAATAACAGCCTCCTTTGGGGCTGGGCGCGGTGGCTCACGCCTGAAATCCCAGTACTTGGGGAGACTGAGGTGAGCGGATCGCTTGAGTCCAGGAGTTTGAGACCACCCTGGCCAACAGAGCAAAACCTTGTTTTAGCCAGGTGTGGTGGTGGGCGCCTGTAGTCCCAGCTACTTGGGAGGCTGAGGTTGGAGGATTGCATGAGCCTGGGAGGGCAAGGCTGCAGCGAGCCATGATCATGCCACTGCCCTCCAGCCTGGGTGACAGTAAGACTGTCTCAAAAAACAAGTAAGTAAGTAAGTAAAGGCCAGGCGCGGTGGCTCATGCCTGTAATCCCAGCACTTCGGGAGGCCGAGGCAGGCGGATCACCTGAGGTCAGGAGTTCAAGACCAGCCTGGCCAACATGGTGAAACCCCGTCTCTACTAAAAATACAAGAAAATTAGCCGGGCATGGTGGCGAGCGCCTGTAATCCCAGCTACTCAGGAGGCTGAGGCAGGAGAATCGCTTGTACCCAGGAGGCAGAGGTTGCATTGAGCTGAGACAGTGCCATTGCACTCCAGCCTGGGCAAGAAGAGCAAAACTTCATCTCAAAAAAAAAAAAAAAGTAAGTAAGTAGATAAATAAAGAAATAAGACTGCTTCAATTTGCTTTTCAGGTTTGAAAAGGCCTCTGTGGAGTACCAGGAACACCTGTGTGCCATGATAGGTGTTCATTGCTGCATCTCCAGCTTTGACAAATCGGTGCTCACCTTAGCCAATGCTGGGTGTAACAGTGCCAGCCCGAAACATTGTCTGAATGGTGAGCGTTCAGTATTTTTAAATAAAGCAAAAGTTATAGTAATATATTTCGTACTGATGATCTTATCATGTTTTTAGGTTTCTGTGCTCTTTGAAATATTTCTAATTGATCTGAATCTCTCTCTTCTTACTTTATAAAATACTTTCAGGTGAATCCAGAAAAACTGTGCTGTCCAAACCGACTGACTCTTCCCCTGAGGTTATAAATTATTTAGGAAATAAAGCATGTGAGTGCTACATCTCAATTGCCGATTGGGCTGCTGTGCAGGAATGGCAGAACGCTATCCATGACTTGAAAAAGAGTACCAGTAGCACTTCCTTCAACCTGAAAGCTGACTTCAACTATATAAAGTAAGGCTTTCTGTTTCCAGTTATAAAACAAATTTCCAATAACTACGATGTTTTTCCTATGGCAAAAAAATATTAAAATTGGTCATATGTAGTAATACAAAATGGTTATATTTCTAACTTACTGCCATTATGAAAATGACAACAGGAAACTGACATCAGAGATGAGGGAAGGTATTTGTATAATGGGAAAACACTGCTGAGATAGTCATTTGGTATTAATTTTCAGAACCTGTTGTTCTAAAACCTTAATACAGTTTGAAGATTATGCCAGAGTGAATATAAAGAAAAATTTGTACTGCTTTAGAAAGAATCACATTTGATGGCTTTGTTTCTAAATGAGGTCTGAATATATCAAAAACATTTATTCTAATGAGGACAGAGTTTGTGAACATCTGTAAATTAAACTTTCTTCTCATTCCTCTGTGCTTTTATTAATTCTGTAATTCAAAACTGAGCACTCTGTTGCAGACACTTGGCTGGGAAGATAAAGGTCATTAGACTTTGTCTGATACTTCTACTGCTAAATGGGTTAATGTGTAATTGCTTCACTGAGCATGTGCTGTGACCCAGGCAGCACATAAAACAGACACAAATTCCAACCTTTTAAAGCAAAGATTAGATAAAGATTATTGATAGAAGGACTAATTGGACCTCACTCACCTTTTCTGTGCCATAAGGAAAGCAGTTAGGTAAAGCTGACCTTCTTTGGAGGGAAGACACAAGGTCAAGACATGCCCATCAGGATGCCCTTTGGGCCTAGACCTGATGTGAGAATGATGGGCTTGGAGTGTTCTGGAAATAGCTGGGAGGCCTGTGTGTTTAGGAGCGCCTTAAACAGTAGGATATAAGGGCAGAGAAGTAGCTGGGAACTGAGAAGAACTTTGGCTGTTATTCTAGTAAGACTGAAAATTTCAGGTGGGATTTGAACAGAGATGTGTTGTGATCTGACTTGGTTCATTCTGCTGTGGTGAAGAGACTGGAGGTGCGGGGCAAGTATGGAAGCATGGAGACCATTAATTTATGGGGGCAATGGTAGAGGGAAGAGAAACAATGCTATTAACTGGAGTAGGAGCACACAGAGAACAAGCCATGTTTTAAGATTTCTAATGAAATGTGCAGATGAGATTGTTGGGTAAGCTGTTAAGAATTGGATTTTGAACTAAGGAGACAGTCTAAGCTTGAGAGATTTGCAGATGATTAGTACACAGAAAAGGCCCTCTTTCCTTTTCAGTCTCTATACTCTAGAGCCTTTGTAAGCAACCAAACCAGAGAGAAGCCTCTGGAGAATAGTGAGTGAAGAGGAAGGAAGGCCTGGGTCAGAATCCTAGTTTAGCATTTTTGTGAAAGGATAGAAGAGGAAGCCATTCAAAAAAATAACAGGGACATTGAGAAGGGAAGTGCCCTAGATATAGGACATCCAGATGGGAGTAGTCAGCCTTGTCAGATGCTCTAGGGATTATAAGGAAAAAGAGTTTTGTAGAGAGACAGAAGAAGCTAGATTGAATAGTATTGAGTGGTAGAGACATTTGAAAATGAAAAGCTTGAGGTAAGTTATTTGGTCAGTGAGTTTTTCTTGAAGTCGAGGATAGGAAGCTGTTGCTGGAGGGAAATATGAGATGTTTATTTTAAATGTTGGAGAGATTATGTTCTTTTGGCCAAGGGGAAGGAGCCACTAGAAAGCAGAGGTTGAAGAAACAGGAGAAAGAACATTGATAGATTAACTGGCCCTCACCTTTTCTCTGCCTCAAGGAAAGCAGTCAAAGTTGGTATAGACAGAATTTCGGCAGTGTATGGTGGATTGGGGGTAGGGGTAGAGGAAATTAAAGCCTGTGTTTTTTTGTTTATTTGTTTGTTTTTTCTGAGGACTGAGTCATTAGCTGAAAGCATAGGGCATTATAGAGCATAGTGGGGACTTGGGGAACCTGCCACTGGAGAGGACTTAGGACCTTTTAATGGCAGAAATGATGACTGTGTTGGCAGCAGTTCATCAGTGCCCAGTACTCAAGGGTCCCCCTGAGAAGCCAGTGGTTGCACTGATCTAGGTAGAATCAGGCACAGAATAAGTCAGGTGATGTGCCTTTCTAGCACTGGCCTCAGGCTGAGTTATAAGGGAAGTTACACAGCGAGAGGGACAGGCAAAGATGGAAAAGAGAGAGTGAGAAACAGTGTCTTCTTCCTGGCTGGAGAGCCCGTGTCATGAAAATGGGGACAGGGTAAGGGATCTGAAAGGAGCAGCATAGAAGCTGGGAGGATGAGGCCTGTCTTCCTGGCATTGATGCTGCAGAACTACAGGAAAGAATTTCAGAGGTGTCATTATTTTTCATATAAGCAGATGAAAGAGAAGAATTCTTTGAAAAAAGAAAAGTAGGTGAAAAAGGGAGAGACAGAGGGATGCCAGCAGTGAAAGAAGCCAGGACTGAGATACAAGATTGTGATGCTGGGAGAGCTGCAAGGGCTCATGCTGTAGGTGAGGAGTGAGGCTGCACAGGGAGCTCACTGGCAGCTTGGAGAGAACTGGGTGTCAAAGTTGTCCTGCAGAGGTCTACTGTCAGTGTGTCAGGCTCTGAAGAGAACAGGCTGCAACACATGAAAACAGGAAGGAGACACAGGGGCGAGTCAGCTCCACTGAAAGTCTGTAGCTGTGACTTTCTGGTTTGCCACTCCAATTTGAGTACTAATTAAGTGGTAGTCACATCTTCAACATAAAAACCAAAATAATGGCATCCTCGTGGAAGGAATTTTGTCAGAAAAATGCTGTGTACTTTGCTGTCTTCCTAGGATTTGTTCTGTTTTTGTTTGTTTGTTTTTTTTAATGGTTCCACAGGCTGCATAGGAATACAAGCTAAGCAATATTTTAATTACAGATCATTAAGCAGCTTTGAGTCTGGAAAATTTGTCAAATGTACCGAGCAATTAGAATTGTTACCAGGAGAAAATATCAATCTACTTGCTGGAGGGTCAAAAGAAAAAATAGGTAGGTATTTGAGAAAATAGTTTTAAAGTTATTTTAGTGGACAAGTTGCTCAAAATGTTTGGCTTAGTATATTTTACTGGAAAATCTGGAAGTTATTTTACATTTTTGTGGGGGCAGAATCCCATGTGAAGCAACAAATTTAGGGCTGCCCTATTTATGTTTGATTTGGGAAATGAAAAGCACTTAAAATTAAGTCAAATAAAAAAAATGACCACCTTAATACTTTGAGATTTATCTAGCCATTTTGTTTGATAAAGGACAAAGTAGTGTTTCAGCTAAATATTTTTCTTGATTTTCATCTTGATGTGGCTCATTAAGTTCTTTATCACAAATGGAACACTTGATAAGATGTTATTAAAAAGTTTAATGAGTATTCTGGATTGAGCAAGACTTGCTAATGCAGGTCTAGATTTGTCCCCTTAAATAGTAGATTGACTTACCGATTTTCTTTTTTGTTGAGACAGAGTCTCACTCTGTTGCCCAGGCTGGAGTGCAGTGGCGCGATTTCGGCTCACTGCAACCTCCGCCCTCTGAGTTCAAGTGATTCTCCTGCCTCGGCCCCCTGAGTAGCTGGGATTACAGGTGTCTGCCACCGTGCCCAGCTAATTTTTTGTATTTTTAGTAGAGACGGGGTTTCATCATCGTGGCCAGGCTGGTCTTGAACTCCTGACTTCGTGATCCACCCACCTTGGCCTCCCAAAGTGCTGGGATTACAGGCGTGAGCCACCACACCTGACCTCGACTTAGTGATTTTTGAGCCTTTGAAGGCAACTGCTTTTTAGGGGTCTGAGGTACAGTAATTTTGTATGAAGTATGATTTTTATATAGCTCTCAGTAATGCTTATAGTGTTTAACTGCCTGAAATATTAAAGGAGCTGTTCATTGGTGATTAGTTCTTAATAATGCCAAACATAAATCAAAATTTATAATAAAAGCACATTAACTTAATGACATTTCATTTAACTTCTGTAGACATGAAAAAACTGCTTCGTAACATGTGAAGTCCAGATCCAAGGGAACCTCAGAAATCCATTGAAGTTCCATTGTTAAGAAGTTCTGTTTGTTTGGCAACTGCTTTAAACCCGATAGAACAAGATCAGAAGTGGCAGTCTATAACTGAGTAAGTTTACTCTTACGGAGGTAAATGTACATTGTGTATATCATGTGATAAACATACATGGGGTGAAGAGGGCTGGAAGGAGAGTTACTAGATTACTAAATACTAGTGCTAATAGCTTCATTTTAGTTGTAGAAGTCATATGATATATGAATGCTGCTTGCCAACAAAAACTGAGGTTGAAATGAAATAAAATGTAAAAATCCCCAAAAGCAAATGTCTTGACTTGCTGATATCATTTTATTATAGAGCAGGCTGCTCCTCTTACTGCCCCCTAACTTTGGATGTCAGTTTGATAGCATCTTATCAATTGCTTTATTCTTTGAGTGGTTATGAATTGTAATTTTTATTAATTGACAGTAAATATTTTGTTTCAGAAATGTGGTAAAGTACTTGAAGCAAACATCCCGCATCACTATTGGACCTCTGAGACTTTCTACTTTAACAGTTTCACAGTCTTTGCCAGTTCTAAGTACCTTGTAGCTGTATTGCTCGTTTGCTTTGGAGACCACAGTTTCTAACAGACTTTCAACAGAGGTCTGTATATTTTTACAAGCACACTCTTATGACTATTAATGGTCATTACTGTAGAACAAAGACCTTATTTTTTGAGTTTTTTGGAATAGGATTTGTAGTTGGGCAAGCTGGTAAATCCAGAAATCTAACATGCCGTTTTCAGGCAGTCTTTCATTTGGGAAGTACATGGGGCAGATGGAAGAACCTGAGATAATCGCAAGGATGGCAAATTGCTCAGTTTTTTCTTCTATTTTTGGGGTGGGAGGTGGTGTATGTAAAGACAGTTCCTTTAGGCGGATTACGTAAATTTTAGATTTGCTGCAAACAAAGATCTCTCCTCTTCATCCTAAATGGGGTAAAGTTCGACCAGAGATGGGGGCTTCTGAATGAATGGTGATCTTCGAGAACTTCATAATAAAGCATTAGTTGTAATGTTTTTCTGCAGTCTGCTTTATAGTAAATGTGCTGTGACATTTTTTTTGTAATGTGCTTTATTAAGTATATTGATAAATTAGACTTAATATTCTGAAGAAGATTTCCCTTCAAAACAAAAGGCTTTCTCTTACTGTGTGCTTGCCTCTTGTGAGTAGAAGATAAATGATGGAAGGGTATAGTGTAATAGATAAAACTACTGCAATCAATCTGAAGTAGCCAAACTATATTGCAGTCTTGGACTTAAGACTTGCTATATATCTGCAAACATATCAACAGCCTGTTTTACGTTGAGTAATTTTGGTTTTTCTCTGGCAGGACTGTCTTATTCCACTCTTCGGCGAAGCTTTACGTTCATGTAAACAGCATGACGTGAGGCCGTGGATGCAGGCATTAAGGTATACTGTGTACCAGAATCAGTTGTTGGAGAAAATTAAAGTTAAGTGGTTTTCCTTTTTTTTTTTTTTGTAAGAGAAAATTAAAGGTGGTTTTTTTTTTTTAATTTTGCTTTATTGAGGTTTATATTACACATTCTAAGTGTATGGTTTGATGAGTTCTAACATGTCTTCACTTGTGTGACCACCAATACGATCGAGATACAGAACAGCATCTTACCCCAGAAGGTTCCCTTGAGATCATCTCCTCATTTGCCCCTGTCAGCAGTTACTGATTTGCTTTCTGTCACTATGGATTAGACTTGTCTTTACTAAAGTTTCATGTACGTGAAATCATAACAACATGTTCTCTTGTGTTTGGCTTCTCTTGCTCAGCATGATATTTTTACGGTTCACCCATATTGCATGTATCAGGAATATAATCCTTTTTATTATTGAGTAGTGTTCTATTGTATGTATATACCACAGTTTATTTCTCCCTTCATCCTTTGCTAGATTTTGGGGTTTTTTCACATTGCGCTATTCAGTATAAACCTGCTCTCAACATTCATGTGCAAGTCTTTGAGTGGACATATATTTGCGTTTCTCTTGAGTGAATGCACCTTGTTGGGTCACGTGGCTTAACTTAAAAAAATTTTAATCACTGTGGTGCATATGTAGTGATTATTAGTGATTATCTCATAATTTTATTTTCTTGATGACTAATGATGTTGAGTGTATTTCATTTGTATTTTAGTTTGCAAATGTTTGTTCAAATTCTTCACCCGTTTTTAATGAAGATGTACGACTTATTTTTGTGTTCTGAACAGAAGTTCTTTGTCACATAAAATGTGCTATGAATGTTGAGTTTTAAATACTCCAAATGAATGGCTAGAGAATTACTATTTGTAGAAATATTTATATGTCAAAGGGATGCTAACAATTTACTTTATTGCTCTAAAATAGAAAAGTTGCCAGAATGCTGTGGAGTTTTAGTGGAAAACATGATAGCTGGTGTTACTGAGTAAATTTGAGTGTTAAATGTCAATGTAAGCTAACGGCCAAGATAGGGACCACTGCAGGGTGGTTACTTGCAGCTGTGACTCAACTGGTCCTTCACTGCCAAACATACCTGGGGTTGGATCATTGGCCTGACGTTTGCAAATTGAGGAACCTTAGGGCAAATCAGTGAACTTCTGAACTGCCTTCGTCTTCAGTTATATGGGGATTTCCCCACTTTTGAGATCCTTGTAAGGATTATATGAGATGAAGAGATGAGACAAGGTATATAAAAGTCCTAGCACAGAGCGTGTCATATAATATGGCTTCACAAGTACCCTCATCTCCTTTCCAGTCGTTTTTTGTTTTTGTTTTTGTTTTTTTGAGACCATCTCACTCTGTTGCCCAGGCTGGAGTGCCTCTTCATTTTTATTTCTTTATTCAGCAAGTATTGATCAAATGTGCTTTGTACCAGGTACTGAGCTCTACGTTGGGATATAATGGTGATCAAGGAGATTGTAGATTCTGGCAGGGAAAACTGACATCAAACACGGCGACCCGACATAGTGAGACCCTGTCTCTACTAGAAGAACTTTAAAAATCACCTAGGTGTGGGCCGGGCACGGTGGCTAACGCCTGTAATCCCAGCACTTTGAGATGCTGAGGCAGGTGGATCACGAGGTCAGGAGATCGAGACCATCCTGGATAACACGGAGAAACCCCGTCTCTACTAAAAATACAAAAAAATTAGCCGGGCGTGGGGGCGGGCATCTGTAGTCCCAATTACTCGGGAGGCTGCAGCAGGAGAATGGCATGAACCCGGGAGGCGGATCTTGCATTGAGCCAAGATCACGCCACTGCACTCCAGCCTGGGCGACAGAATGAGACTCCATCTCAAAAAAAAAAAAAAGAAACCAAGGATATAGAATAAAACAAGAGTGTAGATTTGGGCATTGAGGCCTTCAAATTGGATTGTTCCCAATGTCCAGAAGAAAAAAAAAATTTAGAAGAGACCCAAATCAGAAAACAAAAGTTGGGCTGAATTCAATGCGAATTATTTTCTAGCTCAATATTAATACTGCTTATGTCAGCTGAATTTCAGCCTTTCAATAACAGCTAGTCAAGTATTTTTTTAGTTGGTTCCTATTGATCGTCATCTTATTTTAGTGGAATCCATTATATTGAAGATGTCAAGTTCCTCATTTCCCATACAAAGAATGTGAGATTCATCTTTCTTGAATCTTTGCTAAGTGTTGAAGGGGACTTTTGGCATCTTTTCAGGAGGACTATAATTGGGCCCTCTAACTAAAAAGTCTCCTATGCCCCTTAGATAGATGAGATTTTTTTTTTTTGACCTTGTACCCACCAACATTGGTGGGAGGCTCAGAAGGGACTGTGTTTGTAACTTTGTAGCACTTTCTAAACAGTGACCTGTTGTATGGGCATTATAGGACAGTCCGTGGGGTGGGGCGGGGGATGGGGGAGATGGACAAATGAGGTCTGGTTTAAAGAATGAGAAGTGTGACCAGGCATGGTGACTCATGCCTGTAATCCAGCACTTTGGGATGCTGAGGCAGGAGGATCACTTGAGCCCAGGAGTTTGAGGTTACAGTAAGCTATGATTGTGCCACTGGGCTCCAGCCTGGGTGACAGAACTAGACCCTGTCTCTAAAAAAAGAAGAAGAGGTGTGTATCCTTCTAAATGATAAAACAGATCACTCCCCTGCTTACATAAAACTTTCCGGTGGCTGGCCAGGCACGGTGGCTCACGCCTGTAATCCCAGCACTTTGGGAGGCCATGGTGGGCAGATCACGAGGTCAGGAAATCGAGACCATCCTGGCTAACGTGGTGAAATCTTGTCTCTACTAAAAACACAAAAAATTAACCCAGGTATGGTGGCATGCACCTGTAGTCCCAGCTACTCGGGAGGCTGAGGCAGGAGAATCGCTTGAACCAGGGAGGTGGAGGTTGCAGTGAGCTGAGATTGCGCCACTGCACTCCAGCCTGGGTGACAGAGACTCTGTCTCAAAAAAAAAAAAAAAAAAGAAAAAGAAAAATTAGATGGGTGTGGTGGCATGTGCCTGTAATCCCAGCTACTGGGGAGCCTGAGGCAGGAGAATCGCTTGAACCTGGGAGGCAGAGGTTACAGTGAGCCAAGATTGCACCACTGCAGTCTGCCTGGGTGACAGAGCTAGACTCTGTCTCAAAAACAGAAAAACAAAAAAACAACTTTCCAGTGGCTTCTCACTGCTCTGAGAATAAACTCCAGGCTCTTCCATTGCAACCAACAGGATCTGGTGATTCGACCCCAGCCCCTCTTTCCAGGCCCTCATCACCTTGATCCTCCCTTAACCTATCCTGCTCCAGCTGCACTGGCTGCCTTCCTATTCCTCCAGCATACCAAGATTGTTTCTGCCACAGGGCCTTTGCATCTGCTGTTCTCTTCGCCTGGACACCTCTTGGTTCTTTTTTTTTTTTTCCTTTGAGATGGAGTCTCACTCTGTCGCCCAGGCTGAAGTGCAGTGGCGCGATCTCGGCTCACTGCAAGCTCCATCTCCCAGGTTCATGCCATTCTCCTGCCTCAGCCTTCCGAGTAGCTGGGACTACAGGCATCCGCCACCACGCCCGGCTAATTTTTTTGTATTTTTAGTAGAGACAGGGTTTCACCGTCTTAGCCAGGATGGGCTCGATTTCCTGACCTCGTGATCCGCCCGCCTGGGCCTCCCAAAGTGCTGGGATTACAGGTGTGAGCCACCGTGCCTGGCCATAGAGCAGTCTCTTCCTTTTCCTGTTGGGTCTCTGCTCAAATGTCATGTCAGAGAGGCAGACCTCTGGGGCGGTCTATCTGAGGGAATGCACCCATCTCCCTTCCTCTGACCAGTTAGTTACCTTGCTTATTCTTTCAAAGCTCTTACCACCACCTGAAGTCATCTATCTGGTTTGGTTATTTTATTGTTTAGTAGCAGTCTTTATTTTATTATTATTATTTTTTTTTTATGGAGTCTCACTCTGTTGCCCAGGCTGGAGTGCAGTAGCATGATCTCGGCTCACCAGAACCTCTGCCTCCCAGGTTCAAGCAATTCTCCTGCCTTAGCTTCCTGAGTAGCTGGGACTACAGGCACGTGCCACCATGCCCAGCTGATTTTTGTACTTTTAGTAGAAACGGGGTTTCACTATGTTGGCTGGTCTTGAACTCCTGACATCAAGTGATCCGCCCACCTCGGCCTCCCAAAAAGTACTGGGATTACAGGCATGAGCCACCACGCCAGGCTGGTAGCAGTCTTTCCTAGAATGTGGATGCCTTGGAAAACAGGGGCTCTGCCTTGTTTCCCTATAACCTAGAATGGCATCTGGCACACAGCAGATGCTACATCTATTGTAAATGAATGAATGAAAGAAGTGTCCTTGCAGCCACACTGGCAGCCATAACATAGTGGTTATAAATCTAGACTCTGGAGTCTCAAGTGCAAATGTCATTGGCCTCTCCTCCAGCCTCCTCAAGGGGCACTCAATGACTGGAAGCGCCCTGATATGACTGTGGTTAGACTGACATGACTGCCAGATGGTGGGACTTGGTCTGGAGCAGAGACTACTTGGAATGGTAGAGGCAAAACTCAACAGCCCCTGGAGCTGCGCTTGTGGTGGAGCTGGACCCTGATTTTAGCTGGACCTTGTTTTTAGAGACAGGGTTTCCTTCTGCAGTCTCAATCTCCTAGCCTTGATTGATCCTCCTGCCTTGGCCTCCCAAAGTGCTGGGACTACAGGTGCATGCAACCACACCTGGCTAATTTTCTTTTCTTCTTTCTTTCTTTCTTTTTTTTTTTTTTTTTTTTTTTTTTTGATGGAGTCTTGTTCTGTTGCCCAGGCTGGAGTGCAATGGTGCCATCTCGGCTCACTGCAACCTCTGCCTCCTGGGTTCAATCCATTCTCCTGCCTCAGCCTCCCAAGTAGCTGGGACTACAGGTGTGTGCCACCGTGCCTGGCTAATTTTTGTATTTTTAGTAGGGACGAGACTTCACCATGTTGGCCAGGCTGGTCTCGACCTCCTGACCTCAGGTGATCCACCCACCTTGGCCTCCCAAAGTGCTGGGACTACAGGCACATGCAACCACGTCTGGCTAATTTTCTTGAGTTTCAGTAGAGACTGGGTCTCGTTATGTTGTCCAGGCTGGTCCCGAGCTCCTGAGTTCAGTCGATCTTCCTGCCTTGGTCTCCCAAAGTGCTGGGCCTACAGGCGTGAGCCACCATCCCCAGCCCAATTTTTGTATATTTTGTAGAGACACAGTCTTGCTATGTTGTCCAGGCTGGTCTCAAACTCCTGGGCTCAAGGGATCTTCTTGCCTTGGCCTCCCGGAGCACTTAATTACAGGAATGACTGCATGTGCTGTTGTGCCTATACTTTCTGGAGATACGTTGTTAGGAATTTATGTAGTTGGCCGGGCACGGTGGCTCACGCCTGTAATCCCAGCACTCTGGGATGCCGAGGCAGGTGGATCACCTGAGGTCAGGAGTTCGAGACCAGCCTGGTCAACATGGTGAAACCCTGTCTGTACTAACAATACTAAAATCAGAGGTTGCTTGCAGTGAGCCAAGATCATACCATTGCACTCCAGCCTGGGCAACAGAGCGAGACTCTGTCTCAAAAAAAAAAAAAAAGAAAAAAAGGAATTTACATAGTTGAACAACTATTCTTTGGACATCTTTTAGTCCAGTAGACGGTGTTAAACTTGAAGACAAATAACGATTTGACCTGTGATATTTGTTTTTCCCTCTTATCTTCTAAGCCCATTCATCCAGATCATTCATCACCTTTAAAGGCATCCCCAAAGGGAGGCAGGTCTGGACAGAGCTGAAGATTGCACAGGCCATTTGCAGGCTGGATTCGTTCTCTGGTGACCCACCTGTCTGACTCGAATTATTTTTTTCCCATGTCTGGACAAGACTGACCTCTGCCCAGCAACTGAGGCCTGGATTTAGTCCAAGGGCCCTCAGTGGCTTTTTTGTTTGTTTGTTTTTTCAGGAAGTGAAGAATTTAGAGGGATAAAAGGCGGAAATAACTTTTCAGCCTCTGACCTTTGTAACAATCTGGTTTCCTTTTAAAGGAGCATTGTTTGGGCCTGGGGCCACCTAGACCTTCTGATGCTCTTTCCCCACCCTTGGAGGAGGAGGAAAGGAAGAAAATGGGCCCTGAGCGATCACCACATACCAGGCCCTGGGGGTCTAGTGGCGAAGGAGGCAGGTAGGGTCTCTTGCTTTCATGGAGCTTCTAGTCAAGCGAGACGCACTAAACAGTAAAGGGACAAATAGGATTACTGGAGGTAGCCCTAACTACTGGGACAGAAACAAGATGGTAAGATAGAGAAGGAAGAGTGGCCTGCTCAGATGGGGTGGTCCAGAGGCCTCTCGGGGGAGGTGACTCCTTTTTGTTTTATTTTTTTTGAGATGGAATCTAGCTCTGTCGCCCAGCCTGAAGTGCGGTCGTGTGTTTCATGCGCGTCCGTGTGAAGAGACCACTAAACAGGCTTTGTGTGAGCAACATGGCTGTTTATTTCACCTGGGTGCAGGCGGGCTGAGTCCGAAAAGAGAGTCAGCAAAGGGTGGTGGATTATCATTAGTTCTTACAGGTTTTGGGATAGGGGGTGAAGAGCCATGTTTGCAGGCAGGGGTGGATCTCACAAAGTACATTCTCAAGGGTGGGGAGAATTACAAAGAACCTTCTTAAGGGTTGGGGAGATTACAAAGTACCTTCTTAAGGGTGGGGGAGATTACAAAGTACATTGAACAGTTAGGGTGGGGCAGAAACAAATCACAATGGTGGAATGTCATCAGTTAAGGCTATTTTTACTTCTTGTGTGGATCTTCAGTTACTTCAGGCCATCTGGATGTATACGTGCAAGTCACAGGGGATGCAATGGCTTGGCTTGGGCTCAGAGGCCTGACAGTGTGATCTTGGCTCACTGCAAACTCTGCCTCCTGGGTTCAAGCAATTTTTGTGCCTCAGCTTCCCGAGTAGCTGGGATTACAGGTGCCCGCCACCATGCCCAGCTAATTTTTGTATTTTTAGTAGAGACATAGAGTTTCACCAGATTGGCCAGGCTGGTCTCGAACTCCTGTCTCACGTGTCTGTGTGAAGAGACCACCAAACATGCTTTGTGTGAGCAACATGGCTGTTTATTTCACCTGGGTGCAGGCGGGCTGAGTCCAAAAAAGGAGTCAGCAAAGGGTGGTGTGATTATCACTGGTTCTTATAGGTTTGGGGATAGGCGGTGGAGTTAAGAGCAGTGTTTTGGGGGCAGGAGGTGGATCTCATAAAGTACATTGTCAAGGGTGAGGAGAATTACAAAGAAACTTCTTAAGGGTGGGGGAGATGATAAAGAACCTTCTTAAGAGTGGGGCAGATTACAAAGTACATTGATCAGTTAGGGTGGGGCAGAAACAAATGACAATGGTGGAATGTCTTCAGTTAAGGCTGTTTTCACTTCTGTGGATCTTCAGTTGCTTCAGGCCATCTGGATGTATACGTGCAGGTCACTGGGATATGATGGCTTAGCTTGGACTCAGAGGCCTGACATTCCTGTCTTCTTATGTTAATAAGAAAAATAAAACAAAATAGTGGTAAAGTGTTGGGGTGGCGAAAATTTGTGGGGGTGATATGGAGAGATAATGGGCGATGTTTCTCAGGGCTGCTTCGAGCGGGATTAGGGGCGGCCTGGGAACCTACAGTGGGAGAGATTCAACTGAAGAAAGATTTTGGGGTAAGGGCTGATACTGTGGGGTTGTTAGAAGGAGCATTTGTCATATAGAATTATTGGTGATGGCCTGAATACGGTTTTGTATGAATTGAGAAACTAAACAGAAGACACACAGTCCGAATAAGAGAAGGAGAAAAACAGGTATTAAAGGACTAAGAATTGGGAGGACCCAGGACATCCAATTAAGAGAGTGCCCAAGGGGGTTCAGCATAATTATTTGCTTGGTTGGCAAGTTTTTGGACTCTATCCTTGAGTTTTTTTATGTTGTCATATACCAGGCCAGATTGATTTAGGTAAAAACAACACTCTTCATTTAAAAATATACAGAGTCGTCCTTTTTCAGCAATGAGTAAATTGAGGCCTTGGCGATTTTGGAGGAAAGAGAATTGCAAAGCCAGCAATTGTTTCTTTTTTTATTTATTTATTTACTTATTTTTTAAAATTATACTTTAAGTTATAGGGTACATGTACACAATGTGCAGGTTTGTTACATATGTATACATGTGCCATGTTGGTGTACTGCACCCATTAACTCGTCATTTACATTAGGTGTATCTCCTACTGCTATCCCTTCCCCCTCCCCCACCACACAAGAGGCCCCAGTGTGTGATGTTCCCCTTCCTGTGTCCAAGTGTTCTCATTGTTCAATTCGCATCTGTGAGTGAGAACATGCGGTGTTTGGTTTTTTGTCCTTGTGATAGTTTGCTGAGAGTGATCGTTTCCAGCTTCATCCATGTCTCTACAAAGGACATGAACTCATCCTTTTTTATGGCTGCATAGTACTCCATGGTGTATCTGTGCCACATTTTCTTAATCCAGTCTATCATTGATGGACATTTGTGTTGGTTCCAAGTCTTCACTATCGTGAATATTGCCGCGATAAACATATGTGTGCATGTGTCTTTATAGCAGCATGATTTATAATCCTTTGGGTATGTATCCAGTAATGGGATGGCTGGGTCAAATGGTATTTCTAGTTCTAGATCCCTGAGGAATCGCCACACTGTCTTCCACAATGGTTGAACCAGTTTACAGTCCTACCAACAGTGTAAAAGTGTTCCTATTTCTCCACATCCTCTCCAGCACCTGTTGTTTCCTGACTTTTTAATGATCGCCATTCTAACTGGTGTGAGATGATATCTCATTGCGGTTTTGATTTGCATTTCTCTGATGGCCAGTGATGATGAGCATTTTTTCATGTGTCTGTTGGCTGCATAAATGTCTTCTTTTGAGAAGTGTCTGTTCATATGCTTTGCCCACTTTTTGATGGGGTTTGTTTTTTTTTCTTGTAAATTTGTTGGTGTTCTTTGTAGATTCTGGATATTAGCCTTTTGTCAGATAAGTAGATGGCAAAAATTTTCTCCCATTCTCTAGGTTGCCTGTTCACACTGATCCTAGTTTCTTTTGCTGTGCAGAAGCTCTTTAGTTTAATTAGATCCCATTTGTCAGTTTTGGCTTCTGTTGCCATTGCTTTTGGTGTTTTAGACATGAAGTCCTTGCCCATCCCTATGTCCTGAATGGTATTGCCTAGGTTTTCTTCTAGGGTTTTTATGGCTTTAGGTCTAACATTTAAGTCTTTAATCCATCTTGAATTAATTTTTGTATAAGGTGTAAGGAAGGGATCCAGTTTCAGCTTTCTACATAGGGCTAGCCAGTTTTCCCAGCACTATTTATTAAGTAGGGAATCCTTTCTGCATTTCTTGTTTTTGTCAGGTTTGTCAAAGATCAGATGGTTGTAGATGTGTGGTATTATTTCTGAGGGCTCTGTTCTGTTCCATTGGTCTATATGTCTGTTTCGGTAGCAGTACCAGGCTGTTTTGGTTACTGTAGCCTTGTAGTATAGTTTGAAGTCAGGTAGCATGATGCCTCCAGCTTTGTTCATTGGGCTTAGGATTGTCTTGGCAATGTGGGCTCTTTTTTGGTTCCATATGAACATTAAAGTAGTCTTTTGCAACTCTCATCAGCCCAGTTTAATATTACCTATTTATTATAATGTAATGCTGCTCGGACAACTGAGAAAATACTGTTGCTTTACCCCCTCCAGCTCTGTAGCAGCCACGCAGAAATCATAGAACTGTAAACATATGCTAATTACACAACCTATGTAGGCAATCAATATTAAGAAAAATTTTTACTGCTCGGTATTTCTGTGGTTGAAAATGTAGAGTCTAATTTTGATCCGCAGTAACATCTAGGTTAATGTTGATTCAGAAGGAAAACGTTTGTTGTTGCCATGAGAAGAGGCATTGAAATGCTGAATCACCACCACAAATGTTACCACTATTAATATAAGGAGATACATAGGAAGATGGAATTAGACCATCTCGGACCACCAGGTTTACAATTCCACCTGCAGATACATGCAAGAAGTATTGTCACAATACTTATGTCACGTTATTCCGTTGAGGTCATCACCAACTAAGCTTATAATTAATGTGTGGTCAATTTGGTCAATGTCACCAGCGTAGCATACTAACAAAAACAAGGGTTGCAAAGTCAAATGCCTATAAGGCAGAACGTAAGACGGTAGGAAGCAAAGTCTATAGGGAGCTATATAATAGAGGCTGCAGATTCATGGCAGATTCTAAAGCACAGCAGTCCCCAACATTTTTGGCACCAGGGACCGGCTTTGTGGAAGACAATTTTTCCACAGGCGGCAAGGGATGGGGCGCAGGATGGTAATGGTCTTGGGATGAAACTGTTCCACCACAAATCATCAGGAATTAGATTCTCATAAGGAATATGCAACCTGGATCCCTCGTGTGTGCAATTCACAACAGGGTTCATGCTCCTGTAAGAATCTAATGATGCTGCTGATCTGACAGGAGGCAGAGCTCAGGCAGCAATGCAAGCAATGGGGAGCAGCCAGAAATACAGACGAAGCTTCAATTGTTACCCACCATTCACCTCCTGCTCTGTGGCCCAGTTCCTAACAGGCCACAGACCAGTACATGTCCATGGCCCAGGGGTCAGGGACCCTGCTGTGGCACATTGCTTAATAGAGGACTGTAGCAGCCATGTGCCCTGACCTTTCCTTTTTTTTTTTTTTTTTTTTTTTTTGAGATGCCAGAAACCCAGAATTTTTTTTTTTTTTTTTTTTTTTAAGACAAGGTCTGGCTCTGTTGCCCAGGTTGGAGTGTAGGAGGGCGATCTCAGCTCACTGTAACATCAACCTCCCAGGCTCAAGCAATCCTCTCACTTCAGCCTCCCACGTTGCTGGGATTACAGGCACACTCCACTACACCCAGCTAATTTTTTTGTATTATTTGTAGACATGGGGTTTCGCCATGTTGCCCAGGCTAGTCTGGAATTCCTGAGGTCAAGCTGTCTGCCCATCTCAGCCTCCCAAAGTGCTGGGATTGCAGGAGTGCACCACCACACCTGGCCTGAAACCCAGATTTTATTTATTTATTTATTCATTTTTTGAGATGGAGTCTTGCTCTATTGCCTAAGCTTGAGTGCAGTGGCGCGATCTTGGCTCACTGCAACCTCCACCTCCCTGGTTCAAGCGATTCTCCTGCCTCAGCCTCCCAAAGTGCTGGGATTACAGGCATGCAACACCACACCCAGCCTGAAACCCAGATTTTTAATATGAAATCAAAGTCTTCAGACCTTGTAGGTGTCATAAAAAGCACGCTGAGGACCACTAGTTTGCAACTGCCAATCTAAAATATCATAGACATTATATCACTTTAACCACGAAAAAAAAAGTATGTGAGGCAGAAAATGGAAGCAACCATGCCTAATTTATTGTTGAATACTTTTTCCGTATACCAAGAGCTTCCTTTGCACTAGCATCTGAAACTATATCCAGAATGACACTGGTTTTCATAAAAGTGTTGATCCTCACACCTCTTTATAGTCTTGCACCTAGCCCAGTGGAGTGAAACACTTTAAATAGCACTTGTTCCTTGAGTATATATGGAAAAAAGTGAAGTATTGATAAGTGCTCAGCTAATATGAGCAGCATCTCAGGAGTCTCCAATTCTTGAATTACCAGGGAGTATTTTTACCATTTTCCCCCAGTGAAAGGCCTATTTTGAGAGACTTATCCTCCAAAATGAATGTATTAAGTCATGTTCCTTTTTTTTTTTTTTTTTTGAGACAGGGCCTTGCTCTGTTGCCCAGGCTGGAGTGCAGTAGCATGATAGTTACAGGAAAGGGGTCCCAATCTAGACCCCAAGAGAGGGTTCTTGGATCTTGTGCAAGAAAGAATTCAGGGTGATGCCACAGTGTGAAGTGAAAGCAAGTTTATTAAGAAAGTAAAGGAGGAGGGGCACCGTGGCTCACTCCTGTAATCGCAGCACTTTGGGAGGCCGAGACAGGTGGATCACGAGGTCAGGAGATCAAGACCATCCTGGTTAACACGGTGAAACCTCATCTCTACTAAAAATACAAAAAAATTAGCCAAGTGTGGTGGCCGGTGCCTGTAGTCCCACCTACTCTGGAGGCTGAGGCAGGAGAATGGGATGAACCCGGGAGGCGAAGCTTGCAGTAAGCCGAGATCGCGCCACTGCACTCCAGCCTGGGTGACAGAGGGAGACTCCATCTCAAAAAAAAAGAGAGAAAGTAAAGGAATAAAAGAATGGCTACCCCATAGACGGAGCAGCCGTGAGGGCTGCTGGTTGCCCATTTTTATGGTTATTTCTTGATGATATGCTAAACAAGGAGTGGATTTTTCATGCCTCCTCTTTTTAGACCATATAGGGTAACTTCTTGATGTTGCCGTGGCATTTGTAAACTGTCATGGTGCTGGTAGGAGTGTAGCAGGGAGGATGATGGGAGGTCAGTCTTGTCTCTATTTTGGTTTTGGTGGGTTTTGGCCAGCTCCTTCACTGCAACCTGTTTTATCAGCAAGGTCTTTATGACTGGTATTTTGTGCTGACCTTCTATGTCATCCTGTGACTTAGAATGCCTTAACCATCAGGGAATGCAGCCCAGTAGTTTCAGCCTCATTTTTCCTGGCTCCTATTTAAGATGGAGTTGCTCTGGTTCACACACCTCTGACATGATCATTGCCCACTGCGGCTTCCACCTCCCGGGTTCAAGAGATCCTCCTGCCTCACCCTCCCAAGGTGCTGGGACTACAGGTGTGTGCCACCACGCTCAGCTAATTTTTGTATTTTTTGTAGAGATGGTGTTTTTCCATGTTGCCCAGGCTGGTCTCAAACTCCTGGGCTCAAGCAATCCTTCTGTCTCAGCCTCCCAAAGTACTGGGATTACAGGCATGTCCCACCATGCCCAGACTAATATTTACTTTTAATCAGACTAAGATAGGGTTACTACTTGAGTTGCTATGGCTCCAGCTGAAAGAAAGCCCGTGCAGTCATATCACGCGTAAACATTTGCTTTATGCTAAAAATATGGTGGACCTGGCATTACAGCTATTACAAATCTCCTAAGATGTCTCGGGTAGTGTATTAGTTACTTTTCATACTGCTATGAAGAAATACTGGAAACTGGGTAATTTATAAAGAAAAAGAGGTTTAATGTACTCACAGTTCCACAAGGCTGGAGAGGCCTCAGAATCATGGTGGAAGGCAAGGAGCAAAAAGGTATGTCTTCCATGGCAGCAGGCAAGAGAGCACGTGCAGGGAAACTGCCCTTTATAAAACCATCAGATTTAGTGAGATGTATTCACTATCACGAGAACAGTATGGGAAAAACCTGCCCCCATGATTCGATTACCTCCTACCGGGTCCCTCCCACGACACATGGGGATTATGGGAACTACAATTCAAGATGAAATTTGGGTGGGGACGCAGCCAAACCATATCGGGTAGCAACAACCTAGGGTCAGTTTTGCAGGTGGTAAAGCCATTTACCAAGATAGTTGTAGGTAAAGAAGGGCAGATTTATTAGAGAAATTGTGAAAATATGTTGCAGTGGGCAGCTCAGCAGAGAAGGGGCTACCTGCAAAGAGGCAAGGGCTGGAGGAAAGTTTTATAGGGTCCTGCTGAAGGGTGCTACGTGTGGAATGAGGTCATTGTGCCCGCAGGTTGTTTGTGATTAGCTGTTTCTAACAATTGTTCATACAATCATTGTTCATTATTGTTCTCAACTTGGGGCTCTCCCCAACCTGGGGACCCTTCCTTATTGTTGCTTACTTATCAGGTCTCCACATAAAGGTGTGGAAACTTCATTCATTCATATCTTCAACACAAATTGTAGGTAGCCTGTTTTTTAAAACATTTATTCAACAAATATTTAGTCCAAGCCACTATTACTTATTACCTTCTCTACTATTGTATGGACTTTTAACTATCTCTGACACTATTCACTATTCTTCCACATTCTCTATTATTTATACCTATGGTAAAATTTGCCAGTTTGACCATACAACTAATACTCACAGGGAATATATAGAGTCTAGAAGAAAATATACAGGTCCTTAAAGGCTGCCCTGCCAACAAAACCATAACGCAGGAACAAACATCACAACTATGCCAAATAATCAATCCTACAATGTCCAAAATTTTACTTTAAAACTGGAATTTCCAGACTTCCTTTCTGCATTAACCAGTTTAACTAGACAGTAACGAAATATTCCTACTTTATGCTGTGATAGTTTGTTTATTTATTTATTTATTTATTTATTTGAGACAGAGTTTCGCTCTTGTTGCCCAGGCTGGAGTGCAGTGGCACGATCTCAGCTCACCACAACCTCCGCCTCCCAGGTTCAAGCGATTCTCCTGCCTCAGCCTCCCGAGTAGCTGGGATTACAGGCATGTACCACCACGCCCGGGTAATTTTGTATTTTTAGTAGAGACGGGGGGTTTCTCCATGTTGGTCAGGCTGGTCTAGAACTCCAGACCTCAGGTGATACCCCTGCCTCAGCCTCCCAATGTGCTGGGATTACAGCTGTGAAGCCACCGCGCCCGGCTGCTGTGATAGTTGAGATGTAAACCAAAAATAAAATTCTAAGCCACCCAATCCGACTGAATGGACCCTTCCTGTTGAGCAAGGACATTCCAAAGTAAACTGAAAAGACCAGCTTAGGCCATGATGGGAAGGGGAGGTGTCAACATGCCTCATTCTACCTTCCTCCCTCTGGAATCCAGACACAACTGACCAGCATTAACATTAAAACAGAGATCTTAAGCTGGGCACAGTGGCTCATGCCTGTAATCCCAGCACTTTGGGAGGCCAAGGTGGGATCACCTGAGGTCAGAAGTTCAAGACCAGCCTGGCCAGTATGGTGAAGCCATGTCTCTACTAAAAATACAAAATTAGCCGGACATTGTGGTGCACGTCTGTCATCCCAGCAAGGCAGGCGAATCACTTGAACCCAGGAAGCAGAGGTTGCAGTGAGCCAGGATCATGCCATTGCACTCCAGCCTGGTCAACGGAGCGAGACTCCGCCTCATTAAAAAAAAAAAAAAAAAAAATTAGCCGGGCGTGGTGGCGGGCACATGTAGTCCCAGCTACTAGGGAGGCTGAGGCAGGAGAATGGTGTGAACCAGGGAGGCGGAGCTTGCAGTGAGCCGAGATTGTGCCACTGCACTCCAGCCTGGACAGAAATGCATTTCATAATGCATTTTAATTGCATTAGCAGTGATTTAATTTTTTTAGATGTTAAAACTTATGGGTGAAAGTGGATTAAATGTAGCCAAATGCAACATCAAAATCTTCAGGCACAAAAACCCATTAACTTTTTCATACTCTCAGAAGGTGAACCTAATTTCAAATGAAAGCTGCCTCCAGAATATATTGTTAAGCGTATTCTAGATATAATTCATTTTGGCAAACATACTGTAGAAATTCACATAACATTTTACTGTACTAAAAGTAAATTGCCCATGTAACAAAAAATATCTTTTCAGAGCTTGAAATGAATTTTAAAGGATGACTGATGGTCCTTGGAAGAGAAATAGTAAACAAATAAGGTTTGTAGCAATGATGTATGAGTTAGAAATTGCAGTTCCAGATGATCTCTTTATTAAAGAGACGATCTACACTTAATTTGGTCAAGTGTTATGAACATAGTTCATGTTAAGTCTCCATTTAAATACAACCTGAAATACCAAAGTTAATTTTCTTTTCTTTCTTTCTTTTTTTTTTTTTTTTTTTAGAAGGAGTCTTGCTCTGTTGCCCTTCCTGGAGTGCAGTGACGTGATCTTGGCTCACTGCAACCTCCACCTCCTGGGCTTGAGCGATCCTACTGCCTCAGCCCCCCAAGTAGCTGGGAGGACAGGCGCAAGCCACGGCACTCAGCTAATTTTTGTATTTTTCGTAGAGATAGGGTTTCACCATGTTGCCCAATTTGGTCTCGAACTCCTGAGCTCAAGTGATCCGCCCGCCTTGGCCTCCCAAAGTGCTGGGATTACAGGCATGAGCCACCGTGCCTGGCCAGAAAATTGTAAACACACACAAACTCTCAAGTGGCCTAATTCCCTCTCACCAAACCAATCACAATACAGATAAAAGAGAATAACTTGTGTTCATTTTTGTACAAACAAAAAAGATATAAATTGTGAATGATGCATGATTTTTAATTACAAGTAAACTGGGCAAATGCTTCTGCATTATTTAAAGCTAAAAGGTGATCAGTGGAAACTTTCCTCTGTTAGTACTCTAATACTTTTTATATTTATCGGCTCACTACAACCTGTGCCTACCAGGTTCAAGCGATTCTCCTGTCTCAGCCACCTGAGTAGCCGAGACCACAGGCACGCACTACCATGTCCGGCTAATTTTGTATTTTTAATAGAGACAGGGTTTCACCGTGTTGGCCATGCTGGTCTTGAACTCCTGACCTCAACCGATCCGCCTGCCTTGGCCTCCCAAAGTTCTGGGATTACAAGCGTGAGCCACCGCGCCCAGCCTTATTATAATTGTTACTATTTAAATCTCTTTTGCTCTCTCCTTCAAGAGAGACCTCATCCCATTCAGTTGCTTCCATTTATTTATTCATCTTCTGCCTCCTGGGCTCGAGAGATCCTCCAGCGTGAGTCTCCCAAGTAGCTGGGACTACAGGCTCACACCACCAAGCTTGGCTAAATTTTGTAGGTTTTGGAGAGACAGGCTCTTGCCACGTTGCCTAGGCTGGTCTCAAACTCCTGGGCTCAGATGATCCACCTGCCTTCGCCTCCCAAAGCACTGGGACATGAGCCACCACGCCCAGCCGCAAGTACTTTTACACAAAATGCAAACACCATTCTTCCATCATAAAAGTGATACCACAGCTTCCGTGAAGTTTTGCCAGGTAGTACTCATAATTACCTTGGGTAAACTTTTTGATGTTAAACTGTATCTTCTTATTACGAGTTTTTCCATTGTATTAACTGCTTTTACAACAACACAAATAACAAGTTATTTTACAAACCATTTAGAAATTTCTGTACTATGGTCCCAGTAATGTAAAATATATTAATGCCTATTACATTCAGATAAATTATACACTTGGAAACCACATACTTATGACTTACAGAAATTTACATAAACAAATTATAGAAATTATATGCTCAATTTTTAGGTATATAGTCTTAAATTAAGCTTAAATATACATTCTCAAGATAAATTAACAGTTCAGGGCTTCACAACTTGAAATCTGTGGAAGATGACATTGGAGACAACAGAACTCTGGTGGAATTCTTAGATGGAATTTGCCGAAACTTTTTTTTTTTTTTTTTTTGAGATGGAGTGTCACTCTGTCGCCCAGGCTGGAGTGCAGTGGCGCAATCTCAGCTCACTGCAAGCTCTGCCTCCCGGGTTCACGCCATTCTTCTGCCTCAGCCTCCCGAGTAGCTGGGACTACAGGCGCCCACCGCCACGCCCAGCTAATTTTTTATATTTTTAGTAGAGATGGGGTTTTACTATGTTAGCCAGGATGGTCTCGATCTCCTGACCTTGTGATCCACCCGCCTTGGCCTCCCAAAGTGAAACTTTTCTTTAAAATAGAGATGGGATCTTGCTGTATTGCCCAGGCTGGTCTCAGACTCCTTGCCTTAAGCAGTCCTCCCACCTCAGCCTCCTAAAGTGCTGGGATTACAAGCGTGAAGCATTACATCCAAGTGAAACTTCTTGAGATGGTTACATAATGTCTAAATCTGCTGGTGTAGAAGTTAATAAAGTGTAGAACTGAATAAATATTAAATATTAGATCAAGTTTCTCATGTTTATCTTAACGTATAACGATTTATCTTAAAGCACTGATTTTCACAAAATAACATCAGTGTGAAATTGGAAAAGAAGCCAAATATTTTATTTCATGTATCTGGGAAATGAGGTGCTTTAGTCAACTGAATCTGCCCAAAACTAAAAAGCATTAATTAAAAAGTACTTAACTCAGAAATTATAAAAATAGGAGACATCAATAAAATACATTCTACACAGAATACGCCAACCATACACTACTCTTTTTTGATAATAAAAAATGTATTTACTGAGCCAGTTGTGGTGGCTCACGCCTATAATCCCAGCACCTTGGAAGGCCAATGAGAGTGGATCAGTTGAGGCCAGGAGTTTGAGACCAGCCTGGCCAACATGGTGAAATGCCGTCTCTACTAAGAATACAAAAATGAGCCGGGCACGGTGGCACGCACCTGTAATCCCAGGTACTCCGAAGGATGAGGCAGGATAATTGTTTGAACTCAGGAGGTGGAGGTTGCAGTGAGCCAAAATCATGCCACTGCACTCCAGCCTGGGTGACAGAGTGAGTCTCTGTCTCAAAAAAAAAAAAAAAAAAAAAAAAAAAGTCAGTTGCAGTGGCTCACGCCTGTAATCCCAGCACTTTGGGAGGCTGAGGCAGGCGGATTACAAGGTCAGGAGATTGAGACCACCCTGGCCAACATGGTGAAACCTCCTCTCTACTAAAAATGCAAAAATTAGGCTGGGCACGGTGGCTCACACCTGTAATCCCAGCACTTTGGGAGGCCGAGGCGCGGAGATCACGAGATCAGGAGATTGAGACCATCCTGGCTAACACAGTGAAACCCTGTCTCTACTAAAAATACAAAAAATTAGCTGGATGTGGTGGCAGCACTTGTAGTCCCAGCTACTTGGGTGGCTGAGGCAGGAGAATGGCGTGAACCCGGGAGGCAGAGTTTGCAGTGAGCCGAGATCCCACCACTGCACTCCAGCTTAGGCGACAGAGCCAGACTGTGTCTCAAAAACAGGAAAGAAAACAAAAGAAAATTTGGACTATTGCCAATTACAAATATTTTTAGAGAAGAATTCAAAACAGTAACTGTGGATGATGGAAACAATAGTTATGATAAAAGTCTGATGAAACTTCCCAGTTCACAAGGAAATTTAATTACTTATGTGCAGCATTTTAAGACAGTAATCAGAATCATGACTGACAGCATCATATCAGGGCCAGCAGACTTTTATGAATTTCATACAATCTTCAGAAATAATAACTTTTTTTTTTTTTTTTTTGGATAGATTCTACCTTTGTCACCCAGGCGGGAGTGCAGTGGCATGATCTCGGCTCACTACAACCTCCGCATCCTGGGTTCAAGCAGTTCTCCTGTCTCAGCCTCCCGAGTAGCTGAGATTACAGGCATGTGCCACCAGGCATGGCTAATTTTTGTATTTTTAGTGGAGACAGGGTTTCACTCTATTAGGCTGGTCTGGAACTCCCGACCTCAGGTGATCCACGTGCCTTTGTCTCCCAAAGTGCTGGGATTACAGGCATGAGTGACGGTGCCCAGCCATTCGTGACATGTTTATACAAATATAACTTTAGCAAATATTTAGCATAACTATCAAAATTACAAATCATATTAAATTTGTATAAATGTATGCAATTTTTGGAACACGCATATCAACAACATACCCATAAATATAACTGAGATGAGATCTAATGTCACCTCACTTGACAGTGCCCTCCCATGCAGTATCGCCACATTTGACAATGCCTGCCCATTTAATCTACCAAATAAATCGAATCACTTAATACCTCTACAAGATGAGAGATACATTCTTTAGACTCCCCAAGGGATGCAGCTGAAAAAAATCCCAAAGTTAGTTTTAAGCCAAAAAGACTTGATTTAGGATTTTGACACTGGAGAAACCCATCAAAGACGTCAAGTTTGAAAACACTTGATCAAAACAGAATCACAGGTCACTATTAAAAGAGTATTAATTTAACCAGAGACTTCCAAAGCAATACAGAAACTTACATGGATATAAAAACCCTAACCCTTTTAAAGGTCAGATTTGCTAAGTGATCAAAAGGGGTACTTGAATTGAATCGACACAGGAAGAGTGTGTACAGGGTTATGAGTGTAGGCAGATGGTTACTTTGGTCATATCTCCATTTGCCACCTGATTACACATGAGAATGGCATCTTTACTCACCAGAAAGCCAGTATTATAGGAGGTGTAGGAGGCATTCTTGGACTTGAGACAAGAACATTGTTGTGTAGAAATTTCATTGACTGTGTTAAAATTATTCTCCATGGGCTGGAGAACACATAACATGGCCTTTAGAATGAGACGGGCATTGATTGGATGCAAGGTCTCCACACTTACTAGCTGTGTGACATTGGACAGAGTGCTTCATCATTCCGAGACTCAGTTTTTAAAGGAAAAACAACTACCTTGCAAGCTTGCTGGCAGGTTTAAGTGTAATAATGTGTGGGAATGACTGCACCGTGACTAACATGCAGTGACAGCTTAATTAATGTTAACCCTTATCATTATCATATAAGAATGTGAGTTACATAAGAGAGGAATCCTGTCAGTTCGTTCTCTGCTGTGTCCCCAAGACCATGAATCATGGCTGGCATGTAGTAGGCATTTAATAATATATGTTCAACAAGTATTTGGCAGTCTTGGAGGGCAGAAAAGGAGGTGGGGAAGATTTTTAAATAACATTTTTTAAAAAGTCACATTGTCCTACAATACCGATTTTTCTTGCATATTTAGGAAATTGAGGATTTTTTTCTAAAACATGCGGACATATGGGAAATAGGATGCAACATTTGCACTAATGTTTCAGACACAGTTAGAGGTTTCCAAGAGATTTTGCGCTGGGGAGGCTGCTTGCTACAAGCTCCCAAAGCTCTGGGAGGACATAGTATTCATTCCTCCCTCAGCAGAAGCGGTGAGGCAAGAAGCTCTGGGGAGCACCCAGCCTTGGACTTTTAGCATAGTGTGTCAGGTCTTCATAGTTTGGGCCCAGGGCACAGAGAAGTCACAGCTCTCTGGCATCCTGTGACCTTTACCCTCTTTGCCAAGGGAAAATGTGGCCCACCAAAGCAAGAAACTTGAGGGCATGGGTCACCCCAGCCCTGGCATCTGCCCAGAGCCCGAGAAGGAAGGAACAATGATCCTCCAGCTACCTCACGGGGCTGGCACAGGTGACCACTGCCCTGGCATCACCCAGCTGTGTCCGGCAGCCTGAACCCCATCTGTGGGGATGCGAGGAGGAAAATACAAAAGTCCTTAGGTGAACACTGAGAAGGCAGATGTAGCAGAAACCTCCAGGCCAGAACTACCCAGTCTTGGACCTATGGTGGAGATAGAGCATAGCTGGCGATCGTGTACTTACACTCTAAGGTCACCTGGTTGCACTGTGGCCTCATCTGTGGCTCTGAAAATGAAGATTTGGAAGGAGATCATCACAGCTAATGTTAACAAGCCCCTCCTGTGTGCCAAATCATTCACCCCTCACCACAACCGAATGAGCTAAGGATTCTCATTATATATAGTTTATGGAGAGGGAAGTGCAGACATAAAGAGGTGAATTATCTTACCCAGATCACACAGCTGATAAGTGGTGGAGGCAGAATAGAATCTAAACAGTGTGGCTCCGGAGCCCACATGCATTGATTCGACAAGTGTTTATTGAGCACCTGCCACGGACAAGGCCTTGTGTGATTAAATAGGGTTATAATTAGTAATATAAAAATGAGAAATCACTAATGCTTTTTAGACTTAACATTTTCTTTTTTTGTAGGTTTCAGGCACAGAACTGTATATCCAATAATAGTGAAATGGATCCCACTAATTATGACAGAAATGATGATACATTTAAATGACTTGGATGTTTTATAGGTATGATCTCGTGAAACCTTGAGAGAAACTGAATGACGAATGAAACTATTGTTCCTGTTTCACACAGAAGAAAACTGAGGTTAAAAGGGGTAAAGTAATTTTGCATGGCATGAAGTAGAAATTCAAAGTACAGGAATTTGAACTTGGTTCTGTCCTTTTCTGAAGCCCTTGACCACTATAGACTCAAACATCACCTTGTTTTTCCACTCATTCAACACTTTTTTTTTAAAATTATCTAATAGGTTGGCACTCATCATGAGCCCCTGTTCTCATTCTGCAAATGGTGAAGCTCTCTATTGTCCTGACCCCACAGTTCCTGTCCCATGACCAGGGCCAGCTCACCAAGGAGCTGCAGCAGCATGTAAAGTCAGTGACATGCCCATGCGAGTACCTGAGGAAGGTGAGTGAGTGCAGACAGATGGGGCCTGGTGCCCTTGAGCAGTTCCCGGGTCTCAGCTGCCACACATCTCATAGCGGGTGATGCTGGGGGAAGCTTACGCAGTCACAGTACTGGCTTCTTCCTCTTTTTCTTTCCATACAAGTGGCTTAGGGATGGGGTAGAGTAGTTGACTTATTTGGATGAAAACCACTATCTTCTGTCAGAAACTCAAAAGGAATCATTGCTGGCATGGTAACCTAAAGAAAAACAACCAGACAAGTGCCCAACGACACTTAAAAAGGTTATTTATTATCTTGCCAAGTTTAGGCTGGGCATGGTGACTCATGCCTGTAATCCCAGCATTTTGGGAGGCTGAGGCTGGTGGATCACCTGAGGCCAGGACTTCGAGACCAGCCTGACCAATATGGCAAAACCTCGTCCCTACTAAAAATACAAAAATTAGCCGGGCATGGTGGTGTGAGCCTGTAGTCCCAGCTACTCAGGAGGCTGAGACAGGAGAATTGCTTAGATTCAGGAGGTGGGGGTTTTAGTGGGCCGAGATCACGCCATTGCACTCCAGACTGTGCGACAGAGCGAGACTCTGTCAAAAAAAAAAAAAAATTATCCTGCAAAATTTGAAAAGGAAATTCAAATCAACAGCTTCTAAACTACTTTTTAACATGACTCATAATAAGAAATACATTCTATAGTACATATATATGTTCTATAACTTTGAATAAAAGAGTTAACCACATCACATTTATTTTACAACATGTAATACATATTTTTTATTCTCCTTCATTTGTTTTGAATGCTCTGTTTAGTCTACAAAAAGTCCAATAGTAATAATTAAATTAGTCATTAAGTTGAACATTATCTTGTCTTTTAAAATGATAATCTCAAAAATGATCTTTTATTTTTGAGATTTATATAGATACACACACACACACACACACACACACACACACACACACACACATATATTTTTTGAGACAGAGTTTCACTCTGTCCCCCAGGCTGGAGTGCAATGGCACAATCTTGGCTCACTGCAACCTCCGTCTCCCGGGTTCAAGCAATTCCTCTGCCTCAGCCTCTGAGTAGCTGGGACTACAGGTGTGTGCCACCATGCCCAGCTAATTTTTGTATTCTTAGTAGAGATGGGGTTTCACCATATTGGCCAGGCTCGTGTCAACTCCTGACCTCGTGATCTGCCCACCGCGGCCTCCCAAAGTGCTGGGACTTTAGGTGTGAGCCGCTGCACCCGGTCCAAGTAAAATTATTTTAACAATATACTATGAAGAGAAAAACACTGGCTATGAAAGAATATGCATAGTTTTACCCTGTTTAAAAATAAAGATTGAAAGAATACATATGCAAATAAGTTTACTTTTATTTTTGGTAACACTTTACTGCATTGTCTGAATATTAACAATCAGTATGCATTATGAAGCTACCTGGCTAACATTGTGTACTCACTGTGTGTGCCAGGCCCTGGGTTCAATGCTCTACATGCACTTATATTTCATTTAATTCTCTCTGCAACCTGAGATGGTATAGCCACCTCATTTTACAGAGTTGAAACTGAGGCTCAGAGACTGAAAGTTAAGCCTGAGGTTGCAGTCAATAAGAGGCAGAGCTGGAACTGAAACCTACCTGTGTCTGACCACCAGTTCGTGTTCTGACGGCAGGCTAGTCTGCATCACAGAGTGTGGAGTAGATGGTGCATGCCTGCTAGGATGGGCTAGGTATCACTGTAGGTAAGAAACAGCCCCAAACTATGGAAATGTACACCACTGAAGGCTCTTTTCCTGCCCATGCTGCACATCCTCCATGGCTCTCCTGTGCCCTGTGCCCCACATGCCCTCATCCTGCCACGAGAATAAAGGAGCAGCCTCCATATGGGAGCTGTCAGCTGCTCTAAGAGATGAAGGAGAGAGTGGCCCGTCTCAATGGCTCCCAACTCTTTTGCCTCGAGGTGACACGCTTCACTTCCACTCACATCTCCTGGGTCAAAGCAAATCCCATGGGTACATCCACTTTCAAGTGGCCCAGGAGAGAACCTGAAATACTCGGTGGACTCCATTAAGGCCGTCATATGGTGTCAGCCTGCATGGGAGACTGTGGAGGGGCAGAGGAGGAGAGTGGGGAACTGATGGGAAATGACAGGAGGACTAAGTCACCGCAGATTTGCTTTATCTTCAGCCAGGTGGAGTTTGTCCCAGAGCCGCACAAAATCATCACCAGCATGATTAAACGGAGTAGACTTCAGAAAAAGCAGTTTGGTCGGATGTAATCAGCAGTGAACTCAGAATCAATTGAGTGACATTGAGTCAGTAAATCTCTGACTGCCTCAGTTACCCCATATGATAGTTTTGAGGATGGGAACATTGAGAGAGTTGATTTGGAAGGATATCAAGAGTAAAAATTCCAACATTTTTAGTTCCTTTAAGTTAAATCCAGGCACTGTCTTTCCTGCAAGTCTCCTGTTCCTTTCAGATTGCACAGGTGAGAGTGCTCAGATTAGGGCTGGAGGTTGTAAACCATTGCTCCCACACTGACAGTGCCCCCGTGTCGTGCATGTATTCTGCGCATTTTCCTGTGCTAAACACTCTCCCAAAACATCGTGGGGCCTGATTCTTCCTCTTTGTTCCAATGGCCCTGGGTGACTCAAGTGCCCATTCAATGACCAGGACACAGAGGTCTTAGAGAGATGCTCCTTGAGGCCCCAGGTGCGAGCCTGTACCCTGCCGGAGCATGAGGCAAGGGACAGGGCATCGTCTGTGGGGATAGTGGGGGTAGTGGGGGTAGTGGTCAGCCAGATTTGGTGACTCTACTTGCTCACCAGACGATCCTACACCTGCCACCTCCGATGGATCCACTGCCTCTGTGCCTGCCTGTACTGCTGATGCTCCAGTGGATAACTCAGCATCCCAGCCTAGGCCCAATGCCACTGAAGATGGACCTTCCCCCTGGGGACCCAGGAGTCCTACCACTCAGCTGTCCCCAGGAGTGCCCAGACCCTCATTCTTATCCAGGACCTAGGAGCCCTACCCCTGGCCTTCCCTCATCAGCCGTAAATGATGATTTACTGCTGTTACCATCATCACTGCCTTCAGTGACCAAGGGCCTTCCAAGGCGCCAGCTCTGGAACGAAGGATGCCCTTGGGAGGTGATGACACTCAGGTACACGGGTGCTCAACAGATTGCTTCCTCCTATCCTCAGACGGTCTTTGCATGCATGCAGCCATTGGCACTCCCATTGTGTGGAAGGAAACCAGCCCAGGGTCACACAGCTGGTCAGCAGCAACATAGCTGTTCTCAAATCTAAGGTGCCTGACCATGCCTCCATGAGGGACCGCCTCCAAGGGAGGTTGATCCTGGCTTTGGGGAGCCTTTCCTGGGCTGCACGAATAACCTCCATTGTTCGAGACCCCAAACTCTGCTCACATCTTCCTTTCCCTATCTCTGCTTGGGCTATGATCACGGTGACTCTAGCAGCCCTTCATGGACATTATAGTACTCTCTGCCATTCACTTTTGCTCTAATCTGACTTCAACCCCCACTTACTTGGTCTCTCCTTTTACAACCACCACAACCGAAATCTAGGGCTGCTTTTTTTTTTTTTTTTTTTTTGAGACAGAGTCTCATTCCATTCTGTCACCCAGGCTGGAGTGCAATGGTACAATCTCGGCTCACTGCAACCTCCGCCTCCCGGGTCCAAGGGATTGTCCTGCCTCAGCCTCCTGAGTAGCTGGGATTACAGGCGTGTGCCACCATGCCTGGCTAATTTTTGTATTTTTAGTAGAGATGGGGTTTCACCATGTTGGTCAGGCTGGTCTCCAACTCCTAACCTCGTGATCCGCCTGCCTCAGCCTCCCAAAGTGCTGGGATTACAGGCGTGAGCCACCATGCCCAGCCAAATCTAGGGCAGGAACATGGCTGCAGCATATAAAAAGAATTGAATTCCATACTTTTGTTAACCCTGTTTTTTGTTTGTTTGTAGTTGTTGCTGTTTTTGAGACAGAGTCTCGCTCTGTCGCCTAGGCTGGAGTGCAGTGGTGCAATCTCGGCTCACTGCAGACTCTGCCTCCCGGGTTCAAACTATTCTCCTGCCTCAGCCTCCCAAGTAGGTGGGACTACAGGCGCCCACCACCACACCCGGCTAATTTTTGTATTTTATTAGAGACAGGGTTTCACCATATTGGCCAGGCTGGTCTGGAACTCCTGACCTTGTGATCCGCCCACCTCGGCCTCCCAAAGTGCTGGGATTACAGGCGTGAGCCACCACACCCAGCCCGTTTTGTTTTTGTTTTGCTTGCTTCTTAGGGTTGTTTTTCTATTTATGGTAAAGGCATTGGCTTTCCATTTGTAGCATCAATAGAATATTTCCTGTTTACAATAACCTTATGTCATAGTAAATGGTAAAGGGATTTAAAGCAGTGGTTTTCAGCTGCCAGAGGCCTGAGAGAGTTTGGGCATACTCTGTGTGATCGGGCAGAAGGCCTGTGGGAAGTTTAGCAGAGGACAGGGCCAGGAAAGTTGATGGACAGTGGGGGTCTGTCCTGGTCACCAGGCCCCTGGGTCCTGCCCACCTGCTTGGAGCTCCCCACCCATCACACATGATGCTGCCAAGCCCTCTGGGTATTGTGGGCAAATACCTTAGGAGAGAAGCTGATGAACTTTGTTTCTTGAAATGCACAGATTCCTTGGACGTCCCTGAGAGCTCAGTCATGAAAGTCAACTTGGTTTTCTCCCCCTCATTTGGGTTCAGAATTTAAAGTCCACACACACAGGCAGTAAGATGATATAGATAAGGACGTCATCACTCGGTTTCGGATGTTAAAATGTCTAGGTGGGTTAGCGGTGATTTGAGATCACACAACCTTGTGCCACAAAGAGGAATTCCCAGGCCAGAGGGAGACATTTTATTGCCATGTTATGATCTCATCATTGAGTTGAAAGGCAATCTTGTTTCATTTTGGATTCTTTCTTATGTTTATGTCTTATAAGGGCACTTTGAATTTCCAAGCAAATAATAATTTTGAATTAGCTTTTAATCATTGACTTCTAGCACAGTTATATGATCAGAAACATGCTGTGTGATTTGATTGCTCTCAAATATATTGAGATTTGCTGGAACAAAATAAGTCAGGTTAATTTTTGTAAATGTACCAGGCATGCTTAAAATGAATGTATCTACATTTGTTCCTGAGATACAGGTTGATGGACGGATGGCTACATGGATGTGATGGAGATGGTTTACTATCGGGACCTTCCGCACCCTGCTGATGTTTTGTTGCTTAGGATATGAATGGCTGAGCGGAGGCTGTAAAACCTGGCACTCTGCTTGGGTATGAGGTTCTTCCTGCCATCCTGCCATCATTTGTTTTTTATGTTTTGTCGCCATAAGTGACCTTGAGGAACCCTGGGAGCTCAGGAAGGAAGGAGCGCCCAGAAGCAGGGACAGGGAGCTGGTTGGGGAGGACCAGAAATCAGGTTTGTGAAGGTTCCAGAGAGGACCTGTCTTTGGGAGGAGTGTGGGAGACTGAGATGGGGGAGGGGTCATTGGAATGATGCGGGCGCTACTTGGCATTGTCCATTGTGAGGCACTGTCCATTGTGAGGCACCACCGGGGTCATCAGGGATTGGTGGAGAGGGAGTATAAAGCCCCAGGGTTGGTAAGGGAGGGCCCAGACCGAAGAAGGTTTGGTGGATAGCAGAACCTTTTTGTCTCCCTCTGATTGCTCCTAAGCCTCACGCTCCCTTGCCCCGCGTGTCCTGTTGCTTCCCTGATCTTCTCCGTGACCTGTAGCTAAACCTTCCACCAGCGCTTGAGAACTTAATTTGAACCGGATCCTTTCCCAGACCCCTTTCTTCTTCTCCTCCTCCTCCTCCACCTCCTCCAGGTGCCCAACAGCCCCCTTCTCCTCCTTTCCCTTCCCTTACTTCCCCCCTTCCCCTCCCCTTCCCCTCCCCCTCCCCTCCCCCTCCCCAACTCAGATCCGGCCCCGGTCCCGTCCCCTTCCCTCCCCCCTGCCCTAAGCCACCTCCACCTCTGTCCTGGCCGCCTCAGGGCGCCCTGAAAGGACCAGGACATGCGGGTGCGGTGGATGCTCTTTTGGCTCCTCTTTGGGCTCCTACTGGAATTTATCAGCCATCAGTGCATCTCTGTGAGTAGACGCTGGACCCGTGGGGTTTCTTCCTTTTTACTGGGCTGTATCACGTGGCATGAAATTACACAGCTCAGGCCTGTAATCCCAGCACTTTAGAGGGCCGAGGTGGGCAGATCACTTGAGTCCAGGAGTTGAAGACTAGCCAGGGCATCATAGCGAAACCCCATCTCTACAAAAAATTCCAATAAAGATTAGTCGGGCCTGGTGGTGCGTACCTGTTATCCCAGTTACTGGAGAGGCTGAGGTGGGAGGATCGCTTGGGCCCAGGAGCTGGACGTTGCAGTGAGCCGAGATGGCCCCGCTGCACTCTTGTTTTTAACAAAGAAAATGGACCAAAACAAAGTGAAATGTCATTTGATTTGTGTCATCTGGTTTGATGACTTTTTTTTTTTTTTTTTTTTTTTTTAGACAGAGTCTCACTCTGTCGCCCAGGCTGGAGTGCAGTGGCAAGATCTCGGCTCACTGCAACCTCCGCTTCTGGGGTTCAAGCAATTGTCCTGCCTCAGCCTCCTGAGTAGCTCAGATTACAACGCCTGGCTAATTTTTGTATTTTTAGTAGACCACCACGCCTGGCTAATTTTTTTTTTTTTTTTTTTTTTTTTTTTTTTTTTTTTTTGAGACGGAGTCTCGCTCTGTCGCCCAGGCTGGAGTGCAGTGGCGGGACCTCGGCTCACTGCAAGCTCCGCCTCCCGGGTTCACGCCATTCTCCTGCCTCAGCCTCCCAAGTAGCTGGGACTACAGGCGCCCGCCACTACGCCCGGCTAATTTTTTGTATTTTTAGTAGAGACGGGGTTTCACCATGTTCGCCAGGATAGTCTCCATCTCTTGACCTCGTGATCTGCCTGCCTCAGCCTCCCAGTGCTGGGATTACAGGCGTGAGCCACCGCGCCTGGCCAAAATATATAACCTTAAGTGTAAGTTTACTAACTTTGGAAAGTACATACACCAGCATAAACCAACCCCCTTTCAAGATCTACATTATTTTATTTATTTATTTATTTATTTATTTATTTATTTATTTTGAGACAGTTTCTCCCTTGTTGCCCAGGCTGGAGTGCAATGGGGCAATATCAGCTCACCGCAACCTCTGCTTCCCAGGTTCGAGCGATTCTCCTGCCTCAGCCTCCCGAGTGGCTGGGATTACAGACATGTGGCACCACTCCCAGCTAATTTTGTATTTTTAGTAGAGATAGGGTTTCTCCATGTTGGTCAGGCTGGTTTTGAACTCCCGACCTCAGGTGATCCGCCCGCCTCGGCCTCCCAAAGCGTTGGGATTACAGGCGTGAACCACCGTGCCCAGCCAAGATCTACACTATTATGTCACCCCAGAAAGTGAACTCTCAGTCTTCCCAGCCAGTCTCTTTCTTATCATAGGTTAGCTTGCTTATTCTGGAATTTCGCGTATACAGATGCATGCCATGCCATAGGTACTCTTTTGTGTCTGCTTTGTTCTGCTCAACACCATGTTTCTGAAATCATTACCATTGTTGTATGGTTCTCTAACTTCATCATTTCCATTTCAGACTCAGCATATGCTGAGTTCAACCTGTTGAAGGGCTATCTCTGTTTAATTCACCATCTTGAAAGAAACATTTAAAATTGAGATGTTTTCAAGAATATATAGTTAAATCCTGAGGAATCGACGTAGAAATGTTATCAGAAGCTGTCTGAACTTACTCAGGGGAAGTCTTCGTCTTCACTCACATAAGAGTCTAATGGAATTAATATCAACAATCTTAGAGAAATCCCACACTATTCATGCCATTTTCATGATCTCCACCTTGGTAATTTTTTTTTTTTTTTTTTTGAGACAGAGTCTCGCTCTGTCACCCAGGCTGAAGTGCAGTGGTGCGATCTCGGCTCACTGCAACCTCTGCCTCCCGGGTTCAAGTGATTCTTCTGCCTCAGCCTCCCAAGTAGCTGGAACTATAGGCACGTGCCACCATGCCCTGCTAATTTTTTGTATTTTTAGTAGAGACGGGTTTCACCGTGTTAGCTAGGATGGTCTCAATCTCCTGATCTCGTGGTCCACCCACCTCGGCTTCCCAAAGTGCTGGGATTGCAGGCGTGAGCCACCACGCCCAGCCCACCTTGTTAATTTTTAAGCACTAAAATTTGATACTTATTTGTGAATGAAGTAATCTCTTCATTGTATTTTTTTTTTTTTTTTACTTATGCTGAGATTTAAATGACAAAGATTCATATAATCCAAGAGAGAAGTATTATTTAGAGGGATTCTTTTACCATGTGATATATAATAAATGCATCCAATGTTATACATCAATTTAAAAAACAAGTAAATAACTTTAAAGAAAAGATAACTACTGGCCAGGTGCAGTGGCTCACACCTGTATTCCCAGCACTTTGGGAGGCCAAGGCAGGTGGATCATGAGGTCAGGAGTTGGAGACCAGCCTGGCCAAGATGGTGAAACCCTGTTTCTACTAAAAATACAAAAATTAGCCGAGCGTGGTGGCAGGCGCCTGTAATCCCAGTTACTCAGTAGCTGAGGCAGGAGAATCGCTTGAACCCGGGAGGCGGAGGTTGCAGTGAGTTGAGATCATGCCACTGCAATCTAGCCTGGGTGACAGAGCAAAACTTTGTCTCAAAACAAAAAGAAAAGAAAAGATAAGATAATTACTTTATACTTAGCTTGTCTTACCCATGAGTGACGGGCTGCATGTGGCCCAGGACAGTTTTGAATGCAGTTCAACACAAATTTGTAAACTTTCTTAAAACATTAGGAGATTTTGGCCAGGTACAGTGGCTCATGCGTGTAATCCCAGCACTTTGGGAGGCTGAGGCGGGCAGATTACCTGAGGTCAGGAGTTCGAGACCACCCTGACCAACATGGCAAAACCCCATCTCCACAAAAACTACAAAAATTTGCTGAGTGCACTGTCAGGCACCTGTACTCCCAGCTACTCAGGAGGCTGAGGCAGGAGAATCACTTGAACCTGAGAGGCAGAGGTTGCAGTGAGCCGGGAGCACACCACTGCACTCCAGCCTGGGTGACAGAGTGAGACCCCATCTCAAAAATAACAAACAAAAACAAAAACAAAAAAATGGCTGGGCACGGTGGCTCACACCTGTAATCCCAGCACTTTGGGAGGCCGAGGCAGGCAGATCGCCTGTCAGGAGTTCAAGGCCAGACTGGCCAACATGGTGAAACCTCATCTCTACTAAAAATACAAAAATGAGTCGGGCATGGTGGCAGAGACCTGTAATCTCAGCTACTCGGGAGGCTGAGGCAGGAGAATGGCTTGAGCCCAGGAGCTGGAGGTTGCAGTGAGCCGAGATTGCACCACTGCACTCCAGCCTGGGCGACTGAGTGGAGCGGAACTCTGTCTCAAAAAAAAAAAAGAGGTTTTTTTTAGATCATCAGCTATTGTTAGTGTTAGTGTATGTTATGTGTGGCTCAAGACAACTTTGCTTCTTTTAATATAGGCAGGGAAGTCAAAAGATTGGATATCCCTGCTTTATACCAAGAAAGACAACACCCCACATTTGCAATGCCTGAAAACACTACCAGCCATCTGAAAAACATGTGACTTCTAACTTCTGTTCTTTTTTGTAGCAGTGGAATCCCACGGTGATATCTGAGGGATGTGGTTACCTTTTGGAGGAGGTTGACGGTTTCTAAGGATGATTCTTTCTGAGTGAAATATTGTCAGTGTCATTGACCTTTTCATTATTTCAACTATTATTATTCCAGGTTATCAATACTCTGGCTGACCATCATCATCGTGGGACTGACTTTGGTGGAAGTCCTTGGTTACATGTCATTATTGCGTTTCCGACAAGTTATAAAGTTGTCATTACCCTCTGGATAGTTTACCTTTGGGTGAGTATACTAACTTTCTGTAGAGGTATACTTGTAATCACAAATAAGAATAAATTATATAAAACAATTCACATTTCTGGACTTCATTATGAATATGTGGTTTTACCCAAAAAATCAGGGAAATGATTTATTAGTATAAGAATTATGAAAACATCTGCCATTTGCATTATGAAAATTAAATAGGTCGGTGTTTGTTTAATAGAATGTCAACAGAGCTTTTGGTCAAAAATAAGTTTTTTTAACCTTTGTGCTATTTATCACAAATGGAGTATGAGGTTTCGTCACTTAAATAGGAAATTCTTTCTAAACTCTTCTGCTTTGTAGTTCTATCGTATGGGTGGAAGGAAAGCTTCCAATCTCTTCTCTGAAGATTCACTGCAGAAATGAGCTGACAACAGACAGCTTAACAGGAAAAGAAAAACATAGAACAGGCATAAACATGGGAACCAGCTGAAAAATGAGACTGCTAGAAGGGCCGGATGGCTGATGCTTAAAGAGCACCCTCTTCTGAGGGGAGAGGGAGATAGATGGAGATGTAGGCCATTTAGAGGGGCAGCAAATGATTTTTAGGGGAAATGAAAGAGGCCAAGGAACAAACAATTGGCCTGAGACAAAGTTCCTGTGAGGTCATAGGGACGAGGTGACAAACTGCCGGAAGGTGAAGGGCAGAACTGCACTGCGTCTCATGATGCAGAGAAAGCCCCAGAGACTCTTAGAACTGCCCTCCAAGAGAATCAATGAAAAGTGTGTCTGGGCAGGGTAATTTTGAATGACATCATTCAAAGTGCATGTTCCGACTTGGAACTGGAGAGAGATCAGTATGTCAAAAGTCTGTACTTGGTAAGAATTTGGCTGCTAAGTTGTGCCATAATTTGTCTTTTGAGCCTTTTTTCCTTTGGGTAAGTTGAGCTCTACATTTTGTCTTGCCATTCATGACAGTAAAAATGTGGTTGTCTGGGGGCTGAACCTCCTTCTGAACAATGATCCAAGATAAAAGTACTAATACCACAATGCTTTTTTATATTCAAGGGAAGAGGAAGTATGTTTCAGTTTTACCACCTAGATAATTACACGTCATTTGGCACTGCCTTTCAAGATATGTAGAAAACAGAAAATATATGAGTTATGAAGATATCTAGGCACATTTAACATTCTCTATGCCACTTAGTCCTGAACAGAGAATTTTCGGTATAAATTGGAGGAAGCTTTTTTCTTTTTTTTTTTTCTTTTCTCACCCCGAAGACGAGTCTCCTTCTGTTGCCCAGGCTGGAGTATAATGGTGTGACCTCGGCTCACTGCAACCTCCACCTCCTGGCTTCAAGTGATTCCCCTGCCTCAGCCTCTCAAGTAGCTGGGATTACAGGTGCCCACCACCATGCCCAGCTAATTTTTGTATTTTTAGTAGAGTCGGGGTTTTACCATGTTGGCCAGGCTAGTCTCAAAACCCGACCTCAAATGATCCACCCGCCTCAGCCTCCCAAAGTGCTGGGATTACAAGCGTGAGCCACCACGTGAGCCAGGGGAAGTTTTTAAATTTACCACTTTTTAACAATTCCACTTAGGAAAGTTCAGTTGAGCTGTTGGACTTGGACAACTTCGCACCTCTCATCTTTGTCCTTGTCATCTAGTCATCTATACCATTACCTCCTAAGCAGGGACATCATGGGTGCCATGAAGCATTCATGCGTGATGGCATTTCTTGGCTTCTCATTTCTTCATGTGTTTGACATTTCCCCTAGCTCCAAACTGGGCCAGCTACCTTTCCTATGAAATCTAGCAGTAGCTGTGGGATTGACGTGGTTGCTCTTTTCATCTTTTTAGATTACCCATTGCTTCTCTCGAAATCCTAGTACATGATTTTTTTTTTATCCTATGTGCAGAAATCAGGAAAAAACAAATTCTACAAAGAATTTGAAAGATATTATTTCAGGCCAGGTGTGGTGGCTCATGCCTGTAATCCCAGCACTTTGGGAGGCTGAAGCAGATGGATCATTTGAGGTCAGGAGTTCAAGACCAGATGGGCCAACATGGTGAAACCCCATCTCTACTAAAAAGACAAAAATTAGCCAGGCATGGTAGCAGGCACCTGTAATCCCAGCTACTTGGGAGGCTGAGGCACAAGAATCGCTTGAATCTGGGAGGTGGAGGTTGCCGTGAGCCAAGGTAGCGCCACTGCACTTCAGCATGGTTGAGAGTGACACTCTGTCTCAAGAAAAAGTCATTTCAATGACCACCTCAGGAGATTCATAGGTATCTGACCCACATCTGAGATGGGATTTGCATTGCATTTTAGCTATGATGAGAAGAAATATTTAATATCTTAGAAGATTAAAAGCATACTGTGATAATATGGAAATCTTGGTGGGAATTCAGTCATTAGTGAGAATGTTTTGCGTTAAGTTCAAACCAGCCTCAATGAAGCTGATGTGAGGGAAGGGAAAGTGAACTCTGAGTAGAGCAGGGACAGAAGGAAGATGCTCCAGTGCAGATCAGGAAGGAGCAGGGGATGAAATGTTACAAATTCTAGAACTCAGAGAGCTGAAGGTAATTACTTCCTTTTCAAGTTGTGAAACATGTTAACCTGTGGTAAAATACTTATAAGATGATAATTACCATCTAACCGTGTTGAAGTGTACAGTTCAGTTGTGTGAAGTATATTCATGTCATTTTTTTTTTTTTTTTTTTTGAGACGGAGTCTCACTCTGTCACCAGGCTGGAGTGCAGTGGTGGGATCTTGGCTCACTGCAACCTCTGCCTCCTGGGTTCAAGCAGTTCTCCTGCCTCAGCCTCCCGAGTAGCTGGGACTACAGGCGTGCATCACCATGCTCAGCTAATTTTTGTATTTTTAGTAGAGACGGGGTTTCACCATGTTGCCCAGGATGGTCTCCATCTCTTGACCTTGTGATTCACCCGCCTCGGCCTCCCAAAGTGCTGGGATTACAGGCGTGAGCTACCGCATCTGGCCTTTTTTTTTTTTTTTTTTTTTGAGACAAGAGTTTCAATTTTGTTGCCCAGGTTGGAGTGCAATGGCACAATCTCAGCTCACCACAAGCTTTTCCTGCTGGGTTCAAGTGATTCTCCTGCCTCAGCCTCCCGACTAGCTGGGATTACAGGCATGCACCACCATGCCTGGCTAATTTTGTATTTTTAGCAGAGACAGCGTTTCTCCATGTTGGTGAGGCTGGTCTCAAACTCCCGACCTCAGGTGATCCGCCTGCCTCGGCCTCCCAAAGTGCTGGGATTACAGGAGTGAGCCACCGTGCCAGCCTCATGTCATTCTTGTGTGTGTGTGTGTGTATGTGACAGAGTCTCATTCTGTCGCTCAGGCTGGAGTGCAGTGGTGTGATCTCGGCTCAGTGCAACCTCCGCCTCCCAGCTTCAAACGGTTCTCTGCCTCAGCCTCCCGAGTAGCTTGGATTACAGGCGCCCGCTGCCATGCCCGGCTAATTTTTGTATTTTTAGTAGAGACGGGGTTTCACCATCTTGGCCAGGCTGGTCTTGAACTCCTGACCCCGTGATCCACCTGCCTCGGCCTCCCGAAGTACTGGGATTATACGCATGAGCCACCGTGCCCAGCCGTCATTCTTATATTATTATTTCCTAGGTGTCTCTCCTGAAGACTATCTTCTGGTCTCGAAATGGACATGATGGATCCACGGATGTACAGCAGAGAGCCTGGAGGTCCAACCGCCGTAGACAGGAAGGTATGGCTCTGTTGGAATCCGCATAGTGTGGAAATGAGTTTGCCCTGGAAAGGGAAAGAACAGCTTCTTGCCCTCAGGTTTCTCACCTTCTCCTCTCCTCACTCTCACCAAGGGCTGAGGTCCATTTGTATGCACACAAAGAAAAGAGTTTCTTCCTTTCGAGGAAATAAAATTGGCCTGAAAGACGTCATTACTCTACGGAGACATGTGGAAACAAAAGTTAGAGCTAAAATCCGTAAGAGGAAGGTGACAACGAAAATCAACCATCATGACAAAATCAATGGAAAGAGGAAGACCGCCAGAAAACAGTAAGATGTGCCTTGACACAAATACTGTTGTATGAACCATGTGCCAATCAAAGTAGACAACTGTAAAGTCCTTGAGAATATTTTCTACAATATTTGTGGCAAATTCAGTGGGTTCAAAATTGAGTTTGTCCTTTCTGCTTCATTAGTTTAAGCTGTATAATTCCTTTCCCTTCCTACATTCTTGTTTTCATTTTTTCGGAGGAAGAGGAGTTGCTAGTACTGGCATTGGTTTTCCTTTCTCTTTTTTTTTTTTTTTTTTTTCCTGAGATGGAGCTTTGCTGTTGTTGCCCAGGCTGTAGTGCAATGGCACAATCTCAGCTCACTGCCTTTTGGGTTCAAGCAATTCTCCTGCGTCAGCCTCCCAAGTAGCTGGGATTACAGGTGCCCACCACCACGCCCAGCTAATTTTTGTATTTTTACTAGAGATGGGGTTTCACCATGTTGTCCAGGCTGGTCTCGAACTTCTGACCTCAGGTAATCCACCTGCCTCAGCCTCCCAAAGTGCTGGTATTAGAGGCGTGAGCCACCACAGCCAGCCTTTTTTTTTTTTTTTTTTTTTTTTAATTTTGAGATAGAGTCTCGCTCTGTCGCCCAGGCTGGAGTGCTATGGTGCAATCTTGGCTCACTGCAACCTCTGCCTCCCAGTTTGAAGCAATTCTGCCTCAGCTTCCCGAGTAGCTTGGATTACAGGTGTGTGCCACCACATTTGACCAATTTTTTTTTTTTTTTTTTTTTTTGAGACAGAGTCTCACTCTGTCACCCAGGCTAGAGTGCAGTGGCATGATCTTGGCTCACTGCAACCTCCACCTCCCAGGTTCAAGCGATTCTTATCCCTCAGCCTCTTGAGTAGCTGGGACTACAGGCATATGCCACCATGCCCGGATAATTTTTGTATTTTTAGTAGAGGCGGGGTTTCACCATATTGGCCAAGCTGGTCTAGAACTCCTGACATGATCCGCACACCTCGGCCTCCCAATGTGCTGGGATTACAGGCGTGAGCCACCGTGCCCGGCCCAATTTTTGTATTTTTAGTAGAGACGGGTTCACCATGTTGGCCAGGCTAGTCTTGAACTCCTGACCTCAGGTGATCTGCCTACCTCAGCCTCCCAGTGTGAGCCACCGCACCCAGCCTGGATTGTTGAATTCAATGCTTGGGTCACCTCCAGATTCATTTTCACAGTCTTTCATGTTTTGGTCATATGACATTGTATTTTGCTGCCATATGACTGATCTTTTTTTGTTAAATGTGAGATACTTGTTAAAAAATGTTTAGCAATGAATTGAGGCCTAGTAGCATGTTATCTTGCTGCAGAAGAGATGGGAGTCTACTTCTGGGGGATGGTCAGGGGTCCTCCATACAGGCTGCAATTGAAGTCGTCGGTGCAGGCTCAGTCCCTACAAAGGCCAGGGTATTTCCTGTCCACCTTTATTCTGATGCATGACTCTTCTGGGTCTCAACCAGAGCCAGTGGACTTCAGTACGGGTCGCTTTCATTGGCAGACCCTCAATCCACTTGTTTTCCATCTAATCCCACGCATGTGTGCAAAAGCTGCTGTGCTTCTTTGCATCTCAGTAGTTCCTTCTGGAATTCAGCAATGAAACTCAGGGAAATGGGTTCCAAATGCGAGGCTGACTTTCGTCCTGGGTTTCCTTCTTCTCCATCTTCACCTCATGTCTGTTTACTGCCATGTTAGCAATTTGATGTATTCAATCATGGGTTTTATATTCTGTTTGGTGTCCCCCATTGTTCTCATCGGAGATCAGAAGCTTCAGATGCACTTATGTCAACTCAAGAGTAGAATGCTTCCTTAGCTTCCCTCCAGAGTCAGGTTTTGTGTTTCTAGTTCCCAAGTGCACAGCAGGAGTAGTGATGTCCTCACTGGCTTCTCATTTGCATTAAGCTGTGAGCTTCTTTAGCGTGGGGACAGGACCCTGCTCCCATTGCATTCTCAGCACCACACCACACACTCCTTGTTTGAGGCCACTCCAGACAGCATGTGCTGAAGGATGCCTTGTGGTCAGAAACAAGTTCATTAACTTTCTCTTTGAAGTGTTTTCGCCCCTGTTTCCTAGCGTTCTGGGAATTTTACACATCCTTCCTATAAAACCAAGTATCAGGTGAGATCCTTAGGATCAGGACCATGAATCAAGTGGAGTGAGGGCAACACAGCAAACTTACCCTTTTTAGGCCGTTTCCTTTTTCTGCCCTCAATCTCTGTGAACTGAACCTTGTTAAAGTCAGTCAACACCAGGGTGGATGGTTTGCCGTTGTCACCTATTTTCAGGACATAACACCCTGACTTAGGAGCCATTCCGATCATTTCTAATTCAATAGATGCGCCCAGCATTCAGATTGCCTTTTCTCTCAACCAGGATCTTTAAAGTCGATGACAAGAGTTCCAGTCCTGAATCATGGCAAAGTGCAGTAGTGAACTGCGGGGTTATTCTGGAAGGATCTCTCTATGGCTGATGGTCTCAGTTCCGGCATCAGCCTCTGACTGAGAATCAGGTCTCACACAGGAGGAGTCAGATGAGGAGCAATCCTCTGCTTCCGATGGAGTTAGTTGTGATGAATTGGTGAGGTCTGGTTTTTCACACTGAACTAAAATGAGCTTTCGCTGTGTCAAGCACAAGACTGACCCCAGAGACACACATAGTGCACCTCATAGAAGCTTTTAATAGTCTTTATATTTACTAAAGAATAGGACTAACTATGGAACTATGAAGATGAGCTGGAAATGACAGGTGACTTGCCAGCAGGCCAGAGTGTGACTTTTTTTTGTCCCTCAATGGGAGGTGTCAATTCTCCCTTCGGTTGTGAGAATCAGTTGGTTCATTTGTGGGAAGGTTGCAGGGGGGATCTTTGAATCACAGCCTTCAGATGCCAGAAGGGCAGAGGGAATCCCACACGGGCTGGTGGATCATGTGTGTGCATTTCTCTCCCTTCTAATCTGAGGAAACTAAGCGTGAAAGAATGTGAGCATGCAGAAAAGGAGAGGCAGGTATCAGAGGCAGAGGAAAATGGGAAATTGGATATGAAAGAAATACACACCTACAAGTGAGTTCAGAAACTGAACCCCACCCTCCTGGGAAACGCCCATTGGAGTGTTGTTTTTAACCTTTGTACAGTATTTAGACCCAGTAAATGCAGAAATAGAAACAAACGGTCAGAAGACATATCGTGAGAGAGAGCGAGAGAGAGTTCACAAAACAGAAAACAAAGTACCTTAATATTTACCAGTGACCAAAAGATGTGAAGTAGCAAAACGTCTCCTGACCCCATTGCCAGCTAGACTGTGTGGAAACTCGGTTCATACCAGCCATTCTAGGGGTGGGGTGAGTTGTTGTCATCCTTAGGAAAGTGTGTTGTTGTAGGATCAACCACATCCTTCAAAAGGACTATGCCTGTTTATAAGCCCAGCTGTTTCTGCCCTGTGAAACACGGTAAGGATATTAATACAAAGAGAATACAGCTTTATGATAAAAGATGCTCAATGAAGGATGAATTAGGGATGTACTGAGAATGGGGAAGGAAACTATCATCTCAGAAGTCAGCAGGCAGTAAGCAAGAGGAGGAATCAATACAGCAACAGTTTGGATCAGACTGTACAGTTTTTTTGTTTTTGTTTTTCTGAGATGGAGTCTCGCTGTGTCACCCAGGCTGGAGTGCAATGACGTGATCTTGGCTCACTGCAACCTCCGCCTCCCAGGTTCAAGTGATTCCCCTGCCTCAGCCTCCCGAGTAGCTGGGATTACAGGTGCCTGCCACCACGCCTGGCTAATTTTTTGTATTTTTAGTAGAGAAGGGGTTTCACCATATTAGCCACAATGGTCTCAATCTCCTGACCTCGTGATCCATCTGCCCCGCCCTCCCAGAGTGCTGGGATTACAGGCGTCAGCCACCGTGACCGGCTCAGACTGTACTCTTATAGCCATCTGAAATACGTTTTCTAGGTAGAGATAGATTGTGTAAGGGTACAGTTGTGAGGATAACAGAAACATGGCAGATTATTTAAAATCATCCTGAAAGTGGTGCTTTATCTGATGAAAGTGATTGTAATCCATAGGAAAATGTTTCAACGTGCGCAAGAGTTGCGGCGGCGGGCAGAGGACTACCACAAATGCAAAGTAAGGAGCTTCCTCCCTGCAGTTGCAGGATAGTTCAGTGCTGATGCAGATGATGCCACGGCCCTTAGACTCTCTCAACATTCAATTTCTCATGTGTTGGCTTTTTCAGATCCCCCCTTCTGCAAGAAAGGCTCTTTGCAACTGGGTAAGTTTGCTTGTTTTCCTTGCTTTTGGACATAGTCTGCCAGGTCAGGACATGGATACATTTTTCTCCCTACAGCTCTGTGCTCAAGCCCTGCAGAGGGAGATGGCAGAGAGAAAGGCTGCCTACAAGCATCACAGTCCCATCCCTGTTGGTAACCGTGTTGTGCAAAAACACCTTCATCCCCACCCAGTGGGGCCCCTGATCTAATATTCTAAGTGTCAGAGGTTCCGTATTTGTAATAGCAGATGGGCCCTGACTGTAAACTAGTGAAGAGTGAATGTAACTTATTACCCACAGGGACAATTCCAAATGAAGGCCTTAAATGATGCTCAGCTAAGCTGGTTCTTGTGTGGCCTCTGTACCTTCAAAAGCTGCCGAGTCCTATGATTACACGTGATGGGACTTGTACACTTGAAGTGAAACACAGTTTTAAAACTTGCTTTGTTTAGAATTCCCACCTCATTTTTCCATGGACAAAAGTATTCTTTATGTCCTAGTGCACTTACAATTTGGTATTACCTGGGAGTGAAAAGAAATATTACAGCCATGCCTAAGTGACTTCTTGAGGTGAGATTGTTCTGTCAGAAAACCCTCTCCCAGTTCCCCTGCAGCTCTTCAGGAATCCACATCTCTCCAGAGCTCTTTGTTCTCATGGGTGGCACCTCCAGAGTGAAGAAGATCCTTTGTCAAGAAGGGAAACAGAGGGGAAATGAGAGGGTCCTGCAGGCAGAGCTGGAATCAACTTCCACTCTGCCTCTTGCAAGCTGTGTGACCCTGGGCACAATTTCTCCTTCCTCTGGAAACCTCTGTTTTCTTAGATTTGGAGCAGGGTGGTCACACTGACCTTGCAGAGTTCTGAGAGTCAGAGACAGAACATAAAAGGCCTGGAAAACATTCTCCAAAAAGAAGCTGCAACATGTGTGGACAGTGGGCTTTTCATGCCTCTCTTACTGTCTCTTACTGTCTGTTGACCTGGTGCAAGAAACATGCTCTGGTGATGGCTGTGAGGGAGGAATGAGGATAGACATAGACACTCCTGTGTCTCAAACATGCTTCTTTATTACTCTGTTATGACTCTGTCTTCCCTGGGGCAGGACCCCAGCCTGCCTACATTTGCAGACAGACACAGTGGCATGTGGAGACAACAGTGTGTCCCAATGACTTTCCTTTACCCTCCAGCTGTCGGCAGTACTCAGTGGAAGGGTGATATTATGACACTGATACTGCTATTTTGAAACCTGGAGGATGGAAAGGTGCAAAAATCTATCACCAGCAACAGAAGGTGCAGACTGTGTTGGTGGCGGTAATTTTGTCCATCAAATGAATATGTGTGAAAACATTCCCTCCTTTGGCCCTACAGGTCAGAATGGCGGCAGCGGAGCATCGTCATTCTTCAGGATTGCCCTACTGGCCCTACCTCACAGCTGAAACTTTAAAAAACAGGATGGGCCACCAGCCACCTCCTCCAACTCAACAACATTCTATAACTGATAACTCCCTGAGCCTCAAGACACCTCCCGAGTGTGTGCTCACTCCCCTTCCACCCTCAGCGGATGATAATCTCAAGACACCTCCCGAGTGTGTGCTCACTCCCCTTCCACCCTCAGCGGATGATAATCTCAAGACACCTCCTGAGTGTCTGCTCACTCCCCTTCCACCCTCAGCGGATGATAATCTCAAGACACCTCCCGAGTGTCTGCTCACTCCCCTTCCACCCTCAGCGGATGATAATCTCAAGACACCTCCCGAGTGTCTGCTCACTCCCCTTCCACCCTCAGCTCCACCCTCAGCTCCACCCTCAGCGGATGATAATCTCAAGACACGTGCCGAGTGTCTGCTCCATCCCCTTCCACCCTCAGCGGATGATAATCTCAAGACACCTTCCGAGCGTCAGCTCACTCCCCTTCCACCCTCAGCTCCACCCTCAGCAGATGATAATATCAAGACACCTGCCGAGCGTCTGCGGGGGCCGCTTCCACCCTCAGCGGATGATAATCTCAAGACACCTTCCGAGCGTCAGCTCACTCCCCTTCCACCCTCAGCTCCACCCTCAGCAGATGATAATATCAAGACACCTGCCTTCCACCCTCAGCGGATGATAATCTCAAGACACCTTCCGAGCGTCAGCTCACTCCCCTTCCACCCTCAGCTCCACTCTCAGCAGATGATAATATCAAGATACCTGCTGAGCGTCTGCGGATTCCGCTTCCACCATCAGCCGATGATAATCTCAAGACACCTTCCGAGCGTCAGCTCACTCCCCTTCCACCCTCAGCTCCACCCTCAGCAGATGATAATATCAAGACACCTGCCGAGCGTCTGCGGGGGCCGCTTCCACCCTCAGCGGATGATAATCTCAAGACACCTTCCGAGCGTCAGCTCACTCCCCTTCCACCCTCAGCTCCACCCTCAGCAGATGATAATATCAAGACACCTGCCGAGCGTCTGCGGGGGCCGCTTCCACCCTCAGCGGATGATAATCTCAAGACACCTTCCGAGCGTCAGCTCACTCCCCTTCCACCCTCAGCTCCACCCTCAGCAGATGATAATATCAAGACACCTGCCGAGCGTCTGCGGGGGCCGCTTCCACCCTCAGCGGATGATAATCTCAAGACACCTTCCGAGCGTCAGCTCACTCCCCTTCCACCCTCAGCTCCACCCTCAGCAGATGATAATATCAAGACACCTGCCGAGCGTCTGCGGGGAGCGTCTGCGGGGGCCGCTTCCACCCTCAGCGGATGATAATCTCAAGACACCTTCCGAGCGTCAGCTCACTCCCCTTCCACCCTCAGCTCCACCCTCAGCAGATGATAATATCAAGACACCTGCCGAGCGTCTGCGGGGGCCGCTTCCACCCTCAGCGGATGATAATCTCAAGACACCTTCCGAGCGTCAGCTCACTCCCCTTCCACCCTCAGCTCCACCCTCAGCAGATGATAATATCAAGACACCTGCCGAGCGTCTGCGGGGGCCGCTTCCACCCTCAGCGGATGATAATCTCAAGACACCTTCTGAGCGTCAGCTCACTCCCCTTCCACCCTCAGCTCCACCCTCAGCAGATGATAATATCAAGACACCTGCCGAGCGTCTGCGGGGGCCGCTTCCACCCTCAGCCGATGATAATCTCAAGACACCTCCCTTAGCTACTCAGGAGGCTGAGGCAGAAAAACCACGCAAACCCAAGAGGCAGAGGGCGGCTGAGATGGAACCACCTCCCGAACCCAAGAGGCGGAGGGTCGGTGACGTGGAACCGTCACGCAAACCCAAGAGGCGGAGGGCCGCTGACGTGGAACCATCATCACCCGAACCCAAGAGGCGGAGGGTCGGTGATGTGGAACCGTCACGCAAACCCAAGAGGCGGAGGGCCGCTGACGTGGAACCATCATCACCCGAACCCAAGAGGCGGAGGGTCGGTGACGTGGAACCGTCACGCAAACCCAAGAGGCGGAGGGCCGCTGACGTGGAACCATCATTACCCGAACCCAAGAGGCGGAGGTTGAGCTGAGAAGAGGCCAGTGCACTCAAGCCTGAGCAATAAGAATAAAACCGAGTAGAACAAAATAAAAAATTCAAAAAACAAAACAAAACCCACACTCCAAAAACTAACAAAGAATAAATAAATAATATAAAAATAAAATAAATACTGCAGTCCTTATGTTATTGCTTTGTTTCGATATCTGGTATGATTGCCTGAGGGACCTGAGGTTTTTAATCATAGGGGTTTTTTTTTAATCTTTAGAAGTGGTTGGTTATGTAAAATATTATTATTATTTTTTTTGAGACTGGATTTTGCTGTGTCACCCAGGCTGGAGTGCAGTGGCTCGATCACAGCTCACTGCAGCCTCAACCTCCTGGGCTTCAAGCAATCCTCCTGCCTCAGCCTCCCAAGTAGCTGGGATCACAGATGTGTGCCACCACGCCTGGCCAATGTTAAAAAATCCTTTAACTTTTTTGTAGAGATGCACTCCTGGACTCAAGCGATCCTCCTACTTGTCCCGACCACCAGCCCCTTTCTGATAAACAAACATTTACACTGTTTATTATCTGATGCCATTTCTATCTTCTTCCTTGTCGTCCAGACATCGAATAATTAGGTTTCTTCAGGGTTTTCTTTTTCAAGTGCTCAGTGTTAAAGATCACTCACATTAGGGCCAGACACCATGGCTCATGCCTGTAATCCCAGCACTTTGGGAGGCCGAGGCGGGCAGAGCACTTGAGGTGGGGAGTTTGAGACCAGCCCGGCCAACTTGGTGAAACCCCACCTCTACTGAAAAAAATACAAAAATTAGCTGGGCGTGATGGTGCATGTCTGTAGTCCTAGCCACTTGGGAGGCTGAGGCATGAGAATCGCTTGAACCCAGGAGGCAGAGGTTGTAGTGAGCCAAGATCACGTCAGCACACTCTAGCCTGGGTGACAGAGTGAGACTCTGACTCAAAAAATATAAATAAAATAAATATCACTTACATTAGATATACCCAAGGGGTGGTCTACAGAGACTTGGAAGCAGTGGTTATTGCAACAGGGGCACGGAAGTCATCTGGCTATGCCAGGGTGCCCAGGGGATACTCGGGGTGGGTGGCATGGTGCTGCTGGGGACTCATCGCACAGGACGCTCTGATTGACGCACTGCCAGGAGTAGCGCTCTGTCTTGGGGCTGCAGCCGGCCTCCTCAGCTCGAGTGTAACAACAGTCGTGGCCATGGCAGCACCTGCGGATGTCACACGGGCAGGACAGCAGGTGGGTGAAGCTCTCTCCTGGCCCTCCTCTCTTGCCAGGACCATGGGTGACTGAAGACCCCCAGGGAGGCACAGCATCCTCTTATCTAAGATTTTTTTTTTTTTAAGAGACAGGGTCTTTAAAAAAGTCCTGCAGTCTGCAGTCGCCCAGGCTGGACTGCAGAGGCACAATCATAGCTCACGGCAGCCTTGAACTCCTGGGCTCAAGCGATCCTCCCACTTCAGTGTCCCAAGTAGCTGAGACTACAGGCACACGCCAGCATGCCCGGCTGGTTTTTTAATTTGTATTTCCTTTGAGACAGCATATCTCTCTGTCGCTCAGGCTGGGGTGCAATGGCTCAATCAGCTCACTTTAGCCTTGAACTCCCGGGCTCAAGTGATACTGCCACCTCAACTTCCCAAGTATGCTACTACAGGAACACAAACTCCTTTTTTAAATTTTTTGTGGATATGGGGTCTATGTTGCCTAGGCTGGTCTTGAACTCCCAGGCTCAAGCAGTCCTCCTACCTCAGCCTCCCCAAATGCTGGGATTACAGGTGGGAGCTACTGTACGCCTGGCCTTATCTAAGCTGTTTCCCTGAAAATGCCCGTCTTGGGTAATGATTCCATTGGCCCCACCATGCCCTGTCCTGCCTTCCTGGCTGTGCCCAAGCTTGGTCCCTGCCTGCCTGCCTCACTCTCTGGGTCTCGAGCTCCTGTGACACATGACTCCTCTCTCTTCCTGGAGTGATCCAAGCCCTGCCACTTCCTGACTTTGCCCACACTGTACCCTCTGCCTGGGGCAACTTCATGTCTGCCCATTGTCCCTTAGGCCTCAGCCCAGGCACAAGCCCCTGCCTCCGGAGGTCATCCAGGCCTCACCAGGCTACACCCTCTCGTAAAATTGGATTCCCTCCCTTCAGGGCAGGTTTATAATGAAATCCTCCTCGGAGGCCAGGTGCGGTGACACCCATCTGTAATCCCAGCACTTTGGGAGGCTGAGGTGGGAGGATCACTTGAGGCCAGGGGGTCGAGACCAGCCTGGGCAACATAAGAGAGACTCTTGTCTCTATAACAAATTTAAAAATTAGCTCACCAGGCCAGGCTCAGTGGCTCATGCCTGTAATCCCAACACTTTGAGAGGCCGAGGCAGGTGGATCACGAGGTCAGGAGTTCGAGAGCAGCCTGACCAACATGGCGAAACCCTGTCTCTACTAAAAATACAAAATTAGCCAGGCATGGTGGCACACACATGTAATCCCAGCTACTCGGGAGGCTGAGGTAGGAGAATTGCTTGAACCCAGGAGGTGGAGGTTGCGGTGAGCCAAGATCATGCCACTGCAGTCCAGCCTGAGCAACAGAGCAAGACTCTGTCTCAAGACAATAAAAACACACAAAAAATTAACTCGCCATGATGGCACATGCCTATAGTCCTAGCTACTTGGGAGGCTGACGTGGGAGGATTCCCTTCAGCCCAGGAGTTTGAGGCTGCAGTGAGCCACTATGATTGTGCCACTGCACTCTAACCTGGGCAAAAGCGAGACCCCAGGCTAGAGTGCATGATTTTGGGTCACTGCAACCTCCACCTCCCAGGTTCAAGTGATTCTCCTGCCTCAGCCTCTTGAGTAGCTGGGACTACAGGCATGTGCCACCACGCCTGGGTAATTTTTGTATTTTTAGTAGAGACAGGGTTTAGTAGAGACCATGGTGAAACCCCGTCTCTATAAAACAAATCTCTACTAACCCCATCTCTACAAAAAACAGCTGGGCGTGGTAGTGCACACCTGTAATTCCAGCTACTTGGGAGGCTGAGGCACGAGAATCATTTGCATCTTGGAGGCAGAGTTTGCAGTGAGCTGACATCGCACCACTGCACTCCAGCTGGGATGACAGAGCAAGACCCTGTCTCAAAAAAAAGAAAAAGGAACAAACAACAGCAACAACAAAAAAACCTCTGTGTCAATCACAGCCTTCAAGCTAGGGGAGAGGCGGCCGAATTCTGCCCTCTGCTAACTAACTATAGCTTTGTGGAAATGGGTGAGTGGCATGCCCCTGTGAGCCTCAGGGCCCCATCTGTAAAATGGGCATAACTGTCATGCCCGTCTTTAAGAACAGCCTTGGGGGTAAATGAGTGGAACTCATGGAAAGATCTCAGCCCACAACCTTCCACAGAACAGGCGCTTCTCACACAGTAAGTAGCAGGAGTGCAGAGGCTGCAGGCATGAATCCAGCCAGACTGCCTGGGTTCAAGTCCCAGCTCCCACGTCTTGGTAACTAAGTGGCCTCAGACAAGTTACTTAATATTTCTTTTTTTTTTTTTTTTTTTTTCAGACGGAGTTTTGCTCTGTCACCCAGGCTGGAGTGCAGTGGTGTGATCTCGGTTCATTGCAACCTCTGCCTCCCGGGTTCAAGCAATTCTCCTGCCTCAGCTTCCTGAGTAGCTGGAATTACAGGCACCTGCCACCACACACAGCTAATTTTTGTATTTTTAGTAGAGACGGGGTTTCACCATGTTGGCCAGGATGGTCTCGAACTCCTGACCTCATGATCTGCCTGCCTCAGCCTCCCAAAGTACTGGGATTACAGGCGTGAGCCACCGCACCTGGACACGTTACTGAATATTTCTGTGCCTAGGTTTCTTCATCTGTGAAATGGGATTGTTGTGAGAACACAAAGAGATTCCCAGGGCAGTTCCTAGTGCATAGTCTGGCTGCCTTTGTGTGTGTGTGTGTGTGTGTGTGTGTGTGTGTGTGTGTGTGTGTGTGTGTGTGTGTGTGTGTGTTTAATATAGAGACAGGGTCTCACTCTGTTGCCTAGGCTCGTTTCAAACTCCTGGGCTCCAGTGATCCTCCTGCCTCGACCCAAAGTGGTGGGATTACAGGCATGAGTCAACACACCTGGCCACTTTATATTATTATTATTTTTTTCTTTTGAGACAGGGTTTGGCACTGTTGTCCAGGTTGGAATACAGCGGTGCAATCTCAACTCACTGCAAACTCCACCTCCCGGGTTCAAGCAATTCTCCTGCCTCAGTCTCCCCAGTAGCTGAGATTACAGACGCCTGCCACCACACACAGCTAATTTTTGCATTTTTAGTAGAGATGGGGTTTCACCATATTGGCCAGGCTGGTCTTGAACTCCTGACCTCAAGTGATCTGCCCACCTCGGCCTCCCAAAGTGCTGGGATTACAGGAGTTAGCCACCGCTCCTGGCCAATTTTTTAAGGCAACGTTTTCAGCCCATGGCCAGGGTAAGGGGCAGCTGGTACCAAGATCTGGCTTCACTGGCCATGTTATCCAAGAGGCCTCTGCCTGCCTGCAAAGTAGTACTGCACACTGGGATCTCCCTGGACCAAACCCCAGCTTCAGTTTTGGGTACTTCCTCATAAGCCTTGACTACCCCAGAGTGTGAGGGATTTTGTAGCCTGGTCCCAGGCATGCACTCACCAGTCAATGGCATCGCAGGGCTGGCCATGGCCTCCCAAGCCACAAAAGGAACCATATTTCATATAGGCGATGGGAGTCTAGGGACTAACACAACCCACAATTCCTGCCAGTTCCAGGATCCCACGCCGGTGCACACATAATATCCTGGAGGCTGGGGGGTAAACGAAGGTGACAGGCTGCAGGTCAGGGCTTCCCAGACCCCTGGGAAGGGCATGAGCCTGAGAAGAGCCTAGGTGTTACAGCCTGGCTGTCTGGGTTTGAATCCTACTTCCTAGCTGTGTGACCTTGGACGAATTCCTAACCTCTCTGGGCCTTGGTTTCCTCATCTGTGAAATGGGGGGTAAGCTGACTTCAACTCATATGAATGAAATGAGATAATGAGTATAAAGCCCCTGGTGCATGAAAAGGCTATTATAATCCGGCTGGGCTCAGTGGCTCACACCTGTAATCCCAAGACTTTGGGAGGCCCAGGTGGGCAGATCACCTGAGGTCAGCAGTTCAAGATCAGCCTGGCCAACATGGTGAAACCCCATCTGTAGTAAAAATACAAAAATTAGCTGAGCCTAGTGGTGCACACCGGTAATCCCAGCTACTAGGGAGGCTGAGGAAGGAGAGTCACTTGAACCTGAGAGGTGAAGATTGCAGTGAGCCAAGATTTTGCCACTGCATTCCAACCTGGACGACAGAGCAAGAGTCTCAAAAAAAGAAAAAGAAAAAAAGGATAACTATTATAATCAAGGTCCTCAAGGTAGCCAAGAAGGGAAAAAAGAGTCGTGCATGAAACGTTTGTCCAGTTCCCTGTGTTGGGCACTGGGCATCACGGATGTGCCTACAGGTGTCTGTCACCAAGGTGGGCTCCTCTGTGGCAGCTCCCGGGCCCTGGCACTGCCCTGTGCTCATGACTTCCCCTCCAGACTCAGGGCCCTTGGTATCTCCTCTTATTTTCACTGCCAGACAGGAAGGCCCCTTGGCCTGAGTCCAGCCATTTTTCTAGATCCTGGCACAGCTTGGACATGTAATGGTGCCCAATGCATGTGACTGGAACCCCTGCATTGGACATGAAGGAAACGAGGCCAGCCAGGAAAGGTAACCCCACATTCCCACAGCCAGCAGGAACCCGAGCAGAGGCTTCAACCCAGGCTTCTGACTTGCAAACCAGTGCTCCTTCCTCCTTACACAGTAACAACAGGGGAAGGTGGCCTTCCGGGTTGCCAGAGCCGAGTGGTACCAGCAATAGAGTGGAAACTCACACACAGGCTTGCCTGCTTCCTGGGTTAGGGTTAGGGTTTATATGGCTCCGGGAGGTTGATGCATTGTGTTTGATCATCCCCCCTTTTTTTTTTTTTGAGACAGAGTCTCATTCCTGTTGCCCAGGCTGGAGCACAGTGGTGTAATCTTGCTCACAGCAACTTCTGCCTCCCAGGTTCAAGCAATTGTCCCGCCTCAGCCTCCCGAGTAGCTGGGATCACAGGTGTGCGCCACCACACCCAGCTGATTTTTGTATTTTTAGTAGAAACGGGGTTTCACCATCTAGGCCAGGCTGGTCTCGAACTCCTGACCTCATATGATCCACCTGGTTTGGCCTCCCAAAGTGCTGGGATTATAGGCGTGAGCCACTGCGCTCATCCTGATCATCTTGTCTCTCTTTTTTTTTTTTAGAGACAGGGTCTCACTCTGTCACCCACACTGGAGTGCAGTGGCACAATCATAGCTCACTGCAGCCTCCAAATCCTGGGCTCAAGCGATCCTCCTGCCTCAGCCTCCAGACATATGGGCATGCACCACCATGCCCAGCTAATTTTTAAATTTTTAGTAGATCTGGGGTCTCACTATGTTGCCCAGGCTGTTCACAAACTCCTGGCCTCAAGTGATTCTCCTGCCTTGGCCTCCGAAGGCGCTGGGATTCCAGGCATGAGCCACCATGCCCAGTCTCATTTCTGTTTTATCTAGAACATGTTTTCATCACACTGACTTTTTTGAGAAGTCCAGGCCAGATTTAAATTCCATTTTGTCTTTTTATCGGTAGAAAAGTAGCATATTTATGTTGCAGGACAAAGATGAATCAAATAGGAAGAAAATGTAAAACACATTTGGGGCCAGGCACAGTGGCTCATGCCTGTAATCCCAGCACTTTGGGAGGCCAAAGTGGGCAGATCACCTGAAGTCAGGAGTTCCAGACCAGCCTGACCAACATGGAGAAACCCTGTTTCTTTTTTTTTTTTACTGATCTCCAGAACTCTTTTTTTTTTTTATTGATCATTCTTGGGTGTTTCTCGCAGAGGTGGATTTGGCAGGGTCATAGGACAATAGTGGAGGGAGGGTAAGGTCACAGATCAACAGGATCCCAAGGCAGAAGAATTTTTCTTACTACAGAACAAAATGAAAAGTCTCCCATGTCTACTTCCTTCTACACAGACACGGCAACCATCCGATTTCTCAATCTTTTCCCCACCTTTCCCCCCTTTCTATTCCACAAAACCGCCACTGTCATCATGGCCCGTTCTCAATGAGCTGTTGGGCACACCTCCCAGCCGTGGTGGGAGACATGCACCACCACGCCTGGCTAATTTTTGTATTTTTAGTAGAGGCGGGCTGGCCAGGCTGATCTGGAACTCCTGACCGCAAGTGATCCACCCGCCTTGGCCTCCCAAAGTGCTGAGATTACAGGCGTGAGCCACTGCACCTGGCCCATTGATTTAAAAATATATATATATATATATTTAGTTTTAATGTATTGAGGGGGTATAAGTACGAGTTTCTCACATGCCTATATCGCATAGTGGTGAAGCCTGGGTAGTTCATTGATCTGGGTTATCAGAAAACTGTGTTCAAGAGGACTTGTTAGAGTTTTCTCCATGCAAAGCAAATTTGGGGGCAGGACGCAGTGGCTGACTGCTGTAATCCCAGCACTTTCGGAGGCTGAGGAGGGCGGATCACGAGGTCAGGAGCTGGAGACCAGCCTGGCCAACATGGTAAAACCCTGTCTCTACCACCACCAGTTAGCTGGGCGTGGTGCTGGGCGACTGTAGTCCTAGCTACTTGGGAGGCTGAGGCAGGAGAATCGCTTGAACCCAGGAGGCAGAGGTTGCAGAGAGCCAAGATGGCACCACTGCACTCCAGCCTGGGTGACAGAGCCAGACTCCATCTCAAAAAAAAAAAAAAAAAGGTATTTACTAAATTTTAGTATCAAAATAACAAATTATGTATGTTTTGGGGAAAGAAATCTGGTTATTAAATCTTCATTTCGATTGAGTTCTATGTAAATTAAAATTCACTCTAAGAACTATTTTTTGGTGTAAAACTTCATCTGTCCAAAAGTGTTCAGGAGATAACCTGAGATTTTAGAATAGAAATGTAAACAATCAAAACCAAGAAACCAAGTTTCCTGAAACTTGCATTAAAATATTAGAAATATTAATAATTCTAAAATGCCATTTTGCCACTGTTATTCATATTAACCAAAATATTAGAGAAGTAATATTTCAGACTAGATCAGGAAAAAATGTCTGAATACAATTAAAAAATAATCATTGATAATTTTTTTAAAAGTGGGTCTATAAATAGTAGTAATTCCTCAAAATGAAGTGCATAATTGGCACATCAAATATTTTGTCTGCAGGCAATTCTGTGCATTTTAGGTCAAAATGTGGTCCCTTTAAGAGAGTCCTTGACTTCTCATTTCTCCGGGGACCCTTCTGTGGCACTGGTCCCCTTTGTATATAAAATGGTGAAAGCTGACTTGAATGTGCCGTCACCGCTCTGCTGGGAAAAACAGATGAAGGTGGCCCAGAGAAAACCACAGACTCCAGCGTAAGCTGTTCTCCATTGAACAGGAACAAGGCTGAAGTTGGTTAGCTGGAACAGGGAGAGTGAGTCCATTAGGGCCACATGGAAACCAAAGCCCTGAGTTCATATTACTGAGCAGGCGGAACTCACCTGTACTAAGGGCCAGTACATCAGTCCGCTCTGGAATTAAAAAAAAAAAAAAAAGCAACAACTTAATTAGAATGCCTTTTATTTTTTATTTATTTATTTTGTTTTTTATTTTTTGAGACAGGGTCTCACTCTGTTGCCCAGACTGGAGTGCAGTGATGCAATCTTAGCTCACCGTAACCTCTGCCTCCTGGGTTCAAGCAATTGTCGTGCCTCTGCCTCCTGAGTATCTGCGATGACAGATGCACACCACCTCACCTGGCTAAATTTTGTATTTTTAGTAGAGACGGGTTTTCAACATGTTGGCCAGGCTGGTCTCGAACTCCCGACCTCAGGTGATCCGCCCACCTCGGCATCCCAAAGCGCTGGGATTACAGGTGTGAGCCACTATACTCGACCTAGAATACCTTTTAGCCACACAAAACAATTGCACAGTTCATTCCATAAAAGAGTAAGAAATACTAGGCCAACAAGATGCCAAGGTAGTATTATATTTCAGACTAAGCTGATTAAATTAGACTACTAAGGCCTCTAGAGTGAGGGGGTTGGGGAGTTGTGGGGAAAAAAGCTATTAGGTACAAGACATTTCTATTAATTATATTTTTAACATCAGAATGAAAAGTCTACTAGAATCAGTACCAATTCTGGAAGAGAGCCGCTTTGGAAATGACAGCATGTATTTATGCATTGCAATTTCCTGGTTACCATGAACAAATGATGCAGGAATATATTTGTAAATACAGAATCATCAATGAATTCTCTTTTTTAAAATTAATTATATATATATTTTCTGAGACATGGTATCTCTATGTTGCCCAGGCTGGTCTTGAACTCCCAGGCAAAAGCAATAGTCCCACCGCAGCCTCCCAAAGTGCTGGGGTTATAGGCATGAGCCACCTCATCCTGCTGAATTATTTTATTTATTTATTTTGTTTGAGATGGAGTCTCATTCTGTCGCCTAAGCTGGAGTGCAGTGGCAAGATCTCGGCTCACTGCAACCTCTGCCTCCTAGGTTCAAGTGATTCTCCTGCCTCAGCCTCCTCAGTAGCTGGGATCACAGGCACCTGCCACCATGCTCGGCTAATTTTTGTATTTTTATTAGAGACAGGGTTTCACCATGTTGGCCAGGCTGGTCTTGAAGTCCTGACCTCAGGTGATTTGCCTGCCTCCTCCTCCCAAAGTGGTGGGATTACAGGCGTGAGCCATTGTGCCCAGCCTTGAATTGTTAAAACTATATACCAAACCATTGTTTATGGAATGATTTTCAATAATATATTCAAACCATGGGATGCTATAGCACAAGTTTAGCTGAAATTTTCATATATTACAAAATATCTTAGACATTTTAACAAGCTTTATTCTATACAGTCCGATAAAAAAGTCACCATTATGAATTTTTTTTTTTAAAAAAGTCTTGGTATGTAAATTATATCTCAAAAAAAAGCTAGAGGTTTTTAAAATAGTTCTTAAAAGTGGTATTACAGACTTATTTTCTTCTTTTTACTAATTTGTATTTTCTGAAGTTTCTAAAATGAACAATTGCAATAAAAGCTTTATAATATTTATGTTTATATTTAAAAGTAGATATTACATATAATGTGTGTGTGTATATACATATATTTTGTTTTGTTTTGTTTTGTTTTATTTTGTTTTGTTTTTGAGGTGGAGTTTCGCTCTTGTTGCCCAGGCTGGAGTGCAATGGTGCGATCTCGGCTCACTGCAACCTCCACTTCCCGGGTTCAAGGGATTGTCCTGCCTCAGCCTCTGAGCAGCTGGGATTACAGGTGCACACGACCACGCCCAGTTAATTTTTTGTATTTTTAGTAGAGACAGCGTTTCACGATATTGGCCAGGCTGGTCTTGAACTCCTGACCTCAGGTGATCTGCCCACCTCGGCCTCCCAAGGTGCTGGGATTACGGTTGTGAGCCACCATGCCTGGCCATAAAATATATTTTACATATATTTTTGAGACGGAGTTTCGCTCTTGTGCCTTTCAAATTCCCGAGTTCATGGGATCCAGCCACCTCGGCCTCCCAAAGTGCTGGGATTACAGGCGTGAGACACTGAGCCTGGCCCTTAATTTTTAAATATACTTTAAATATAAAATATACCCCTGTAATCCCAGCACTTTGGGAGGCCAAGGCAGCCGGATCACCTGAAGTCGGGAGTTTGAGACCAGCCTGACCAACATTGAGAAACCCCATCTCTAACAAAAATACAAAAATTAGCAGGGCGTGATGGCAGGAATCTGTAATCCCAGCTACTCAAGAGGCTGAGGCAGGAGAATTGCTTGAACCTGGGAGGCAGAGGTTGCAGTGAGCTGAGACTGCACCATTGCACCCCAACCCGGGCAACAGAACGAGACTCTGTCTCAAAAAATAATAATAATAATAATTTAAAACTTCAGCAAAAATAATCAGAAGACTAAACTCATCCAAATATGGCTTTCCTTCTTTCTTTTTTTTTTTTCTTAATAGAGATGAGGGCTCACTATGTGGGCCAGGTTGGTCTTGAACTCCTGGCCCCAAGCAATCCTCCTGCCTCAGCCTCCCAAAGTGTTAGGATTACAGGAGCCACTGTGCCCGGCCATGGCTTTATTTCTTATGGCTGTGTTTTTTCCTGTCAGAATATAGTATCATGTAGTAGTATATTTTGTTCTCAAACCGTTCCCCCACAAAAAGGAATCAGGATGCCTCAGAGAATTGGCTGATTCTAGGGCCAGGGCAGGGCAGGTGCAAGGTACAAGATGGTCCTGGAACACACTGTCATGCCAGGAAGGAAGTGGCTTATGAAAGAAGAAAAGGAGAAAGAAGATGGGTGATGTCACAGGACACAGGAACCAGCGTGGAGGGACTCCAATTGGCCGAATCTGGGACATGAGAGCACTAAAAATAATTAAACCCTGTCATGAACTCTCCTCTGTGCTTCGGCAATCTCCCTCTGAATAGGCCAAAGGCATCTGGCATTCAACATTTCCCAAACTGAACTCACCTCATCTTTTTTTTGAGACAGAGTCTTGCTCTGTCACCCAAGCTGGAGTGCAGTGGTGCAATCTCACCTCACTACAATCTCTGCCTCCCAGGTTCAAGTCATTCTCTGTAGGGACCAGCCCCACAGGGTCGGTGGGTCTCTCCCTAAGTGCGGCAATGAGAGAGTGTAGAAATAAAGACACAAGACAAAGAGACAAGAGAAAAGGCAACTGGGCCCGGGGGACCACTACCACCAATGTGCAGAGACTGGTAGTGGCCCCGAATGTCGGGCTGCGCTGTTATTTATTGGATACAAGGCAGAAGGGGCAGGGTAAAGAATGTGAGTCACCTCCAATGATAGGTAAGGTCACGTGGGTCATGTGTCCACCGGACAGGGGGCCCTTCCCTGCCTGGCAGCCGAGGCAGAGAGGGAGAGGAGACAAAGAGAAAGACAGCTTATGCCATTATTTCTGCATATCAGGGACTATTAGTATTTTCACTAATTTACCACTGCTATCTAGAAGGCAGAGCCAGGTGTACAGGATGGAACATGAAGGTGGACTAGGAGTGTGACCACTGAAGCACAGCATCACAGGGAGACGGTTAGGCCTCCGGATAACTGCGGGCGAGCCTGACTAATGTCAGGCCCTCCACAAGAGGTGGAGGAGCAGAGTCTTCTCTAAACTCCCCCAGGGAAAGGGAGACCCCCCTTTCCTGGTCTGCTGAGTAGCGGGTGTTGTTTCTTGACACCTTTTGCTACCGCTGGACCACGATCCGCCTGGTAACGGGCGTCTTCCCAGACGCTGGCGTCACCGCTAGACCAAGGAGCCCTCTGGTGGCCCTGTCCGGGCATAACAGAAGGCTCGCACTCCTGTCTTGCAGTCACACCTCACTATGTCCCTTCAGCTCCTGTCTCTGTATGGCCTGGTTTTTCCTAGGCTATGATTATAGAGCAAGGATTATTATAATATTGGAAGAAAAAGTAATTGCTACAAACTAATGATTAATGATATTCATATATAATCATATCTAAGATCTATATCTGGTATAACTATTCTTGTTTTATATTTTATTATACTGGAACAGATCGTGTCCTCTGTCTCTTGCCTCGGTGCCTGGGTGGCTTGCCGCCCACAGAGGAAGCTCTAGGGCCTGCCTGTGCTGTCTCCCTGCCAGCCAGCACCCTTTGTCTCACCATTTTCTGCTGTGACCCCCAGCCTCCACCCAGTGGGCTCCTCTCCCCGATGCTCCCCTCCTTGAGCCCCTCAGGCCCCTCACATGTGGAAACCTCCCAGGCCGGCCAGGCCTGTGATCCACCTGCCCAGCCACAGTCCATCTGGGCTCCAGGACAAGCATGGTCCATTGAGCAACTGAGCTGGTACTGGGGGCCAGAGCCTGGTGTGGGAATGAACAAAACTCTGATGATTCCGCAGAATGAGGAGGGGACACCATGGCTCATGCCTGTAATCCCAGAGCTTTGGAGGCCCAGTGGGGAAGAATCACTTGAGCCTTGGACTTTGAGACCAACCTGGGCAATACAGCAAGACCCCATCTCTAGAAAAAAAATATTTAAAACTGAGCTGGGCAGCCAGGTGTGGTGGCTCACACCTGTAATCGCAGCATTTTGGGAGGCCAAGGTGGGGCGGATCACCTGAGGTCGGGAGTTCAAGACCAGCCTGACCAACATGGAGAAACCCCTTCTCTATGAAAAATACAAAATTAGCAGGGTGTGATAGCGCATGCCTCTAATCCCAGCTCCTTGGGAGACTAAGGCAGGAGAGTCGCTTGAACCCAGGAGGCGGAGGTTGCAGTGAGCTGTATCATGCCATTGCACTCCAGCCTGGGCAACACGAGCAAAACTCCGTCTCAAAAAAATAAAAAATAAATTAAAAATAAGTTTAAAAAATTAGCTGGGCATGGTGGCTCTCTCCTGTACACCCAGCTACCAGGGAAGCTGAGGCGTGATTATCATGTGAGCCCATGATTTTGAGGCTGCAGTGAGCTACAATTTGGCCACTGCACTCCAGCCTGGGTGTCAGAGCCAAGCCTTGTCTCAAAAAAACAAAAATAAAAAAGAAAGAAGGGAAGCCAGGCTGGAGTTCCCCTAGTGAAACTGGATATCCGTGGGGAAACAGCCAGTATGGCAGAGGCCTTGGCTGCTGGAATGTTGGCTCCAAAAGCTGAGCAGGGTGAGGGCGCCCTGGGCCATTCCACTCTGGTACTCACCTGAGCTTTCTGGAATTTTGCTCCCTTGCCCTGGTGGCTGAGTGTGGGGTGTGTGGAGCTGTTGTCTGCCCTGAGGGTGTGGTAGGTCTAATGTGGGAGGGATCCGGAGTCGGGACCAGACTTGGGTTTGCTCCCGGAAGGAAGGGGTGGGGTTGAGAGCGAGGGAGCTTCTCTATTAGCCTCCTCAGCACCACAGCTGCAGCCAAGCTTAGAGTGATCTGCAAAGCCAAGATGTGAGTTTAGTGTTTAGTTGTGATTAGAAAGCACAAGAATAAAAGGCAAAAGAGCCCAATGTATAATTTATTTATTTATTTATTTTGAGATGGAGTCGTGATCTGTCGCCCAGGCTGGAGTACAGTGGCAGGATCTCGGCTCACTGTAACCTCCACCTCCTGGGTTCAAGCAATTCTCCTGCCTCAGCCTCTTGAGTAGCTGGGATTACAGGCATCCGCCACCACACCCGGCTAATTTTTGTATTTTTAGTAGAGGCGGGGTTTCACCATGTTGGTCAGGCTGGTCTTGAACACCTGACCTCAGGTGATCCGCCTGCCTCGGCCTCCCAAAGTGCTGGGATTACAGGCATTAGCCACTGCTCCTGGCGGCTTTTTTTATTTTTTGAGCTGTCACCGGGCTCTTGAGCTGCCCTCTGAACTCCACCCTGCAGGGCAGGCCAACAGAAGAGCTTTTTCTAATTGACCCAGCCAAGGGAAGTGAGCCGGTGAGTGGGGAAAAATGGGTACTCACTAGACAGAAACAGGGCAGGTCATGTTTCCCAGGGCAGTCTTGAAGGCGCCAATGCTTCTAGTCCAGTGCAGCCTGCATGCAAGCCCCCAGCAGCCCAGGCATTCCAGGCTCTGACCACAGGGCCAGTCTGGAGTAATATGTGTGGGCAGAGTTGAAGGGGCAGCGGTGGAGCAGAGCATGGATGCATAGAACAAGAAAGAACAAAGACGCTGGAGTCCCATCACCCTGGGAGCCAGCCCAGTTTCATGGCTCTCAGGGGAAGTTACAGAGCTTCGCTAGAAGATCCTAGAAAAACAGCAGCCCGTGGCAGGTGCTTTTGTTTCCCTGGGTTTGAAGGAGGCTCCACAGACAAGAGACCAGAGGAGGTTGAGGCTTGGAAGCCACAGGGCCCTGTGGAAGGAGGGCATCCCCCCACCCTCCTCATTCTTTGTCTTCACTATTTAAAGTTCAAGGTCAAGCTGGGGCCAGGCATGGTGGCTCACGCCTGTAATCCCAGCACTTTGGGAGGCCAAGGTGGGCAGATCACGAGGTCAGGAGTTCAAGACCAGCTTGGCCAACATGGTGAAACCCTGTCTCTACTAAAAATACGAAAATTAGCCAGGCACGGTGGTGGGCACCTGTAATCCCAGCTACTGGGGAGGCTGAGGCAGGAGAATTGCTTGAACCCGGGAGGCGGAGATTGCAGTGAGCTGAGATCACGCCACTGCACTCTAGCCTGGGTGACGCAGCAAGACTCCAACTCAAAAAAAAAAAAAAAAAAAAAAAAAAGGTCAAGCTGGGCACGAGACACGAGACAGGTAACCATTTGAGTAAAGGTGAGTCTCCCAAGCCTTCCAAGAATTGTGTGAATTCAGAGGCAAGCGGGCAGGTGGGAGTGTGGGAGAAGCTGAGGCGTCCGGCTTCCAGGCAGAGGAGAAGCTGCTCACATGCTAGGGCCACAGGCCCCTCCTCCCTCCTCTGGAAGCCCCTTGACTGGCAGGACCACAGGCAACTAGCTCTGCCTCCGCCCTCAGCAACCAACAGAAGGCACCCTTGACTCAGACTTTGTATTGCATTCCAGTAAAAAGCCCCAGACCCGCAGTGGATGGCATAGAAAAAAGGTGGGAGGGGGGTTACACAGCTCAATCCTGTGAGGCAGGGGCGACGATTATTCACATCTTAGAGATGAGGAAATGGAGGTGGGGGGGGGGGGGTAAAATCCTTGCCCCCAGGGACTAAGCTGGCCAGTGTCCTGTGAGCATGGGCAGTGATTGACTGAGTCACAGCCTCACCCCTGCAGCCAGATCTGAACTTCCTCATAGCTCAGCAACCCCCGCCAGATCACTGAATCTCTGCAGGGCAAGCCCTTTACTCACTCACAGTAGAGGCCAGGACCATCGTCTGTTATTTTATTAACTGTTTCTTGGCCATTGGCTCTATGTGGGACTTTGTTCTACAGCAGTGATGAGAGCTGCCCCCAGGCAGTTTAGTACACAGGTTCGGAAGGGGTTTAATGAGATGCATAAAATTTGTAGTATGGCAGAAAATAATAAGGGTTCAGGAAAGGGGGGCGGGCAGGGAAGTGCACAAGAAAGAGCCGCAATTTTATTGTATTTTATTTTTTTAGAGACAGGGTCTTGCTGTTTCCCCCAGGCTGGAGTGCAATGGAGTGATCATAGCTCACTTCAGCCTCCAACTCCTGGGCTCAAGCGATCCTCCCACCTCAGCCTCCCCCGTAGCTGGGACTACAGGCATATGCCACCATGCCCGGCTTCTCAGAGCTGCAATTTTAAATTGGGAGCCAGGGAAGACCTCCCTGTGGAGGTGGCAGGTTATCAAGACTGAAGATGTAGAGAAGAACCTTCCAGTCAAAGGGAAAAGGCAGGTCCTGCTGTGCTCAGGAATGGCCAGAAGTACTATCATCCATCCCCATCTTAGAGATGTGGACAGGGCCGCAACAGTGTCAGGGCGTTTCCTGGCTCCTCAACAGCAGGATCCGAAGTCGTCTGGAGGATGTGCCGCTCTGCTTGGGGCGGACCTCCCCTGGAGCGCACCTCCCCTGGAGCGCGCGGACGCGCAGGGTGCACACAGCCCTCTTGGACCCCGGGACCGGCTCAGGCTCAGGCTCGGCGTCAGCAAAGGGACCTGCGCGGCGCCCTGGGGCGGAGGAGGCCCGACGGTCAGTGGCCAGTGCCGTGCGGCTGACGGAGGTCGGGGCGCAACGGGACCGGGAGGAGCGCCCAGGGCGGGGGTGCCAGGCCCCCTCCAACCGCGGCGGGGTTGGAGTCAAGGCGGCTCCGGGCGGGGGTCGGACCCCAAATCCAGGCCACAGGCCGCCGCCCGGTCTTCTTCTTTACCCGAAGGGCGGCCGCGGCGGATGGGAAGCCGTGCACGACGAGCACAATCTCCATGGGGAGGACAACAGGAATGTTCCTGTGAGCCCCGCCGCGCCCTACCGCCAGCGCAGCCCAGCATCGCGGGTCCCCTCCTATCCCACCGGAGAACGGGGTCCTCACTCCCAGCTTCAGCCGAGCCCTGGCCCCGCAACTGCCTGAAGGCACGCCCCCTGCACCTGCCCACCTCAGGTCCCGCCTCCAGCCCAGGTACCCACCTGTTCTCATTCCTCTCCCTCCTGCGCTCCACCCGACCCCAGCGTGCCCCCCAAGACCCCTGCGCTGGACCCCAGCCTGGATCATCACCCTCGCCTCAGCCAGCTGCTCTCCGGAGTTCTAACGCCGAGATTCCCAGGGCACCGCCTCCCCGTTAGGCTCCTCCCCTGCGACAGCCTCCCCCCACCAACAGGCCTCGCCCGGGACGTCCCGCGCACGTCACAGACCTAGTGGGTCCCTCTCAGCAGGCTTGTGCCCCCCGGTTCCGCCTCCTCCAGGGAGCCTTCCTCCGGGCACAGAGACCCTCCCCCTCTTAACAGGGACCTCGGCCAATGGTCCGCCAAGCCCCGCCTTTTTTGCGGCCACCATTGTGCTGCTGGACGAACAGGGTTGACAGTGAGCCCCACGTAGACAGGGCCCGGGTACCAGGGATTCAGGCAGTAGAGCAGCTGGACGCTGAAGAGGCACCCGGCCTCGCCCCGATTCCCGCGGGACCCTTCGAATTTTAGGAACTTTTCACTAACGAAACACACTTCTGTGTCAGCACCGACATCAAGAAGAGAACCTCACCAGCACCTCAGAACCCGCTTTGTCCCTCCCTGGTTCCTTCCCCTGGGTGCCTGGTGTGCTGCCGTCTCACCCATATGTAGTTGAGCGCAGCAGCCCCTGTAGGACACCTGGCAGATCAGGTCACAGTCCTGCTGTGCCCTCGGGCTCACTCGGGAGCTGGGGGCTCCCAGGTGCTCCTCCAGCAGCTCAGTTCAGCATGCTGGGGGGTCAGGGCCAGCCCCTGTCCCTGGGGCCTCAGGCCTCCCTTTCTTCCCACAGTGGCCAAGATCGCGGGTCTCTACAATGACTTGGAGCCACCCCGGAAGACCATGCGCAGAGGGGTGCTGATGACCCTGCTGCAGCAGTCGGCCATGACCCTGCCCCTGTGGATTGGGAAGCCTGGTGACAAGTGAGGGCAGCAGCTGCGAGGAAGGGGCTGGTGCCCAGGGGCTGGGACTGATCCTTTGTTCCACTCACAGGCCCCCACCCCTCTGTGGGGCCATCCCTGCCTCAGGAGACTACGTGGCCAGACCTGGAGACAAGGTGGCTGCCCGGGTGAAGGCCGTGGATGGGGATGAGCAGTGGATCCTGGCCGAGGTGGTCAGTTACAGCCATGCCACCAACAAGTGAGTGACACCAGCCCCGGGGCTGCTCTCTGCCCTTCCTGTCCACCTGCCCCACAGCCCCAGGAGGACTATTCTATCCTGTTTGAAGACACCTCCTATGCAGACGGCTACTCCCCTCATCTCAGTGTGGCCCAGAGGTACCTGGTAGCTTCTAAGGAGCCCAAGAAAAAGTGACGCTGCCCGGCGGACTCGACGTCCTCCACCATCTTGGGGCAGGACAGCAGAGGATGTGCTGGGATTAAACAGACATCCCCCCTCCACACATCTCCTGGGTTTTACTTCTCCAAACCCTTCTCCCCTCCCCAGATATGGTGACCTGGGGAGCTGAAGGCTGGGGGAGAGGTGACCATATGTGGCCCCACCGGGCATTCACTCTTTCAGCTCAGAGTTTCTCTTCCTTTCCAATACAGGCTCTACATGAACACAAATCATATTTTATTTTGAGCTTTATTTTCTTTGGAGGGAGGGTCTTGCTTGTCATCCAGGCTGTAGTGAATGGGCATGTCATAACTCACTGTATCCACAACCTCCTGGGCTGAAATGATCCTCCAGCCTCTGCTTCCCAAGTAGCTGGGACTACAGGTAAGTGCCAGCACATGTGGCTAATTTTTTTACATCTTTGTAGAGATGAGGTCTCACTATTTTACCAGGCTGGTCTCAAATTCGTGGCCTATTGTGATCCTACCAGCTCAACCTCCCAAATCGCTGGGATTGCAGACATGAGCCACTGTGCCTGACTCAAAAATCATACTTTATTCTTGAGCCCATTGGTCAGGGTAGATTCGCACACTCCCTCTGCAGTGACTCCAGGAGCCCCTCTCACAGCTCAGAGCGGAAGCTGAGGCTGCAGCCTGCCATCTTCTCCGCATAGTCCGCATCGAAGCGCTCATTCTGCGCCACGGTGAAGGTGGTCTTCCAGTCCCCAGCCATGCCTGGGGGAGGAAGGCAGGGAGCAAAGCTGGAGTCTCATCCCAGGGGAGGCCCCAAGTGCCTATGGGGAGGCTGCAGCTGCTGCTCCCACCCGCCCCAAACCCCCGTGCTGGCCAGCACCCACCTTTCCTCATGAAGGGGGAGATGCTGTGGTCCATGAGCTCCTGGGGGACGGTGGTGTAGTTGGTCATAGGGTTCTTCTTCATCTCCTTGAACGACGTGTGCTGAACCATGAAGTCCATGGTCTCCTCTGGCAGGGAGCGCCCCACAAACTCCAGGATCTTTTGAATCTCCCTTTTGGGGTTCTGAGCAGCAGAGGGCTCCTCAGTGGAGCAAAACAAAACGGGTCCCCCTCTCTAACCTCAGAGGGGATCTGGCCACTTCCCCTAGAAACCCCAAAGAGCCTCAACCCCTGGGGCCCTAGTCTCTGGAGTAAAATGAATTGATCTCTGCCCTGTGATCCCATCATGAACAGGGCTTGGCGCCTATGGGTGAGGACCGGGATGGTCTTCTTCCATGACTGTGGCCCTGGGTGGCACACCCTTTGGTGAGGATAAGCAATAGGACTAAGTATCTGATCCGTGGCCACCCATGCAGCTGACTCAGGTGCAGAAGATGAAAGCTGTGCCGAGCCTGCTGCCAGGTGGGGCTGCAGTGGGGGGGCCTGGGCCAGGGAGGTAGGATGGGGAATCCGGGCTTGCTGTGGGAGCCGCCCAGGGACGGGGCTGGGTGGCCTTGGTGGGTCCCTGTGAGGTGCCTGCCCCCAGGTGTCACATGGGGGGAAGCATCACAGTCGGTCTCACCTCCTTCATGTCTTCATAGAAGAGGTAGAGAACAGGGTGGGTGCGGCTCAGCTCCCACCACTCCTGCACGTGCTGGTACCAGGACCCGTAGGACACTAGAGAAGCGGGCAGGGGGCACCGACACAGGGTTGCTGTACGTTATAGCCACCACCCCTCGGCTTCACACCCTCCTTCCTCCAGTCAAGCCCACCTTCTCCAGCCATGAACTTTTCCAGGAAGCTGTCCCAGGTCCCAGGCTCAGGGTGCGCCTTTTCCATACGGTGGAAATGGTAGTAGGAGACCGCCACGTCCTTTGGGTTTCGGGCAACATAGACCACCTGCAGGGGCAGAGGACCCAGCCCCAGCACCATCACCACACAGCCCACCCCAGGCCAGCTCATCTGTTGAACTGGCAAAGGAGGAACCTGAGGCTTAGAGGCTGACTTGCTTGAGATCTCACTGCACAGGTAGGGCCAAGCTGGGATCTGAACCCTGCTCGGAAGCCAAAGTCCTGCCTGGTTCCTGAGACCATATTCTATACTAATATAATCTGCACCAATGCCATCATATCCTGATCTGGAGCAAGGCATGCCTGGTCCCCACCAGCTCCCCCTCCTCCGCTGACCTGTGAGCACCCACATGCTGCCTTTCTTAAGTGTGCACTGTAGAGACTCACTATCCTTGCATCAGACCCTCATCAGAGCAAGAGGCAGACAGTGTCCTCTCTCAAGATGTGATGAAGGCTGGGCGTGGTGGCTCATGCCTCTAATCCCGGCACTTTGGGAGGCCAAGGTGGCCAGATCACCTGAGGTCAGGAGTTCAAGACCAGCCTGACCAACATGGTGAAACCCCATCTCTACTAAAAATACAAAATTAGCCGGGCGTGGTGGCAGGTACCTGTAATCCCAGCTCCTTGGGAGGCTGAAGCAGGAGAATTGCTTGAACCCAGGAGGCGGTGGTTGCAGTGAACCGAGATCACACGATTGCGCTCTAGCCTCGGCAACAAGAGTGAAACTGTCTCAAAAAAAAAAAGGGCCAGGCGCGGTGGCTCACGCCTGTAATTCCAGCACTTTGTGAGGTCGAGGCAGGAGGATCACAAGGTCAAGAGTTTGAGATCCACTTGACCAACATGGTGAAACCCCGTCTCTACTAAAAAGAATACAAAAATTAGCCGGGTGTGGTAGCACACGCCTGTAATCCCAGCTACTCAGGAGGCTGAGGCAGGAGAATCACTTGAACTGGGGAGGCGGAGGTTGCAGTGAGCTGAGATCATGCCACTGCACTCCAGCCAGGGTGACAGAGCAAGACTCTGTCTCAAAAAAAAAAAAGATGTGATGAGCCTGGCAGAAGCGAGGAGGCCCTTCCAGAAGAACAGGTACATGGCTGAGAGGGCACCTGAGCCCCCCTTCCTGGCTTTCCTTGCCAGTCAGTGGGAACTTTTTTTTCGTAGAGATGGTTTTGCTGTGTTGCCCAGGCTGGAGTGCAGCAGCAGGATCATCAGGGCTCATTGCAGCTTCCTATTTGCATAAACAGTCCTCCCCGCTGAGCCTCCTAAGTAACTGGGAACAGTCTATGCCACCATACCAGGTTGTTAATTTTATTTTTGTAGAGATGGGATGTCATCTCTACAGCAATGTTGCCCAGGCTGGTCTCCATCTCTCGCCTTCAAGGGATCCTCCCTCCTCAGTCTCAAACTGGGATGACAGGTGTGAACCATTGAGCCCGGCCTCACCTTGACCTTCTGATCCAACAGAGTCTGAGGGAGCAGAGCCAGGGGCAGGTGTGACTTGATGAGCCGTGGGGGCGGTGTGTCTTTCAGAGTCTCCAGCCCTGAGTAGTGGGTCAGGGAAGGTCTGGTGAGCTGAAGCCCCAGCCCTGTCTTCCTCCACTTCCCTTACCCCCAGGACCCAGCCATGCACCTGAGGGTTCCCCTGGATCATTGACCTCAAGGAAGGGCACCCGTACGTAGATGGGAGCCCGGTTACACTTCTCTAGGTCGCCGCCCTGGTAGATCATGTCCAGTATCTGGCTCACCCAGGTGGTGCCTGGAGAGGGAGGGAGATAGGAGGTGAGCAGGCTGAGGGCACGACCTTGCTGACCAAGGTGGGGACTGCCGCCTGGGAGAGGGTGGGTGGCCCTCCTCACTTACCAGACTTGGGGTAGGTGTTGATGAGCAGGTCATCAGGTCGGGCTTGGAAGCTCTGCAGGGGCCCCAGTGCCTCTGCAAAGTACTTGATGAGCGGGACCCCCTTCACGTACTCCAGTGGCGGGCGGGAGGTGTCCTGGATCAGCTCCATGTTCCTGCATCAGGGGCCAGAGCCAGGCCCGTTCCCTTACCACCATCACAACAGCAAGAAAGTGGGATTCTCTCTTTTTTTTTTTTTTTTTGAGATGGAGTCTCACTCTCACCCAAGCTGGAGTGCAGTGTGGCACAATCTCAGCTCACTGCAAACTCCACCTCTTGGGTTCAAGCAATCCTCCCGCCTCGGCATCCCAAGTAGCTGGGATTACAAGCATGTACAACCATGCTCAGCTAATTTTTTTTTTTCTTTAGTAGAGATGGGGTTTCACCATGTTGGCCAGGCTGGTCTAGAACTCCTGGCCTCAAGTGATTTGTCTACCTCAGCCTCCCAAAGTGCTGGGATTACAGGTGTGAGCCAGCACCCAGCTGCCCCTTTGCAGAGTTTTTGCTTTCAGGGAAGTCACTGAGGCCTAGGGAGGCTGAGTGACTTGCCCGCACTCACAAAGTCAGTCAGTGGCGGGGCTGGGGCTGAAACCAGGTCGTTCCCCAGCCTGGCCGCACCTTTCAGTCACCTGCAGAGCTGTTCAAAATCCCAGGGCCTGGGGCATAGTGCAGACCAGTGAAAGCACCCTCGTAGCGCGGGGCCCAGATATCAGGGTGTGTGAAGGTCTCCAGGAGAGTCCAGCTGTGCTGAGGAAGCTCTAGGGCCTGCCTGTGCTGTCTCCCTGCCAGCCAGCGCCCTTTGTCTCACCATTTCCTGCTGGGACCCCCAGCCTCCACCCAGTGCGCTCCTCTCCCCGATGCTCCCCTCCTTGAGCCCCCCTCATGCCCCTCACATGTGGAAACCTCCCAGGCCGGCCAGGTCTGTGATCCACTTGCCTGGCCACAGTCCATCTGGGCTCCAGAACAAACACAGCCCATTGAGCAACTAAGCTGGTACCAGGGGCTAGAGCCTCGTGCGGGAATGAAAACTGATGACTCATCAAAAGGAGGGGCCCAGGCAGGGTGACTCCCGCCTGTAATCCCAGAGCCTTGGGAGGCCAACGGGAAAGGATCCCTTGAGCCCTGGAGTTTGAGACCAACCTGGACAACAAAGCAAGACCTCTCCTCTACAAAAAATATTTTTCAAAATTAGCTGGGTGTGGTGGCTTGCTCTTGTAACCCCAGCTACTCAGGAGGCTGAGGCGGCAGGATTGCCTCAGCCTAGGAATTTGAGGCTGCAGTGGGCCAGGATCCCACTACACTCCAGCCTGGGTGACGGAGCAACACCCTGTCTCAAAAATACACAAAGGAAAAGAAGGAACGCAGGGGGATTCCGGCCAGGCTGGGTTGTCTAATTGAAATGGAATATCCATGGGAAAGGGCAGGGATGGCAGAGGCCTCGGCTTCTAGAATGTTGGAGCCACAAGCTGAGCAGGGTGAAGGTGCCCTGGGCCATTCCAACGTGTCACTCACCTGAGCTCTCGGGAACCTGACCTGTTCTCTCCTTGCCTGCAGGGGCTGAGTATGGGTGTGGTGTAGGGAGTGTAGGGCTGCTCTCTGCCCTGAGGGTTTTGAAGGTCCAGTGTGGGAGGGATCTAAAGTCAGGGCTGGGAACTCCAGGAAGGAAGGGGTGGGGTTGAGGGTGGGGAAGCTTCTCTATTACCCTCCTTACCACCACAGCTCCAGCCAAGCTTGGAGTGATCTGCAAACCCAATATGTGAGTTTAGTGTATAGAAAACACATGAATGAAAGGCAAAAGGGGCCAACATTGGTATTTGGGTTTTTTTTTTTTTGAGCTGTCACTAGGCTCCTGACCTTCCCTCTGAACTCCACCCTGCAGGGCAGGCCAACAGACAAGCTTTCTTTCTTTCTTTTTCTTTTTTTTATATGAGATGGAGACTCGCTCTCTCGCCCAGGCTGCAATGCAGTAGCACGATCTCCGCTCACTGTAACCTCCCCCTCCTGGGTTCAAGCGATTCTTCTGCCTCAGCCTCCCGAGTAGCTGGGATTACAGGTGCACACCACCACATCCGGTTAATTTTTGTATTTTTAGTAGAGACGGGGTTTTGCCATGTTGGCCAGGCTGGTCTCAAACTCCTGAGCTCAGATGATCCGCCCGCCTCGGCCTCCCAAAGTGCTGAGATTACAGGCATGAGCCACCATGCCTGGCCGACAAGCTTTCTCTAATTGACCCAGGCAAGGGAGGTGAGTGAGTGGAGGGGAAAGGTGGGATAGGCCGGCCTGGGAAAAGTCACCTACCTGCTGGCTACAGGCCAGTCTTGAAGGCGGCAGGGGTTCTGGCCCAGTGCAGTCCACAGGCCCCCAGCAGCCCAGGCATTCCAGGCTCTGACCACAAGGCCAGTCTGGAGTGATGTGTGGGGGCAGAGTGAAGGGGCAGAAGTGGAGCAGAGCATGGACATATAGAACAAGAAAGAGGCTGAGCGTGGTGGCTCACGCCTGTAATCCCAGTACTTTGGGAGGTCGATGCAGCAGGATCACCTGAGGTCAGGAGTTCGAGACCAAGCTGGCCAACATGGTGAAACCCTGTCTCTACTAAAAATACAAAAATTAGCTGGGCATGATGGCGGGCACCTGTAATCCTAGCTACTCAGGAGGCTGAGGCAAGAGAATCACTTGAACCCAGGAGGCGGAGGTTTCAGTGAGCCAAGATCACACCACTGCACTCCAGCCTGGGCAACAGAGTGAGACTCTGTCTCAAAAAAAAAAAAAAAAAAAAAAAAAGAAAGAAAGAAAGAACAGAAAGAATAAGAAAGGACAAGGACACTGTAGTCCCATTGCCCTAGGAGCCAGCCCTAGCTTCATGGCTCCTGGGGGACCTCACAGAGCATCAATAGAAGATCCTAGAAGAAAAACAACCCTGGCAGGTGCTTTTCTTTCCCTGGGTTTGAAGGAGGCTCCGTAGACAAGAGACTAGAGGAGATTAAGACTTGGAAGCCACAGGGCCCCGTGGAAGGAGGGCATCCCCCCATCCTCCTTGGTCTTTGTCCTATTTGCATTCAATTTCAAGGTAAGTCTCCCAGGCTTCCAAGAATTGCATGAGCTCAGAGGCAAGTAGGGGAAAGCTGAGGCATGGGGTTTCCAGGCAGAGTAGAAGCTGTTCACGTGCTAGGGCCAGGGGCCCCTCCTGCCTCCTCTGTGCCCCTGAGGAAGCCCCGTGACTGGCAGGACCTTGGGCTACTAGCTCCGCCCCTCCCCTCAGCATCCACCATAAGGCACCCTTGACTCAGACTTTTTATTGTACTCAAGTAAAAACCTGCTGGACCCACAGCAGGTGGCACAGAAAAGAGGTAGGAGGGGGTAAGGACACTGAGGATCAGGTCTCCAGCAGGTCTGTCCAGTGTGCCTGCAGAGGCAAGCAGTGTGGTCACAGGCAGCCCAGGGCAGGGAGTGGGGTAGGGAGCCCGCCACCAAAGCCCACTCACCTCTTCTAATTCTGAGTCTTCTACTTCTTTCTCAGTGTCCATCTGGCACAGCCAGATCAGGTCTCCCCAAAGCAGTGACTTCTCACAGCTACCAAGGAGAGGGGCAGGTAGGAGATACAGAGTCAGATGCCACAAGCCCCCTCCAGTATCCGCCCTGGATGCTGAGATGAGGGCTCAGCTGCCTGGGCCTGGATTGCACAACTGGGCACCCTCTTCCCAGAGGTGGACCAGGCTGGGGCCAGGGGACTGCACTCACCAAGGGCATTGGCCCTCTAGGGGCAGAAGCTGCCCTGGTTCTTCCTGAAGAAACTCCTCTGCCAGGCAGATCACATGGGCCCTTAGCAGGCAGCCAGGGTGGGGGCAACACAAGGGCCCCTCTTCATCCTGACCCAGGCAGCAGGCAGGTAAGAGACAAGGAGGGAGAGGCAGCTGGCAGCAACCCCTCTATGCAGCAGGCACTGTTGCGGGCATTACACAGCTCCATCCCATGAGGCAGGGGTGACTGTTATTTGCATCTTACAAATGAAGAAACTGAGGTGGACAGTTAAAATCCTTGCCCCTAGGACTAAGCTGGTGCAGGTCCTGGGAGCATCAGCAGTGATTGATTGAGTCACAGCCTCACCACTGCAGCCAGACCTGAACTTCCTCACAGCTCAGCAACACCCAGCAGGTCACTGAATGTCCCCAGGGCAAGTCCTCTACTCACTCACAATTACCGGGAGCTCAGTAGAAGGCACCCATCGTCCATTATTTTATTAAATATTTAGGCCGGGCACGGTGGCTCATGCCTGTAATACCAGCATTTTGGGAGGCTTAGGTGGGCAGGATCACCTGAGGTCAGGAGTTTGAGACCAGCCTGGCCAACATGGTTGAAACCCCATCTCTACTAAAAATACAAAAATTAGCCAGGCGCGGTGGCAGGCGCGTGTAATCCCAGCTACTCTGGAGGCTGAGGAAGGAGAATTGCTTGAAACCAGGAGGCAGAGGTTGCAGTGAGCTGAGATCGCGCCACTACACTCCAGCCTGAGCGACAGAGTAAGACTCTGTCTCAAAAAAAAAATAAATAAATAAATAAAAAGAAAATTTCTGGGCCATCGGCTCAGTGCAGGACTTTGTTCTACAGCAGTGATAAGTGCTGCCCTCTGATAGTGCAGTGTGGCAGTTGGGGTGGGAGAGGCTAATGAGATCAAGAAAACACGTAGCATGCCAGACAATAGTAAGTGTTAAGGGAAAGGGGGTGCAGAAAAGTGCACACAAGAATGAGCTGCAGTTCATTACATTGTTTTAGAGACAGGGTCATGTCCAGGCATGGTGGCTCACGCCTATAATCCCAGCACTCTGGGAGGCCGAGGCGGGCAGATCACTTGAGGTCAGGAGTTTGAGACCAGCCTGCCCAACATGGCGAACCCCATCCCTACTAAAAACACAAACATTCGGCAGGTGTGGTGGCACACTTGGGAGGTTGAGATAGGAGAATCGCTTGAACCCAGGAGGCGGAGCTTCCAGTGAGCTGAGATCACTGCACTCCAGCCTCCGCAACAGAGCAAGACTCTGTCTAAAAAAAAAAAAAGGGCCGGGCGCGGTGGCTCATGCCTGTAATCCCAGCACTTTGGGAGGCTGAGGCGGGCGGATCACGAGGCTAGGACATCGAGACCATCCTGGCTAACACGGTGAAACCCCGTCTCTACTAAAAATACAAAAAATTAACCAGGCGTGGTGGCGGGCGCCTGTAGTCCCAGCTACTCGGGAGGCTGAGGCAGGAGAATGGCGTGAACCCAGGAGGCGGAGCTTGCAGTGAGCAGAGATCGCGCCACTGCACTCTAGCCTGGGCGACAGAGCTAGACTCCATCTCAAAAAAAAAAAAAAAAAAAAGAGGGTCATGCTCTGTCGACCACACTGGAGTGCAGCGGAGTACTGATGGCCTAGGGAAGAACCTTTTCTTTGAAGGGGAAATGGTGAAGGCCCTGAGCAGGGCCTGCTTTGCTCAGGAATGGCCGTAAGTCCTATAGCATCAGCATCTTAGAGATGGGGATAGGGTGGCCAAAGCGTGTCAGTGGGTTTCCCTCAAGAAAGAGCTGGATCCGAAGTCGTCTGGACTCTAGAGCCATCCATTCCTCGGGGGGACCTCACCTGGATGGTCTGGGCGCACAGGGAGCAGCAGGCCCCTGGATCCCCCTGGTCTGGCTCAGGCTCCGCGTCATCAAAGGGACCTGCGCGGCGCCTTGGGGCCGGGGCCTGGGGCGGTGGAGGCCCGAAGGCCAGAGGCACGTGCGGCGGCGGCGGGAGGCAGAGGTCCTGGCGGAGGTCTGGGCGCACCCAGCGCAGCGTGAGCGGGAGGCGAGCCCAGGGCGGTGCGCGCAGCATGTGCGCCAGCACGCGCAGGTGGAAAGCGAAGGCTGTCTCTCCTCGCAGGCGAGGCCCCACGTGCGCCAGGCGGCGCGAGGCGTGCGGGTGCTGCCAAGCCCACTCAAACTGCGGGCGGCGTACAGGGGCATCAGGGCGGCTCGGAGCGAGGGGCGGAACCCAAGCCCTCACCCGGCCGCCGCTGCCCGGTCTCCTTCCTTACCCGAAGGGCGGCCACGGAGGACGGGAAGCCGTGCACGACGAGCACCATCTCCCTGAGGAGGAGAACCGTGATGTCCCTGTCGCAGCCCAGCGCCTCAGCCGCGGGTCCCCTCCAATCCCACCCGAGAGCGGGGTCCTCATTCCCGGCTTCAGCCGAGAAGTGCAGCCCTCTGCACCTGCCCACCTCAGGCCCTGCCTCCAGCCCAGGTACCCACCTGTCCCACCTCCTCTCTCTCCTGCATTCCACCCGACCCCAGCGTGCCCACCAAGAGCCCTATGCTGGAACCCAGCCTGGATCATCACCCCCGCCCCAGCTAGCTCCTTCCCTGAGTTCCGCCGCGGAGATGCCCCGGGCACCGCCTCCCCGTCACGCTCCTCCCCTGCGACAGGCCCCGTCCCCACCACAGACGCCCCGCCTCTGTCACAGTCCTGGCCGGTCCTTCTCAACAGGCCTGTGCCCCGCGGGGTCCGCCTCCTCTGGGACGCCTTCCTCCCGGCACAGAAGGCCTCCCCCTCTCACCAGGGCCCTCGCCCGCTGGTCCGCCAGGCCCCGCCTTTTTTGCGGCCCCCATTGTGCTGCTGGACCCGACGAGCAGTGTTGACAGTGAACCCCACGTAGACGCGGCCCCGGTACCGGGGGTTCAGGCAGTAGAGCAGGTAGACGCCGAAAAAGCGCCCTGGCCTCGCCGCGACCCCCGCGGGACCCATCGGGCCTTGGGGTTCGGGAACCACAGCAGGGGGTTGATTGCCGTGACCTAGGGTCCAGGGGAGGGCTGGATCGCTAGGGCTGCAGGGTGCTTGCTTCGGAACAAGCTCTCGGGGACTATCCGGAGGCAGCCTGCAGGAAGCCGTAGCGCCGGTACGTGCCCCTCTCCTGTCTGGAGGCGGGTGTAGAAGTCCGACCGCGGAAGCCAGACTGCTGTCCAGTCGGCGAGCGCGTACCATTCAGCATCGGCTCCGCCCGAGTCCCACCTTCCTCAGGCTCTGATTGGCTGACACATGGCAAGCGCGAAAAGCCTGGACCGCTGGAAAGCCCGGCTGCTTGAGGGCGGAAGTACTGCGTTGACGTACGCCTTAGTAAGGGCGGAAGTGAGTTTTCCAGCGGAAGTGGCTCCTGTAAGGCAGCAAGGTAGCGTGGCCGGCGCCCGAGCTGGGGTTGTGTCCCTGCTGGGCTGCCGTTCCAGCTGGACTGCCGCCATGGAACTCAGCGCCGAATACCTCCGCGAGAAGCTGCAGCGGGACCTGGAGGCGGAGCATGTGGTGAGTTGAGCCGCCGGACAAGGGGAAAAGAGCTCGGGGGGCGGGTTCGGCACCATTCATATTCTTCCGCTCGGTAGGAGGTGGAGGACACGACCCTCAACCGTTGCTCCTGTAGCTTCCGAGTCCTGGTGGTGTCGGCCAAGTTCGAGGGGAAACCGCTGCTTCAGAGACACAGGTAAGGCCCTGGGAGCACCTTGCCTAGCTCCTGTACCACAACCCCAGCCACTCCCCCTACCCCTGCAACCTGACTCCCGCACTCCCCCTGGCGTGGCTCAGGGACCTTGAGGATCCCGCCTTCGTGACCCCTGCTTCGAGTATTTCGATGTAGACCCTCTCTCCAAGTACGTGTTCCCACGGCCTGGGGACTACAACCTTGGGGACACCAGTCTCTTGGGTCACCCTAGCCTCGGGGTGTGCGATCACCGCTGGCCTTTTCCTAACCCCATCTCTCGCCCCAGGCTGGTGAACGCGTGCCTAGCAGAAGAGCTCCCGCACATCCATGCCTTTGAACAGAAAACCCTGACCCCAGACCAGTGGGCACGTGAGCGACAGAAATGAGGGACTGGGATCTGCACAGCCATTAAATTATAAATCTGGACCAGCTTCTGTGTCGATGTGTGTGTGGGAGGGGTGCTGAGGCCGAGTCTAGGACCTGGCCTCTCCCTGCCCTGCCTCCGTCCATTGTTTTACCTTGGACACGTCTCTGTCCCCATCTAGGCCTCTATCCCTGCTTGTAAAATGAAAGTTCTACCGTAAAAGTCCCTTCCAGGGTCTACCGAGAAAGCCTTCTCTCTGCAACTCCGTTTAGACATCTAGGAGTCTGTACTGCCACCACCTACCCACCTCCTAGAGAGCTCAGGGTTCCTCCTCTCTGCTAGCCTTCAAGATGCAGAGATGAGAAAGTGATCGGGGTTTCAGGGCCCTGACCAGTTGAACAAACCTCTCCCTGACATTACCGCAGTATCAGAGGCACCATATAGAATTCCACATATTCCTTGCAGGTTCCCCCCGGCCTTCTCAGGCCCAAGAGGGAGTGGTGCCCAGGTAGGGGCTCATCAACTCCTGGAATGCTGATGTTTTCAGACCCACTGGAGAAGGTTCCAGTGGCCCCATAGCCCTGGGCTTAATGTGTCTACAGCTGCCCCCGGAGGACCATGGAGGTTTTAAGAATAGTGGGTGTGGGACGGGGATAGGGGTGAGATTAGAGTAGGAATATAAGGCTGACCTGAGTCAGAAAATTGGGGCAGGTGATGCCCCTGTATCAGTCTTCATAACAGGTTAGTAGGGTTGCTAGGACCTTGTTTGTTTTATTTGTTTTTTGTTGTTTGAGACAGGGTCTTGCTCTGTCGCCCAGGCTGGAGTGCCGTGGCGCCATCTCAGCTCATTGCAACCTCTGCCTCCCAGGTTCAAAAGATTCTTGTGCTTCAGCCTCCTGAGTAGCTGGGATTACAGGGGTGCACCACCATGCCCGGCTAATTTTTGTACTTTTAGTAGAGACAGGGTTTCACCATGTTGGCCAGGCCAGTCTCAAACTCCTGGCCTCAAGTGATCTGCCCGCCTTGGTCTCCTAAAGTGCTGGAATTTTAGGCGTGAGCCATTGTACCTGGCCCAGATTGCTAGGACTTTGAACAGAGGTCCCTGAGACCTAGGGAGGGAGCCCAAATAACCTAGTTGGGGCCAGGGCTCGTTGAGAGTGAGAAATTGCAAGTTTCAGCCATCACACACTCTTTTCCTGCGTTTTTTTGTTTGTTTGTTTGTTTGTTTTGAGACAGAGTCTTGGCTCTGTTGCCCAGGCTGGAGTGCAGTAGCATGATCTTGGCTCACTACAACTTCCCCCTCCCGGGTTCAAGCGATTCTCCTGCCTCAGCCTCCCTAGTAGCTGGGATTACAGGCACACGCCACCATGCCCAGCTAATTTTTGGGGTTTTTTTATTGTTTGTTTGTTTGTCTGTTTTTGAGACAGAGTTTCACTCTTGTTGCCCAGGCTGGAGTGCAATGGCACGATCTCGGCTCACCACAACCTCCGCCTCCTGGGTTCAAGCGATTCTCTTGTCTCAGCCTCCCAAGTAGCTGGGATTACAGGTATGTGCTACCACGCCCGGCTAATCTTGTATTTTTAATAGAGACAGGGTTTCTCCATGTTGTTCAGGCTGGTCTTGAACTCCCGACCTCAGGTGATCCACCCGCCTCGGCCTCCAAAAGTGCTGGGATTACAGGCGTGTGCCACTTATGCCCAGCTTTCTTTTTTGTTTTCTTCCCACACCTCTACTGCCCAAGTAGTTTTCTATGGCATACTGAAGAGGTGGGGCCTGGAAATGACGCCATGGGTGGTCCCTGCTTGATATGAACCAAACCTTACTATGGCTAAGACGCCCATCCCAAACAGCCCTGTGTCCTCCCATCTCAGGATCACCTGCTAAGTTGGGTATCAAAACCTATTCCCACACCCACTCCCCACAAGGCCTGACAGACCTGTTCCTGCCAGGTCTCTCACAGAGGTCAGGCCCAGGCAGAACCCACAGGAAGGGCTAGAGAGGCAGAAGCACTCACTACACGGGGGAAGGCTCTGAATTCAAAAGGGGAGACATAAGGCCAGGCACAGCGGCTCATGCCTGTAATCCCAGCACTTTGGGAGGCTGAGGCAGGCAGATGACTTGAGGCCAGGAGTTTGAGACCAGTCTGGCCAACATGGTGAGACCCCACCTCTACTGAAAACACAAAAGTTAGCCGGACGTGGTGGCACATGCCTGTAATCCCAGCTACTTGGGAGTCTGAGGCACGAGAATGGCTTGAACCCAGAAGGCAGAGGTTGCGGTGAGCCGAGATTGTGCCATTGTACTCAATTTGGGCAACAAGAATGAAACTCCATCTCAGAAAAAATTAAATAAATAAAAAAGTGGGGAGACTTGGACTCTGACTTGGGATCTGCCCTTCAGTGAGCTGGGCTCCTGCTCCCGGCCTCAGTTTCTTCTCTGGTAAACTAGGATCAGCCTGTTGCCTTAATTCTGTCTTTTCCTTAGAAGAAGTTCCCCTGTTTCATATATTAAAATATATAATATATAAAACATATATATAAAATATATATAATTTATATTATAATATATAATATAATATAATATAATATATTATAATATATATTATATATTATACTATATTATTATATAGTATAATATATAACTTATTACTATATAATATAATATATAATTTATTATTATATAATATAATATATATTATATATTAAAATATATAATTAATATATATAATATTTATATATTAAAATATAATATATATAATATTTATATATTAAAATATATTATATATAATATATTTATATATTAAAATATATAATATATATAATATATTTATATATTAAAATATATATGATGTATTTATACATTTAAAAAAAAAAAAATATATATATATATATATTTTTTTTTTTTTTTTTTTTGAGACGAAGTCTCACTCCTGTCCCCCAGGCTGGAGTACAATGGCATGATCTCGGCTCACTGCAACCTTTGCCTCCCGGATTCAAGCAATTCTCTTGCCTCAGCCTCCTGAGTAGCTGAGATTACAGGCGCCTGCCACCATGCCCAGCTAATTTTTGTATTTTTAGTAGAGATGGGGTTTCACCATGTTGGCCAGGCTGGTCTCGAACTTCTGACCTCAGGTGATTCACCCACCTCGGCCTCCTAAAGTGCTGGGATTACAGGCGTGAGCTGCCACACCCGGCCTATTTATATTTTTTAGAGACAGTGTCTTGCTCTGTCACCCAGGCTGCAGTGCAGTGGTGCAATGGCTCATTGCAGCCTCGACCTCCTGGGCTCAAGGGATCCTCCTGCCTCAGCCTCCTGAGTAGCTGGAACTATAGGTGCCCACCACCATGCCTGGCTAATTTTTTATTTTATTTTTCGTAGAGACGGTATCTCGCCGTGTTGCTCAGGCAGGTCTCAAACTCCTGGGCTCAAATGATCCTGCCGCCTCAGCCTCCCACAGTGCTGGGATTATAGACGTGAGTCCCCATGCCCAGCCTCCCTCGTTATTTTTATCTTTGGACCTGCAGTTTAAAAGATGCCTACCCTGTAAGTGATGGTTGGTTCATTTCCTCACAAGCAACAGTGCCAGCAGAGTCACGTGCAACGTGATGTTTTGGTTGACTAGGAAAGGCAGATTTTTGGTAAATTTGGGAATTATTGAGGTTCTAAGCTAGGGCCTTAAATAGTTCAGCTGTGTCAGCTCTGAGAAGGAGCTCGGAAACGGAGAGCAGCCTCCTGGCCCACATCAGCATGGCTGGTTTCTACCCACGAAGGCCCTGTTCCTGTGATGTAGTAAGTCAGGGGGCATCCCACATCCCCTGCCATGGGTCAGTCCCCTCAGCGCGGTGGAGGGGAAGCTCTAGGGCTGGTTGGTTCAGCAAACTGCGTGTCTAGGGGACCAGTCATCAGAGTCTGGGAGGTACCAGAAAATAAAGCCATTTTATTATGATTTTTTTCTCTGCCATGTGGCTGGGAATGGGAGGTGAGTGGATGGGTGTGAATGGCTGACCCTGCTGGAGGCCCTGCGGGGCTCTACTTGGCCTGGACTGTCTCCTCCAGCCTGTCCAAGCGCTTCTGGAGCTCCTGCACCGTGGCCTGGAGCTTCCGCATCTCCTCCTCCAGCCGAGACACGGCATCCTGGGGACCCGGTGCTGCATTAGGCCCAGCTCCTCCCTGGCTCCCCTTACCCCAGCCTCTGCTGAGCCCCATCCCTAGAGCCCTGGCCTTGGGCCCTTTAGTCGCTCAGCTGGTTGCTGCCTGGAGACCTGCAGGCCTATCAATCTGAAACCTGTGTTCTGAGGCCTCAGGATTACCATTCCCGGACCCACAAAGATTCCCAATGTTGTGAGTTTGAGGTGCCCCAAACACCAGCCCCACCCCACCCTCCCAGTTTTATTCCCTGGCTTCCCAGCCCTCTCACCGAGCTGGGAGTGCCACTGGCCTCTGGTGCTGCCCTCCTGCGCCGGTATTATTATAAGAAATAATATTTCTTATAATTTTACTTTTAAATTATTGGGTTTCCTTTTAGTTTTTCAACATATTACGAATAGCACACTATAGGAGAAGCCTCAGAAAGTAACCTTCTCTGAGCATAAGATGGAACTCATATGAAAACTTGTATATCTTTATATTCTTTGATAGCCTGATATCAAAGAACATAAACAAATTAAAAATGAGGTAGCTAGATTGCCACACTTCAGCAGCCTCAAACATTAGCTGCACTGTATATAGCACATCCAATGAGGGTTCAGTGGAAAAGACACAAGAAATGAACCCCAGGCATTGTACTCTGCTTTGAATAAGGAGAAAGAAGCATGTGTGATACAGTCATAAAAAAATTAATCTAACTGATGAAAATTTTACTGTTAGGATAAAACTCGCTTTTAGGAGCATATACTTTTGCTGAACATGTTGCTAAATAAAATAGGATATTGATTATATAGTAAGTTGTGTACTTGAGCAGAAATGTCAGAACTTAAAGATAAATGAAACCAGCATATTGGTATTTTAAACCAATATGGTTTCAAAATGGTTTAATATCTTTGCTTCATTTTTAATGTCTAAAAGGTGGTTGAAGACTGTACAGAGTTGAAATAAAAAGCCGTTAATTCAGACATAAAATAAAAGGGACATAATTTATAGGATAGGTGTATATTGATTTATGAGGATCTTTTAGGCCTTTGAGAATGGTAGAATGGTGGGGTTTTTATTTTTTTTATTTATTTTTGGAGCTGGAGCCTCACTCTGTCACCCAGGCTGGAGTGTAGTAGTGCAATCATAGCTCACTGTAGTCTTGAACTCTTGGGCCCAGGTGAACTTCCCATTCACTCAGCCCTACAAGCGGGTGTCACCATACCCAGCTTTTTTTGTTTTTCTTTTTAAAGTGGGGTGGTGCCATCACGACTCAGTGCAGCCTCTGTATCTTGGGCTCAAGTGATCCTCCCACCATAGTTCCTGCTAATTTTTTATTTTTGTAGAGATGGGGTCTCAGTGTTTCCCAGGCTGGTCTTGAACTTTTGGCCTCAAGCAGTCTTCCCACCTCAGCCTCCCAAAGTGTTGGGATTATAGACATGAGCCACTGTGCATGCATGGCCAAGAATGGTTCCCCCTCCGCCCTCTCTCCCCCACTCTTTTTTTTTTTGGAGACATGGTCTCTGTTGCCCAGGCTGGAGTGCAGTGGCACGATCTTGGCTCACTGCAGCCTTGACCTCCCAGGCTTAAGTGATCCTCCCACCTCAGCCTCAAGTAGTTGGTGGGACTACTGGTGTGAGCCACCACGCCCAACTAATTTAAAAACAAATTTGGTAGAGATGAGGTGTTGTTATGTTGACATGGCTGGTCTCAAACTCCTGGACTCAAGAGAACCTTCCAGCTAATCCTCTCAAAGTGCTAGGATGATAGATGTGAGTCACTATGCCCAACCTCCAAGGATACTTTTAATGAAAACTATGGGTAGACTAAATAAAATCCTGTATGTATTGGTTGTTAAATATTATAGAAATATTTTTAAACATTTGCTCTGTTTTCTCCCCCATTTTATTAGAAATTTAGTACACAATTATTGGCCATTATAGTTAAGTGGGGGATTTTGTTTGTGTGTGTATTGGAAATAATATGATTTTTGAAGATATTATGTGGTAAGCATGAGAGTGCTTATCTTTCAAAAGAGACCATCAGTAGATAGAAACTTTAATAAGCTTAAAGTGACTTGTATGTTCAGTTTTGAAAGATTGATTCCCAAAAGCCCAAGAGCTAGCTTGTAGTATGTGTGGGCAGGCTATTCCCATGCTGTCAATACCATTACTGTCGTGGTGTATTTCATGATAAAGATTCTGAGCTTCAGCCATTTAGTGACATTGGGAGAAACGAAGTTGGGTATATGGGAAATAGAGGATGGCAGGTTCCATTTCCTGTCATAGTAGCACTTTAGGATTTTTTAGCCAAGATCATGTTTACATATTGTAGTAAAGGGATCATTATTATTCAGCTACTGAGAACTAGAATATTAAGAGACTGCTGGCAAGGCAAGCAGTTAATTTTCAGTTGAAATTGCATTAAATAAAAAGTATTTTCTTGCTTTGTGGAAGCACGTGAATTTTTGTAAAAAGCTGCTTGTTTTCCCCATTTACAGGTTCTGTACAGAGTAATGAGATGTGTGACGGCTGCAAACCAGGTGTTTTTTTCTGAGGCTGTGTTGACAGCTGCTAATGAGTGTGTTGGTGTTTTGCTCGGCAGCTTGGATCCTAGCATGACTATACATTGTGACATGGTCATTACATATGGATTAGACCAACTGGAGAATTGCCAGACTTGTGGTACCGATTATATCATCTCAGTCTTGAATTTACTCACGCTGGTATGTGAATTATTCTTTTCCTTTTTAATGTGTTGGTTTATTCAGGCCCTTAAATCGATATGTAAGAAATTAAGGACTTTGTCTGGGTATGGTGGCTCATGCTTGTAATCCCAGCACTTTGGGAGGCCAAAGCAGAAGGATTGCTTGCATCCAGGAATTCTGGCACAGCTTGGGCAATGTAGTGAGACCCCATCTGTACAAAAAGTCAAAAATTAGCTTGGTGTAGTGGTGTGCACCTGCAGTCCTAGCTACTCGGGAGGCTGAGGGAGGAAGATCGATTAAGCCCAGGAACTTGAGGTTGAAGTGAGCTCTGATTGTGCCACTGCACTCAGCCAAGGTGACAAAAAAGGCCCTGTCTCCAAAAAAGAAAAAAAATAAGGGCTTTGCTTTATTATATTATTTTTTAGAGTACATTCATCAGTCTTATAATCTATGCTTTCATTTTAGTGTCTATTTACTTTTATTTTTAATGCAATTTTTTTTTGAGACAGGGTCTCACTCTGTTGCACAGGATGAAGTGCAGTGGCATGATTTTGGCTCACTGTAGCCTTGACCTCTTGGGTTCAGGTGACCCTCCCACCTCAGCCCCCCAGGTAGCTAGGACTACAGGCGTGCACCACCACACCTGGCTAATTTTTTATATTATTTTGTAGAGATGGAGTTTTGCCATGTTGCCCAGGCTGGTCTTGAATTCTTGGGCTCAAGCAATCCACCTGCCTTGGCCTCCCAAAGTACTGGGATTATAGGCATGAGCCACTCTGCCAGGCCTCTATTTTTAGTGGTTGATAGCTAGTCTCAGTGTAGCTTTACTCGTTTTTTCTGAGGAAACATTGCTCTACGCACCAGATTCTTTCTTTTTTGCTTTTCTTTTCTTTTCTTTTCTTTCTTTTTTTCTTTTTTCTTTTTTTTTTTTTTTTTGTCACAGGATCTTGCTGTATTCCCCTGGCTGGAGTGCAGCGGTACAATCAGAGCTCACTGCAGCCTCAAACTCCTGGGCTCAAGTGATTCTCCCACTCAGCCTCCCGACTATCTGGGACTACAGATGCATGCCACCATGCCTGGCTAACCTTTGTAGTTTTTGGAGAGAAGGGGTCTCACTACATTGTCTAGACTGGCCTTAAATTCTTGGTCTCAAGTAATCCTCCTGCCTTGCCCTCCCGAAGTGCTGGGATTACAGGTGTGAGCAATCATGCCTGGCCTCCTTTAATTTCTTTTTTTTTTTTTTTTTTTTTTTTTGAGACGGAGTCTCGCTCTTTTGCCCAGGCTGGAGTGCAGTGGCACAATTGTATTTTTAGTAGAGACGGGGTTTCACCATGTTAGCCAGGATGGTCTCGATCTCCTGACCTCGTGATCTGCCTGCCTTGGCCTCCCAAAGTGCTGGGATTACAGGCGTGAGCCACCACGCCCGGCCGGCCTCCTTTAATTTCTTAACCATAAATATCCTCCCCCCACTTTTATTATGGACATTCTGAAGCACATAAAAATAGGGAGCATAGTATAATAAATTTGTACATATTTAACACTCAGCTTCTATAATTAGAAACAAATGGCCCATCTGGTTTCATCTAGGCCTCTTTGCTATCCTTTCATCTCCAGCTGGATTATTTTAAAGCAAATTCTAGATGACATTCTGCTGAGCATTTCTGCCAGAATTACACCTCTCTTTGCTAATGTGAAAAAATGCCCATGATAACTGTAAAATACGTGTGTCCTATTTAGGTGTCTAAACACTTTAATGTCACAGTATTAAGGCCTTAAAATATAGCTTAGATATATTTTTCTAAATTAAAAGACTTTATTTTTTAGATATACAGAAAATTGAGCAGAAAACAATGAGTTCCCATATACCTTCTTCATCCCAACAGTTTCCCCCTCATTAACATATTGTGTTAGTGTGGTACATTTATTACAAAGGAGTGAATATTGATATATTATTATTAACTAATTTTATAGTTTACTTTGTGTTATGTATTCTATGGACTTTAACATGTGTAATGACATGTATCCCCTATTACCAGTATCATACAGGATAGTTTCACTTCCCTAAAAATCTTTGATGTTCTACCCACTCCTTCCTCGTTCCCTCTCCTCACTCCTCCCTCCCTCCATCTTAAGCCCATGGCAACCCCTGATCTTTTTACTGTCTCCATCGTTTTGCCTTTTCCAGAATGCCATGTAGTTGGAGTCATATAGTATGTAGCCTTTTCAATTGACTTCTTTCACTTACCAGTGTGCATTTAAGGTTTCTCCATGTCTTTTTGTAATTTGAGAAGCTCATTTTTTAAAAATTTTATTCTTTTAGATTGTTGAACAGATAAATACGAAACTGCCATCATCATTTGTAGAAAAACTGTTTATACCATCATCTAAACTACTATTCTTGCGTTATCATAAAGAAAAAGAGGTAAGTAATACACTGATAATGAATTTTGACAACTTGAGTCACTGAAGAGTTGGACCTAATGTTGCTTACCAGGCTATATAAGTGAAATTGAGTGAAATGTGAAATGTTTGATTTAGAATATAGTGATTGTATTTGTTCTTTTAAATTTATATTTCTTGATAATCATACTGAATACTTTCATGAATGATGTGCCAGATACTCTTTTCAGACTATGCATCTCTTGCTGTTATTAAATTTATTAAATTTTCATAAGGGTAAAACAAGTTGACACATTTATAAAGTTATAAATTAAGTACTGTATATTTTGTAAACAAAAATGACTGGCTTTTCAACCACCCCCTAGTCAAATCCACCACAGACTTTCCTGGTAGATTTAAGAAACCCAGTCTTAAATTGCTGTTTGCATATGTCTTTTGATGTTGATTATTTAAAAAAAAACGGCCATTTTGGAAATTTCCTATTGACAGTTTTCATTTATAGTACTCTTTATTTGTGATAAAACTTAATAGATTTGAAATAGCATACTGATCTGTGTCAGTTTTCTGATTGGTTTTTTAAAAATTAAAATATTAAGTGCTACGGACAGTGAATTGATCAATCTTAAATTTATTTGTATCATCAGCACTAATACAGATAGTGATTTATTTTCCATATAATTTTAGAAGATTTATTTTCCATTTATCACTTCCTTGAATTTTTTGTTTTTCAGGTTGTTGCTGTAGCCCATGCTGTTTATCAAGCAATGCTCAGCTTGAAGAATATTCCTGTTTTGGAGACTGCCTATAAGTTAATATTGGGAGAAATGACTTGTGCCCTAAACAACCTCCTGCACAGTCTGCAACTTCCTGAGGCCTGTTCTGAAATAAAACATGAGGCTTTTAAGAATCATGTGTTCAATGTAGACAATGCAAAATTTGTAGTTAAATTTGACCTCAGTGCCCTGACTACAATTGGAAATGCCAAAAACTCGAGTCTTTAATTGTAATGACTTTGTTTTATCCACAGTTAAGCCTTTTCTCATTACATATTTATGTATTTCACTGTCATGTCAACATGTCTGCAGAATCACTGTATGTAACAAACAGCCATATTTAAGACATGCCTGGATAAATAAAATTGGTAGGAATGTTTTCTTGCCATTATATTTAACGTTTCTTCTTTTTCCTTGACAAATCTTGATAAGTTTTTTTATATTAGTTTTATTTTCTAGAAAACGTCTTATGAATTTCTCCCATTTGCTCTAGCATGCTTATAGAAAATGTCAGTGTTTCTTACAGCTCAAATTTGTATAGTTGTTTTAAAATGCGGTCTCTTTCTTCTTCCCCTGGTACTTTTTTCTTTCTGTCTACTGAAGTTAGTTCTTATACATGGTCTTATATTTTGGCTGTCTTTTTTTCCCTAGGAACATTCATACAGGTTGAATATTCCTTATCTGAAATACTTGGGACTGGAAGTGTTTTTGATTTTGGAGTTTGGAATACTTTTTTTTTTTTGGAGATAGTGTTTTACTCTTGTTGCCCAGGCTGGAGTGCAATGGCGCAATCTTGGCTCGCTGCAACCTCCGCCTCCCGGGTACAAGCGATTCTCCTGTTTCAGCCTCCCAAGTAGCTCGGATTACAGGCATGCGCCACCACGCCTGGCTAATTTTTTTGTATTTAGTAGAGATGGGTTTTCACCATGTTAGCCAGGCTGGTTGTGAACTCCTGACCTCAGGTGATCCACCTGCCTTGGCCTCCCAAAATGCCGGGATTACAGGTGGGCACCACCATGCCCAGCCGGATTTTGGAATATTTTCATAACACTTACTGGTGAGCACCCCTAATCTGAAAATCCTAAATCTAAAATGCTCCAAAATTTGAAACTTTTTGAGCACCAGTATGATGCCCCAAGTGGAAAATCCCACACCCGACCTCATGTGATGAGTCCAAACTGTTGTATGCACAAAATTATTTAAAATATTGCATAAAATGACCTTCAGGCTATGAATAGAAGGCGTCTATGAAATATAAGTGAATTTCGTGTTTAGACTTGGGTCGCGTCCCCCACATATCTCATTTTATATATGTGCAAGTATTCTCAAATCCAAACATATACAGAGTCTGAAACACTTCTGGTCCCAAGCATTTTGAATAAGGGATACTCAACCTGTAGTCTTTCTTTTAGGAGGGGGGAAAAAAAAAGCTTTTTTTTTTTTTGGAGACAGAGTCATGCTGTTGTCACCTGGGCTGGAGTGCAGTGGTGCAATCTCGGCTCACTGCCACCTCTGCCTCCCGGGTTCCAGCAATTCTCCTGCCTCAGCCTCCCGAGTAGCTGAGATTACAGACACCTGCCACTACGACGGGCTAATTTTTGTATTTTTAGTAGAGACTTGGTTTCACCATGTTGGCCAGGCTGGTCTCAAACTCCTGACCTCAGGTGATCCACCCGCCTCAGCCTCCCAAAGTGCTGGAATTACAGGCACGAGCCACCGCGCCCAGCCCGTGTGTTTTTTTTTTTAAGTAATTCGACGTGGCCCTGCTCTTGATTTGTATTTATTGTTTATGGTTTGTGTATTTCTTCTTCCTATTGGACCACACAGAGTTGAAAAACATTATTTTTAATAGAAAATAATAGGTGTAGGCTGGGCACGGTTGCTGACACCTGTAAACCCAGCACTCTGGGAGGCCACGTCGGGCTGATCACTTGTGGTCAGGAGTTTGAGACCAGCCTGGCCAACATGGTGAAAGTTCGCCTCTACTAAAAATAGAAAAATTAGCCAGGGGTGGTGGTGCACACCTGTAATCCTAGCTACTTTGGAGGCTGAGGTAGGAGAATTGCTTGAACCCAGGAAGTGGAGGTTGCAGTGAGCTGAGATCACACCACCGCACTCCAGCCTGGGCTACAGAACCAGACTCTGTCTCAAAAGAAAAAAAAAAAAAGAAAGAAACAAAGAAAGAAAGTAATGGATGTAATTAGGGAATAAAGTTTTTAGGAGGAAAAAGGTAAAATTTGATGTTTGCGCTTCAGTGTGCTCCATGTTGTTTGATTGGATTGCCTTGTATAATTCCATAGCTGCTTCGCTTATTACCAGTTACAGCTTATGTTTGAAGTCACAATAAACTCTTCTTCAAACATGAAAGCTTGATTTTTGAGGAAAATTATTCACATTATTTGCAGATTCAAAGATGTTTATGTCCTGTACTCTAGAAATAAGGAGAAAGTGGGTGGGGCTGGGGCAGTCAGGTGGAATGGAGTGTCTTGGCAGTGTAAAGGAACAAGATGGATGGAAAAGGTGTATAGTGGCAGGGTGTGCCTTTGTTTCCTTATTGAACAGGGCACCTTGCCATTTGCAGTATATGGAAAATTGAAGAAATACAGTCTACTTCCGCAAAAGGCACATACAAAGGGCTCTGTTTAGACCAGAGATCAGCAAACTATGGTCCGTGGGCCAAATACAGCCCAGCACCTGTTTTTTGTTTGTTATTTTAAGTGTATAATTCACTGATTTTTAGTATATTCACAGAAGTGTACAACCATCGCAACACTAGTGCCTGTTTTTGTAAAGAAAGTTCTCGTTGGGCTGGGCGCAGTGGTTCACGCCTGTAATCCCTCGGGAGACCGAGACGGGCAAATCACCCGAGCTCAGGAGTTCAAGACCAGCCTGGCCAACATGGTGAAACCCTATCTCTACTAAAAAAATACAAAAGTTAGCAGGGCGTGGTGATGGGCACCTGTAGTCCCAGCTACTTGGGAGACTGAGGCAGGGAGAGTTGCTTGAACCCCGGAGGTAGAGGTTGCAGTGAGCTGAGATCGCCCCATTGCACTCCAGCCTGGGCAACAGAGCGAGAGACTCCGACTCAAGAAAGTTTTCTTGGAACACAGGTACTCTCATTCCTGTGTTTCGTATGTGGCTGGTGTTTTGTTTTGAGAGAGAGAGTCTTAACTTTGTCATCTAGGCTGGAGTGCATTGGTATGATCTCGGGTCACTGCAACCTCTGCCTCCCAGGTTCAAGCGATTCTCCTGCCTCAGCCTCCCGAGTAGCTGGGATTACAAGTGTGCGCCACCATGCCCAGCTAATTTTTGTAATTTTAGTAGAGATGGGGTCCCGCTGTGTTGCCCAGGCTGGTTTCAAACTCCTGGGCTCAAGTGATCTGCCCACCTTAGCCTCCCAAAGTGCTAGGATTACAGGTGTGAGCCACAACACCTGACCTGTGGCTGTTTTCTTACTGTAGCGATAGACAAGGAGTTGCTGCATTGCATAGAGATGCTATATTGCACGCAAAGGCTTTACTGACTTCACAAAAAAGTATTTGTCCAAGGTGTAGTGTACTAGATCCCTTCCAATCTGTAATTTTAATTTAAAAATGTCCAAATAAAAAAAGTCCAAATACCCCTGTTTTGAAGGATAAACTCTGTATGCTTGTGCTTATTTTGGAGAAGCCATAAACTTACTTTGTTTTGTACATGATCAGATGTGGGCGCTATCTCCAACTGTCTTTGCACTTCTGAGTAAGAATCTGATGATTGTGCACAGTGACCTGGCTGTTCACTTCCCTGCCATTCAGTATGCTGTGCTCTACACATTGTATTCTCATTGTACCAGGTACTGTATTCACAAATTTTTCTTAAGAACCCCACAAAACATTTTATTTTTTTAATGGATAGATTTTAAAGATGTATGTTGATTTAACTTTGGACTTGCTTGCTTTCTTTGATTAAAGATGAAAAGATAATCTATGCTTTGTCTTTCAGGCATGATCACTTTATCTCTAGTAGCCTCAGTTCTTCCTCTCCTTCTTTGTTTGATGGAGCTGTGATTAGCACTGTAACTACGGCCACAAAGAAACATTTCTCAATTATATTAAATCTTCTGTGAATATTACTTAAGAAAGATAACCTTAACCAGGACACGAGGTAACAGATTTTATATAGTATTAACTATTCCTAACTTTGTTAATTTGCCTTTATAATTTGAGAATAAGAAATGTGAATTACAAAAAATTTTAAAAAATGTGGATTATAGAGGTGAGGTAGAGCAGCTTCTTTACTGTCAAACACCTTATAATTTGGTTTTATTATTTAATCTAGGCTTTCTTATTCTTTCTGAAAAGAAATACATGAAAAACCTCAATCCCCCACCCCCAGTGTTTCATAGAAGAATATATATAGATTTTTAATATTCTATGCTTTTTTTGTTTTTGAGACGGAGTTTTGCTCACTGCAACCTCTGCCTCCCAGGTTCAAGCAATTCTTCTGCCTCAGCCTCCCAAGTAGCCGTGATTACAGGTGCCCGCCACCACACCCAGCTAATTTTTGTATTTTTAGTAGAGATGGTGTTTCACCATGTTGTTGGCCAGGCTGGTCTTGAACTCCTGACCTCAGGTAAGCCACCACGCCCGGCCTCTTTGCTATTATCATGCTGCGTTGGGAGGTTTTCTTAAAAGGCACACAACAATTTTGACAGTAATTTCTATAGTTTCATTTTTTATTTTTATTTTTTATTGTTTGAGATGTTTGAAAAACCAAGAGAAAACCAATGTAAGAAGACTAGGCTTTTAACGTTTTTTTGTTTTTGTTATTGTTTTTAATGTACAGTCAACTGTATATTTTGTGTTTCAGGAAACTGTTAATGACTTGGGCTTTGGAAGTAGCTGTTTTAATGAAGAAGTCCGAAACATATGCACCTTTATTCTGTCTTCCGTCTTTCCATAAATTTTGCAAAGGCCTTTTAGCCAACAGTAAGACTCTGTTTTTTTTTTTCTATTTTGTTTATCAATCCTTGGTAATGGGAGATGGTCATCAATAGAGCTCTTTTCCTGACCTGCAGATGTGTAATCCTCATTTTAATGACAGATACACAGTCTTGATTTTTTTTCATTCTTAGTATTAGAAAAATGTTTTGAAGTGATTGTCACATTTTTAAGCTTACGTGAATGTTTATAGTTTGCATATACTTTTACATTTTCTCTCAGAAAAAGTTTTGTGTGATGACCCATCAGTTACATTACGTGGGTTTTGTTGAATGTGTCATTTTTCCAAACGTGACAGTCAATGAGGATTCTGGACAAGAACAGTGCCTAGTCTAGAGTAGGCACTCACTCTTTGTTGAATGAATGAATGGATTCAGATAATTATGACAAACTGGGATATAATTTCTTTTGGCCAGCTGAAAGTAACTGTCTTTTAATGTTTAATAGCTCTCGTTGAAGATGTGAATATCTGTCTGCAGGCATGCAGCAGTCTACCTGCTCTGTCCTCTTCCTTGCCAGATGATCTTTTACAGAGGTATGAAATTAAGATCATGTCTTTTGACATTAACCCTAATAACTTTGAAATGTTAACACACCTGCTTTGTCTATTTCGTTCTTTCATAGATGTGTTGATGTTTGCCGTGTTCAACTAGTGCACTGTGGAACTCGTATTCGACAAGCATTTGGAAAACTGTTGAAATCAATTCCTTTAGATGTTATCCTAAGGTATAACAGTTGTTTTGGAGCAAAGACATTCTGTGATATTTACAGCCTCTACTGGTTGTCTACTTTAGGAGAAGACAGATCACCTATTAGAGCATTAATGACACATCTTTTATGGCCCTGCTTGTCAGTGATTGAAGTGATGTCAAATAATCAAATTTTGCAGGTCTGCAAGAAAATTAAAAATTTTTAATGAGCTTTATAGGCTCACAATAATTAGTATAGAATAACTCATGTAGTGCCAAAATATGTTTCTTAGTAGCTCAGATATTTGAAAAACTAAACAGTAATCTTTTATTGTTTTTGATCAAGTTGATTTGGGAGCTTTTAAGAGCCTAAACTTGATCCTTTTGTAATACATAAGCATAATGATTGGGTTTTTATGTTCACATGTTTGATATGCCTCCCTCAAATCCTCTTATGATGTCGGCACATGACCCATCTGAAGTGAATAAAAAAAGGATCTAAAGTTGTAATCACATCTCCGTATCCATTTGAAAGTCTCAATTTTTCTATATTTTTACCTCCAGTGAGTTAATAAGTAAATAATCCACTTACAGTATGTGCTAACCTTTTAAGCTAAAATATTTTGCGTAACAACAACTTTGTTTTCTGTCTACAGCAATAACAATCACACAGAAATTCAAGAAATTTCTTTAGCATTAAGAAGTCACATGAGTAAAGCACCAAGTAATACATTCCACCCCCAAGATTTCTCTGATGTTATTAGTTTTATTTTGTATGGGAACTCTCATAGAACAGGGTAAGGCATTTCTTTGACTATTTTATCTAGGAAAGATAATTTTAAGATTCCCTTGACTTTACATGCAGTTTTGAAGAGAAAATATGTTTGGGGGTGGCAGAGTATCAAGTAACATTCTTCTCATATGGGTTATTTCAGTTTTCATCAATAGGAAAATTACTTTGAAGATAGCATCTGTAGAAACAAAAATGGGCTTTGAAATTGAGTAATGAAATGTGGTTAACAGTTAACTGATGTGATGTCATTAACACTTTGGGGAATGGGGTGGGGGTGGAGATATTCTAGAGATGCTTAGTTGCATTGAATGAGTTTCATTCCTGACCGGCATGAGCCGTTTACCCTAATCATCCTTCCACACTGTACCTCATCCTGTTAACTATAAAAGACCTCAAAATAAGAGGGGGGGGACATAATGCTTCTCAATTTCATAGGTTTTGCCTTTTTTTGGAGTAGGGAAAATTACAGTTCCTTATTCCCATTCCCCTTGCATTTTTTTTTCATTATTAAAATGAAGTTGTCATTGTCTTTTAAATATGAAACTACTTTTCCCAGGAAGGACAATTGGTTGGAAAGACTGTTCTATAGCTGCCAGAGACTGGATAAGCATGACCAGTCAACAATTCCACGCAATCTCCTGAAGACAGATGCTATCCTTTGGCAGTGGGCCATATGGGAAGCTGCACAATTCACTGTTCTTTCTAAGCTGAGAACCCCACTGGGCAGAGCTCAAGACACCTTCCAGACAATTGAAGGTAACTCGCTCAAGCTTTGTGATGTGAATACTTTCAAAGCCTTATTAAGAAATAATGGATTTTTAAATCTTTGTTAAAGATTTGAGAGTATATGATTTTTTTGAAAAGAAGTCAATAATTTTCAGGTATGTTTGTTAGAATAAGCTTTCATTGAATAATTGCATTGGAAATATGTTTGTTTTTTTCCCAAAACTTATGGGAGTTGTGTGGAAAAAATATATATTTTTTTCCCCTAAAATGAAAGATCTTTCATGTTGGGATTTTTTATTTTTAAATGATGGGTAGACAGAGGATACTTGATAAATGTGAATTGGTCATAAAAAACTCACACTTATTCTAGGAACTTTTAAGATTTTTAAAAATTCAGAATGTTGTCTTTGCTTTCAGGTATCATTCGAAGTCTCGCAGCTCACACATTAAACCCTGATCAGGATGTTAGTCAGTGGACAACTGCAGACAGTGATGAAGGCCATGGTAACAACCAACTTAGACTTGTTCTTCTTCTGCAGTATCTGGAATATCTGGAGAAATTAATGTATAATGCATACGAGGGATGTGCTAATGCATTAACTTCACCTCCCAAGGTTGGTTTCCATGAGATAGTGTTGTTTTATAGCAGTTTAATGGTCACAGCTGGCAGTATGTGCAGAGCTGAAATCACAATAGACTTGTGTATTTGGTTTATATATAGGTGAGACATCCTTACCTACAAATTGAACCAGTCCTGAGCTTTTCTTTCTCTTATCGTAAAGGTCATTAGAACTTTTTTCTATACCAATCACCAAACTTGTCAGGACTGGCTAACGCGGATTCGACTCTCCATCATGAGGGTAGGATTGTTGGCAGGCCAGCCTGCAGTGACAGTGAGACATGGCTTTGACTTGCTTACAGAGATGAAAACAACCAGCCTATCTCAGGTAAAGTGGTGTGTTTGAAATTCATTTTAAGTCTGTTAATAAGAAAAACATGGTTTAATTCCTTTGGTATGATTTAATCTATGGATAAAATAAGTTAAAGCTTGGATTCATTTTCAAAGGTTTTGATCCTGTATTTTGTAAAAGCAACAACTGCCAGAGTTACCTATTTTATTCGTGTTAAAACAGTGTTAGAAGTTAAAATAATGTTCATGTTTTTGTTCATGTTAAAACAATATTCATCTTAGAACATGTTAAAACTATATTTCTTATGTGCAAAGTTTAGAACTTTAAAGGTAATTCTGAAAATTTGTTTATGGGGGAAATTTTTTATTTATTTATTTATTTTTTTGAGACACAGCACTCTGTCGCCCAGGCTGGAGTGCAGTTGTGTGATCTCGGCTCACTGTAAGCTCCGCCTCTCGGGTTCAAGCCTCTTCTTGCCTCAGTCCCTGGGATTACAGGCACCCACCACCATACCCAGCTAAGTTTTGTATTTTTAGTAGAGACAGGGTTTCACCATGTTGGCCAGGCTGGTCTCGAACTCCTGACCACAAGTGATCCGCCCACCTTGGCCTTCCAAAGTGCTGGGATTACAGGCATGAGCCACTGCACCTGGCCAGGAGAAATTGTTTTTATAACATATGACAAATGCTTGAGTAATTCCTGGCTTGAAAGTGGGCTCACAATAAATAACTGGAATCCAAAAATAACAAAATGTTTAGCAATTCAGGTAATGTCAAGCAGTATTCAAACACATGAAGTTAATCATTCTTTAATTCCTGTTTATTTATATTTAATTTTTGCTTTCTTTTTACTCCATGTGTTATTCCTACAGAGGTCACAGGTTAAATGTTTGGGTAACTTTGGGGTGGGGGTGCAAACATCCATGTGCTGCTAAGGTTCTGTTAGTCACCCTTTGTGGCTATTTTATATGTAACATTTTAAAGAATTCTGAGCTAAATAATGTGAAAATTGTGAAAATAATTGTTAAATACATTTGGCTTTAAGCAGGCACAGACTGTGATCAGTTGTAAATTTTATAGGGATTTATGTTTTAATGGTATTGGGTGACTAACTTTTCTGAATGCGTTTTCAGGGGAATGAATTGGAAGTAACCATTATGATGGTGGTAGAAGCACTATGTGAACTTCATTGTCCTGAAGCTATACAGGGAATTGCTGTCTGGTCATCATCTATTGTTGGAAAAAATCTTCTGTGGATTAACTCAGTGGCTCAACAGGCTGAAGGGAGGTAGGTTGGAGGGAAGGAAATGGGTGATAGAATTACTTTATGTTTAAATTCTTTGTATTACTCACTGACATTGTAGCCAAATCTTAAAACAGCTTTGTTTGCTTTCAGCATTGAAGCTTGCTATAAATCACTTCACCAGGAGGCATCTTCAGTTTGTTCTTTAGTTAGCAGTAATACTTGAGTGCCTTTCTTATTTAAGAATTAGTGGCAAATCACACTGAAAAACAAGACCTGTCAGTTGTTTTATAAATGCTTTTGAACTTGATCCCTAGTTGAGCTCCTTCCCCCTCAGAGTCTGATACAAATTACCCTTTATTGTCAGAGTATTTGCTCATTAGTCCTGTGAACTCTACATTCAGACTCATTGCTTCCTCCAGATAGAGGAGCTTGTACCATAATATTCTGTGTCCATTTATGTTAGTTTAATGAAATCTTGCGAATTTAGGAAAATAAAAGAACTGCTCATTCTTCCATATCTTTGTAGTAACTTCTGTTGTGTGTCCTTTTGTAGTCCCATATTTCCATATCCATATGCTTTGTAATTCTTTTTTCTTTCATGTCGTTTTCTCCATTCTTCACCAAAACAGCAGCATACATAGGCACATGGTTTTATGATCTGTTTTTCCCACTCAATATTTAAAAAAAAAAATTTGCCATGTTAGGTAGGCTGGGTTCGGTGGCTTACATCTGTATTCCCAGCACTTTGGGAGGCCGAGGCAGGTGGATCACCTGAGGTCAGGAGTTTGAGACTAGCCTAACATGGTGAAACCCCGTCTCTACTAAAAATACAAAAAATATTAGTGGGGTGTGGTGGCACATGCCTGTAATCCCAGCTACTTGGGAGGCTGAGGCAGGAGAATCGGTTGAACCCGGGAGGCGGAGGTTGCTGTGAGCCCAGGTTGTGCCACTGCCCTCCAGCCTGGGCAACAAAAGCAAAACTCTGTCTCAAAAAAAAAAAAAAAAAAAAATTGCCATGTTAAGTATTCTACAGTGTTATTTTTAATAAAGATTTGTATTTATGAGTGTACCATAATTTAATATTTCTTACTGTTGGGCATTAAGGTTGTTTCTGATTTTTTTTTTACTAAATGTACCATAGCACTTAATATCTTTGCTTATATTTCTGATTACTTTCTTGGAATCCATTCTCATAAACTGATTTACTAGAAGAAAGGCTGCCAAACCATAAGTCTTATGATATATTCTATTGCTAAGTTACTCTACAGAAAAGATGGCTGCAATGTATACCCTTAATAATAGAGTACACCCTTCCCTTCACCTTTGTGGATACTGAGAGTCACTGAGAAACAAGAATGCTGCCACCACCATCAGCGAAAATAGTTATTGTACTTTACATTTCTATATGTATTAATGACTAATAGTAGAAGTTGCCCCATATAGTGACCATTTGTGATTTTTTAAAACATGGATCATGTCTTCATGGCCTCTCAATTTTTCCTGTGTTAATCTGTGAAATTTCATTAAATACTAAGATTGTTGATGCTATCCAATTTCTTGATTTATAATTTGTTTTTAATGTTTAGTGTTGTATTTCAGCATTATGCATCTAGATGCTGTTACTTGTGCATCTTTTCTTGCATTTTATCCTTCTACAAAGCCTTTCCACACACTGACATCAGTTACTTATCAATATTTTCCACTAGTTCTTTTATCCTCTTACATTTTTTAAAAAACATTTAACCACTTTTAAATTTAGTTTCATAGTTGTGAGGAAGACATCAAACCTCCCCCCACCATAGTCAACTCACTGTTTTAGCTCAGTTTATTCTTGCACCATTTTTTGTGGGAGGGGGGAAATGAGATATGTGTGTTTAACATAACAGCCTCCTTTGGGGCTGGGCGCGGTGGCTCACGCCTGAAATCCCAGTACTTGGGGAGACTGAGGTGAGCGGATCGCTTGAGTCCAGGAGTTTGAGACCACCCTGGCCAACAGAGCAAAACCTTGTTTTAGCCAGGTGTGGTGGTGGGCGCCTGTAGTCCCAGCTACTTGGGAGGCTGAGGTTGGAGGATTGCATGAGCCTGGGAGGGCAAGGCTGCAGCGAGCCATGATCATGCCACTGCCCTCCAGCCTGGGTGACAGTAAGACTGTCTCAAAAAACAAATAAGTAAGTAAGTAAAGGCCAGGTGCGGTGG